>NC_000007.14:71900718-72203748 GCF_000001405.40 Homo sapiens | reverse complement strand
ATGATGTTGCCCTGTTTGGGAAGGAGGAATAAAGCTCTTTGTATTAATTTTCGTACAGCATCCAGCAGTGTACATAATTTAGCCCTTGCTAATTAGAGTGAAATAGAGAAGCACCAGGGATTGTTTTAACTGGTTGGAAAACTTGGTGTGGACTGTAGTAGTCAGGATGTGATCCAGGGAGCATGGTTTCTGGTTTCTGGAAGTTGGCAGAAACCAGGGAGAAGGGGAGTTATCAAGGGAAGTATTGCAGGTCCCCAGAAACATCCTGGCAGTCCTTAGCCCACCCCAAACCTGCCGGAGTTTGGGAACTAAATTTTTCAAGGAAAACCCACAAATAGCATGACCTATGACCTACTCATTGTTTCGCGTAAATTTAAGGTGATTTTTTAATTTTTTATTTTACTTTAAGTTCTGGGATACATGTGCAGAATGTGCAGGTTTGTTACATAGGTATACATATGCCATGGTGGTTTGCTGCACTCATCAACCCATGATCTAGATTTTAAGCCCCGCATGCATTAGGTATTTGTCCTAATGCTCTCCCTCCCCTTGCCCTCACCCCCCGACAGGCCCTGGTGTGTGGTGTTCCCCTCCCTGTGTCCATGTGTTCTCATTGTTCAGCTCCCACTTATGAGTGAGAACATGTGGTATTTGGTTTTCTGTTCCTGTGTTAGTTGGCTGAGAAGGATGGTTTCCAGTTTTATCCATGTCCCTGCAAAAGACACGAACTCATTCTTTTTTATGGCTGCATAGTATTCCATGGTGTATATGTGCCACATTTTCTTTATCCAGTTTATCATCGATGGGCATTTGGGTTGGTTCCAAGTCTTTGCTATTGTAAATAGTGCTGCAATAAACATGTGTGCATGTGTCTTTATAGTAGAATGATTTATAACCCTTTGGGTATGCTGGGTAAAATAGTATTTCTGGTTCTAGATCCTTGAGGAATCGCCACACTGTCTTCTATAATGGTGGAACTAAGGTGATATTTTTCTTAAGCTGCTTATTGGTGATATGTACTCTCAAAGCAAAAACAGCCAAGCATGTTATTTTCACAGATGTCAGACTACACAAGTGTGTTTTCAAAGTCTCTGGTTTACTCCTTGGGTTTCTAACCCTTCCCCTCAACTGTGTAGATGGTATTCTGGTGTTTTCCTGAACTTTCTATCACAGAGGAAAAGCCAGGGTCAGTCTGATTTTCATTCAGTTCTAAGTACTTTTCTCAGATCCAGCAATGGTTTAAAGTTTTCCAGCATTTCAATACATATTCTGCCAGGATATGTCTATGTGAGGATCTCTTTTTATAGAACATGATTTTTCTAAAGGTCAAGAAAAGATGTTTTCTATTTCTTTTTTTCATTAGTTTGTTGTTTTTGTTCTACTCTATTCTGAAAAATTTATTATATTTATATTGGAGTTTTAAAATTGGATTTCACAGAGCTGTCATTCTCATTACTTTCATTCTTTTATCCTTTTCCTCTACATTCTTGGAGAACTTCTCAAGTGTATTCTTAATATCACTGATTTGATTTTCCTGCGGTATCAGTCTTGCTGATAAATATCTCCATGTGGATATTTAAATGCTTTTTGGTTTCTTGCAAATCTTATGTTACTTGTATCCCTTTTTATCTCCTTCCATTTCATTTTTCCTTTAGGAGGCTCTCTCACTATAGATGTTTACTCACATTTCATGAAGTCCACGTGTCCTTGAATTGTTTTGAGGCTTGCTCCTCCCACTGAGACTTTGTGATATGGTTTTGAAAGGGTTTTACGCATCTCCATGTCAGTTTCCCGCTTTATTTCAAAGCAAGGTCTGTCCGGACGTAGTTCTTGCCAACAGATAGGGAGTGTGGGTTGCTCCAGGCTGCGTCTTCTGTCCTCTTGGGTGATGTATGGTGAGTTCCACTTCTAAGGCTAGAGGGGAGTTTGATGTATGATGTTCCAAATTTAGGTTCCAGGTTCTAGCTGGCTTTTGCTTACTACAGTTACTGCTTTTTTTTTTTTTTTTTTTAATCAGATTCAAGGTTGTACATGGGTATGTTTGTTACATGGATGTATTCATGATGCTGAGGTTTGGGATACAATTGATCTGTCACCCAGGTAGTGAGCATAGTACCCAATAAATAGTTTTTCTTTTTCTTTTTTTTCTTTCTTTTTTTTTCCGAAATGGAGTCTCACTCTGTCATCCCGGCTGGAGTGGCACAATCTCAGCTCACTGCAGCCTTTGCCTACCAGGTTCAAGCGATCCTCCTGCCTCAGCCTCCCGAGTAGCTGGGATTATAGGTGCGCACCACCATGCCTGGCTAAGTTTTGCATATTTTAAATAGAGATGGGGTTTCACTATTTTGACCAGGCTGGTCTTGAATGTCTGACCTCAAGTGATCCACCCACCTCGGCCTCCCAAAGTGCTGAGATTACAGACGTGAGCCACCGTGCCCTGCACAATAGTTTTTCAACCCTTCCCCCAACCCCTCCAGTAGTCTCCAGTATCTCTTGTTCCCATCTTTGTGTCTGTGAGTACCTAATATTTAGTTCTTACTTATAAGTGAGAATATGCAGCATTTGGTTTTCTGTTCCTGAGTTAATTCACTTAGGATAATGGCCTCCAGCTGCACTCATGTTGCCTGCAAAGGACATGATTTCATTCTTTTTTACAGCTGCATAGTATGTCATGGTGTGTATATACTACATTATCCAATCCACTGTTGATGGGCACCTAGGTTGATTCCATGTCTTTGCTATTGTGAATAGTGCTGCAATAAACATGTGAGTAACAGGTGTCTTTTTGGTAGAATGATTTATTTTCCTTTGGGTATATCCCAGTAATGAGATTGCTGGATGGAATGATAATTCTAATTTTAGCTCTTTGAGAAATCTCCAAGTTGCTTTCCTCAGGGAGAAACAAATTCACAAGCCCAGTGTATAATATAGCTACAGCTTTGACATGTGACATCCTGTTCTTTTCCCACTGTCTGGTTCTTCCTTGCTTTAAACCAACAGAGCACTTGAAAAACAGCCATCATCATTGTTTGCTGCTGCCAGGGTTGGTGTTTTCTTTGTCTCCATGTGTGTTTTTTTTTCATGGAGACCGCATCCCCCAGGGGCATAGCATGGTGCACTGGTAGAACCTGGGCTTTGATGGCAGATCTCAGCTCAAGCCCCAGCTCCACCCCACCAGCTCCATTACCTTGAGCTAGTTATGGAGCTACTCTAAGTCTCAGTTTGTTCATCCACACAGTGGAGCTCAAAGCATCTTTGGGATGATTAAATGAAATAATACGAGACACTATTTGTAAGGTGCTTGAAACCTAGAAATAATAAACTGAGTGCTCACTATGGTTAAGCATTCTTCCAAGGACTTCACATGTTTTAAAATATGAGGTAGGCACTATTAACATTTCTAGTTCACAGAGAGGAAGGAGGCTTGGAGAGGTTAAGGTATTTGCCCATCGTTGCACAGCTAGTAGGTGGTAACGCTGGGATTCACCCCTGGCTGACTGACTAGAGAGACTGGGCTCTTCACCATCATGTCACCATACATGCTGTCTCAAAAATGTGTCATTGCCACTCCCCTCCACTCCCCCCAATTTCATATTAATTTGGCTTTTTTTGAGTTGATTTGTCGGGGCATCAACATTTATGAAGAAAGGTGAGATATAGTGGAGAGGCGGTAGGATAAGGGGAATTGCAGACTGCCATAGAAGCTGCAAAGTCCATTTCTTCTTTGAAGATTGAAGGGGGCATAGTAGAGGTCGCTTGAGAATTCTGCTAACCTTGCAGGCTGCCCGTCATTGTTTCATGAGGTAGAACCAGGACAAGCCTTATAGTTTGGGCTGCAGTATAGGGATTCCATCTAGAGTTAGGCTATAGTTTGACCGTTGGCTCAGTTGTGGATTTTGTTGTTGTTGTTTTGTTTGTTGGGACTCTGTCTCCCAGGCTGGAGTATAGTGGTGCAATCACAGCTCACTGCAGCTGTGATCTTGACCTCCTGGGCTCCAGCGATCCTCCCAAGTAGCTAGGACTACAGGTTTGCACCACTACGCCTGGCTAATTTTTTAAATATTTTGTAGAGATAGCTTCTTGCTATGTTGCCCAGGCTCGAACTCCTGGGCTCAAGTGATTCTTTTGCTTCAGCCTTCTGAATAGCTGGGATTACAGACGGGCACCACTGTGGCTAACTTTTTAATTGTTTGTAGAGATGTGGTCTCACTATGTTGCCCAAGCTGGTCTTGAACTCCTTGTCTCGAACTCCTGGTCTCGAGCAATGCCCCCCGGCTCAGCCTGCCAAGCACTGGGATTACAGTTGTGAGCCACTGTGCTTGGCCAGTTCCTTCTAGATTTAGGCTGTTTGACCATTGGCTTAGTTTTGGAGAGAGAGCTGAGGTTCTGTATTTTTGGATTGTAGCCTTTCATGGGAAACTGGGAGAGTGGGCATTAGAACTTATTGATTGATTGATTGATTGATGTGTTGTTTGAGACAGGGTCTCGCTCTGTCATCCAGGCTGGAGTGCAGTGGTGCAATCTCAGCTCACTGCAACCTTCACCTCTCAGGTTCAAACAATTCTCCTGCCTCCACCTCCCAAGTAACTTGGATTACAGGCGCCCACCACCACGCCCAGCTAGTTTTTGTATTTTTAGTAGAGATGGGCTTTCACCATGTTGGCCAAGCTGATCTCGAACTGCTGACCTCAAGTGATCTACCTGCCTCTGCCTCCCAACGTGCTGGGATTACAGGCATGAGCCACTGCGCCCAGCCAGAATTTACCATTTTAAACCTCTACTCATTCTTCAGATGGTTCTGGACAGATCCTTTCTTAAGGGTGCCTTTGAGAGCACAGAGGTAAGTACAGGGATTAGTGAGAGCTTGATGACCTCCTCAGTGCTTTTCTCTGGCTGTAGCCCTTTCCCAGTGTTAAAAATCTTCCCATCCCAAATGAAAGCAAGCCTGTGGTCCTAGGGCACCCATCTGCCTTTCAGTATTGATCATATAGTGTGCAAAGTGACACAGTTGGTGCCTGAGAGTGCTTCTCTTTTCTGGCCCAGTTTTGATGATGAATCCTTTAGTAATCCCTTTTTCTTTTTTAGGTGGGTCCCATGCTATAAATGTCACAGTTGGTAGAAGGTAGAATTGCTGGGAGTGGGTTATTTTAAAGGGTGGGGGGTGGTTATAGCAGACGGGAAAGAGAAGGGAGGGAGGGAGGAGAATGTGGCTTCTATGTATAATATACTTGGAAATCCTGTTTGGGAGAGTTCGATGTCAGGACAAAGTGATCCTTACTTGAAAAATTGCACATGATTTTAGGAAGAAGCCTGGTATGGCTTGATAACAGTGATGTTTTTATCTAATCTCAGGTAATAAATAAAGCAAGGTACCTGCGATCCTTTGCCAAAATTCAAATGTCAAATTGATTATGTAAAGAGCAGAGGAAGCCAACGTCTTTTACATGAAGGTGTATAGTTTTTTATGGCCATTCATCATGCCAAAGTAAAAAGCCTTGCAAGTATTGAAATATCTGATTACAAATGACTGAGCTCTTTCTGGCCTTTTGAATTACTCAGACAAATTCTTCCTCCTCTTCCTTCTAAGCATGTTGCTTGCATTAAACATTTAACTATTGAGAAGGCCATTCTGTTTTTAAAATAATTTAAGAAGAAATTGGAATTTCCTTTTATGAAAGTCTTATATTTAATATATCAGGGAGCGCTAGGCACTTCCCCTCCAAAGAGGGAATGAACCTTTTTTTTTCAGGAGTTCTGCAGTTTTACAAAACCTGATTCTAGATTAGACCACGAAGAAAGGTGTCTTAAATTCCTCAATGCAGAAACTCTGCAGGCCACGTTCTTTTTTACATTTATTTTTATGTATTTTTAATTTGTATTTTTCTGTTTTTCAGAGACAGGATCTTTCTGTATTGTCCAGGCTAGAGTGCAGTGGCATGATCATACCTCACTGCAGTGCTGAACTCCTGGGCTCAAGTGATCCTCCAGCCTCAGCCTCCCAGGTAGCAAAAACTACAGGTGTGCACCATCTTGCCTGGCTAATTTTCCATCTTTATTTGTTTATTTATTTATTTATTTTTTTGTAGGGACAAGAACTCACATTGTTGTCTAGGCTGGTCTTGAACTCCTGGCTTCAAGCCATCCTTCCACCTCAGCCTCCCAAAGTGCTCAATTACAGGCATGAGCCACTATGTCCAGCC
Source organism: Homo sapiens (assembly GCF_000001405.40). Lineage (NCBI taxonomy): Eukaryota > Metazoa > Chordata > Mammalia > Primates > Hominidae > Homo > Homo sapiens. Next base: position 72,197,548 of record NC_000007.14, on the reverse strand, counting down.
AGGCCACATTCTTCGGCCATAATGTAACACCAGCCTAAAGAAGCAAACCAGCCAGGTGTGGTGGCTCACGCCTGTAATCCCAGCGCTTTGGGAGGCCAAGGCAGATGGATCACGAGGTCAGGAGTTCGAGACCAGCCCGACCAACATGGCAAAACCCCGTCTCTACTAAAAATACAAAAATTAGCCATGCGTGGTGGTGTGCGCCTGTAATCCCAGCTACTCAGAAGGCTGAGGCAGAAGAATCACTTGAACCTGGGAGGCGGAGGTTGCAGTGAGCCAGAGATTGCAGTGAGCTGAGATCGTGCCACTGCACTCCAGTCTGGGTGACAGAGTGAGACTCTGTCTCAAAAAAAAAAAAAAAAAAAAAAAAGCAAACCTTCCATTTGACAATGAAAATCAAACAACAGGAAATTAAATATAGGAAAACAAATTAAGCAATAAGAAATTAGGGCAATCCAAATGACTTCTGGCCAAACTCACTCAAAATTACCCAGAGGTAAAATTTCATAGTTTTAAGTGCATCCATTCTTAAAGAAAATAAACTCATTTCTCTAGAGAGTTTTTCAGACTATCCCTCATTTAAAGAAACAAAAAAGGAAAATCTTAATGTACCCTCCAAGTTCATAAGCAAAGCCAAGGTCAAGAGTGTGGATTTTGGAGCTAGTTGTCTTGGGTTCAAGTGCTGGTTTCATGATACTAACTGTGGGCTGCTGGGCAAATGACCCAGTTTTCTCATCAGGAATAAAAATATCTAACTCATGAGGATGAAATAATTACATAGGTAAGGTGTTTGATATAGTGGCAAGCACATAAAAAGAACTTAATATATGTGAACACGTATTTGCATTCCGATTTCTCCCTGCTGCCTTGGATAAATGTCCACCATCAGTTGGGCCTATCTCCCAGTGTGCTTCTCTAGATCTTTCTTTTTCTTCGTTAAAGAATTATATTTGAATCTACATATGACATCTTTTTCTTTTTTGGTAACAGCTTGATTGAGCTGTTCACATACTATACAATTCACCCACTTAATGTATGAAATTCCATGACTTTTTGTACAATCCCGTAGCTGTGTGTCCATCAGGGTAATCACTTTTAGAACATTTTTGTTGCTCCATAAAGAAACTGAAGGCCAGGAGCGGTGGCTCATGCCTGTAATTCTAGCACTTTGGGAGGCCAGAGAGGGTGGGTTGCTTGAGCTCAGGAGTTTGAGACTAGCCTGGGCAACATGGCGAAACCGCATTTCTAGCAAAAATACAAAAAGTTACCCAGGCATGGCGGTATGCGCCTGTAGCCCCAGCTACCTGGGAGGCTGAGGCAGGAGAACTGCTTGAGTCCACGAGGCAGAGGTCACAGTGAGCCGAGATCTCGCCACTGCGCTCCACTGGAGCCTGGGTGACAAAGCGAGACCCTGTCTAAAAAAAAAAAAGAAAAGAAAAAGAAACTTAATACCCCTTAGCATTCACTCCTCCAATCTCGCCATATCTCCCAACCCTAGGCAGCCACTAATCTACTTTCTGTCTCTCTCTGTTTGCTTATTTTGGACATTTCATATAAATGGAATAATATCAAATATTCTTTCATTGAGTGTAATGTTTTCAAGTTTCCTTCATGTTGTAGCATGTATCAGTACCTCATTTCTTTTTATGGCTGAATCATATTCCATTGGATAGATATACCAATATTTTGTTTATCCATTTTTCAATTCGTGGACTAAATAATGACACCTTGTAACTTCTAATGACTTCATTTTATTTTTCATCTTTCTCCACTGATTAATTCCTTCACCAAACATTTATTTAGAAGCTAGAAAATGTTAAGTGCTGTGTTAGCCACCAAGAATGGGTTGATGAATAAGGTATTGTTCTTGGCTGGGCACAGTGGCTCATGCCTGTAATCCCAGTGCTTTGGGAGGCTAAGTAGGGAGGATCGCCTGAGGCCCAGGAGTTAGAGAGCAGCCTGGACAACATAGTGAGACCCCATCCTTAAAAAAATTTTTTTAAAAATTAGCCAGGAATGTTAGTACCTGCCTATAGTCCCAGCTACTCAGGAGGCTGAAGCAGGAGGATAGCTTGAGCAAAGGAAGTCAAGGCTGCAGTGAGCTACTTGCATCACCGCACTCCAGCCGGGGTGGCAGAGCAAGATCTAGTCTCTTAAAAAAAGAGAGAGATTGTAATTGACATCAGAATACTTATTTTCCAGCTGTGGGAAAGTTATGCACTTAAATATGTGCCTGAATTTAAATAATGGAAGCCCATACCTGTCCACTGGTAGGAGAAGACAGTGGTTATTCTATCTGGCAGGGACATCAAAGAATGCACAGAGGAGCAAGGGCTCAAAAGATGAGTGTGTCTGCACAGATATTAGGTGAGTGGAGTGTCTGTAAGACAGACGCTTCAGGCAGTGGTGTGAGTCTGAGCTGATGCATGAAGGCACTTGGCAATGTGCTGCTTCACATGACGAACTGTAAAGTGACTTGAACTTGCTCATGTTGAGGATTGAGGATGGGACGAGAGGCAAGGAATACAGCTGGAGACAAGGGGAGGGGTCAGGCCATAAAGTGTCTTGTATATTAGAATGAGGAGTTGATCTTAACCTAAACCATATGGGACCGTGGAAGAGTGAGGGAGAATTGTGGAGGACAGAATAGAGGGGAGGAATAAAAGGCAAGAGGCTCACACCTGTAATCCCAGTACTTTGGGAGGCCGAGACAGATGGATCATGAGGTCAAGAGATTGAGACCATCCTGGCCAACATGGTGAAACCCCATCTCTACTAAAAATACAAAAATCAGCTGGCCGTGGTGGCTGGCACCTGTAATCCCAGCTACTTGGGAGGCCGAGGCAGGAGAATCGCTTGAACCCAGGGGGCAGAGGTTTCAGTGAGCCAAGATCGTGCCACTGCACTCCAGCCTGGCGACAGAGCAAGACTCTGTCAAAAAAAAAAAAAAAAAAAAGAGGCCAGTTAGGAGATCCCCTTCTGCCCAAACCTGTTTCTGTTTCTGTTTTTGTTTTTGTTTGAGACAGGGTCTTACTCTGTCGCCCAGGCTGAAGTGCAGTGGTGAAATCCTGGCTCACTGCAACCTCCCTCTCCCAGGCTAAAGTGATTCTCCTGCCTCAGCCTCCCGAGTAGCTGGGATTACACGCATGTACCACCACACCTGGCTAATTTTGTATTTTTAGTAGACACAGGGTTTCACCGTGTTGGCCAGGCTGACCTCCCAACTCCTGAACTCAGATGATCCACCTGCCTCGGCCTCCCGAAGTGCTGGGATTACAGGCATGAGCTACCACACTGCACTGAGTTTTAGCCTTGGTTAATGGCATAGCCATCTACCCAGTCAAAGAGATGCCATTGTACACTGCGGAATGACATTTTAGTTAGGGATGGACTGCATAAACAATGGTGATTCTGCAAGATTATAATACTTTGTATTTATTTATTTCAATAGATTTTTTGGGGAACAGGTGGGTTTTGGTTAGATGACTAAGTTCTTGAGTGGTGATTTCTGAGATTTTGGTGCACCCATCACCTGAGCAGTGTACACTGTACCCAATGTGTAGTCTTATCTCTCACCCCCTCCCACCCTTTCCCCCAAGTCCTCAGTTTATTGTATTATTCTTATGCCTTTGCATCCTCATAGCTTAGCTTTCACTTACGAGTGAGAAGATACAATGTATCATTTTCCATCCCTGAGTCGCTTCACTTAGAATAATGGTCTCCAATTCCATCCAGGTTGCTGCGAATGCCACTATTTTGTTCCTTTTTATGGCTGAATAGTATAGACAATTTCTTTATCCACTCATTGACTGATAGAATATTTTTACTGAACCTTTTATATGTTTAGATATATTGAGATACATAGATGCTTACCACTGTGCTACAATTGCCTACAGTATTCAATCCAGTAGCATGTTGAACAGGTTTGTAACCTAGGAGCAATAACATATACCGTCTAGCCCACATGTGTAGTGGGCTAGGCCATCTAGGTTTCTGTAAGTAGACTATGATATTTGCATGACCACAAAATCCCCTAATGACACATTTCTCAGGATGTGTCCCCAATGTTAAGTGATGCATGTCTGTGTCTTCCTACAATGGCATCTGGACCTGATGGGTTCCCTAGTGAATTCTTTATTATTTTCAAGCTTGGATAATGGCTTAATCTTCTACAGAAATGTCTGAGTCTTCTACCCTTCTCTGTTGCCCAGGCTGGAGTACAGTGGTACAATCATGGCTCACTGCAGGCTCGATCTCCCAGGCTTAAACAATCCTCCCACCTCAGCTTCCCAAGTAGCTGGGACCACAGTTGTGCACCACCACACATGGCTAATTTTTTTTTTTCTCTTTTCTTTTTTTTTGAGATGGAGTCTCACTCTGTCACCCAGGCTAGAGTGTAGTGGCACAATCTTGATTCACTGCAACCTCTGCTTCCTGTGTTCAAGCGGTTCTCCTGCTTCAGCCTCCCAAGTAGCTGGGACTAGAGGCATGTGGTACCACTCCCGGCTAATTTTTGTAATTTTAGCAGAGATGGGATTTTGCCATGTTGGCCAGACTGGTCTCGAACTCCTGACCTCAAGTGATCCGCCTGTTTCAGCATCCCAGAGTGCTGGGATTACAGGCGTGAGCCACTGTTCCTGGCCCTGGCAAAATTTTTTTAAAGTTTTTGGTAGAAATGGGATTTCCCTAACATGGACACAGGAAGGGGAATATCACACTCTGGGGACTGTTGTGGGGTGGGGGGAGGGGGGAGGGATAGCATCGGGAGATATACCTAATGCTAGATGACGAGTTAGTGGGTGCAGCGCACCAGCATGGCACATGTATACATATGTAACCTGCACAATGTGCACATGTACCCTAAAACTTAAAGTATAATAATAATAATAATAATAATAATAATAATAATAATAATAATAATAAAAGAAATGGGATCTCCCAATGTTGCCTAGGGTATTTTAGCGGGTCCTAAAACCAGTCTGCCCCTGCTCCAGGCTGTTCTTTGCATTCCTGTCAGAGTTCCCTATCACAATCCATCGTGATAACTTTCCTGCATAAACATCTTTCACTGCTCTTTATTGCCTGCTGTATAAAATCCAGCCTCTAGGCAGATTGACAGAACAATGCCCGCCCCATCCACAGATTCCCACGTCCTAATTCTCAGAACAGAACCTGTGAATATATTACTGTGTTTTGACAAGTCTTCTAAGACCGAGGCAGGAGGAGCAGAGTCAGAGAAGGAAACGTGATGATGGAAGCAGAGGGACACAGATGCTTACTGTTGTGTTACAGTTGCCTACAGTATTCAGTCCAGTAACACGTTGTACAGGTTTGTACCCTAGGAGCAATAGCATATACTATCTAGCCTAGACGTGTAGTGGGCTAGACTATCTAGGTTTATGTAAATAATGCTGTATGATGTCCGACCTTCTGCAGAGGTCAGAGGAAAGAGAAGATGCAACATGACTGGCTTTGAATGCGGAGGAAGGGGCCGTACGCCAAGAAATTCAGGTGCACTCTGGAAGCTCTCAGATTGGTGCAAAAGTAACTGTGGTTTTTGCCGTTAAAGGTAATCGCCATCGAAGTTTTTTGCCATTAAAGGTAATGGCAAAAAATGCAGTTACTTTTGCACCAGCCTAATAGAAAAGGCAAGGAAACGGGTGCTAGCCTAGCGGGGAGCGTGCGGCTCTGCTGACACCTTGATTTCATCCAGCGAAACCCACTTCAGACTTCAACTTCTAGAAAAGCCAGATAATGAAACCCATTTCAGACTTTGACTTCTAGAACAGTCAGATAATGAACTTGTGTGGTTTTAAGCCACTAGGTCTGTGGGAATTTGTGATGGCAGCCCTGGGAACCTAACACATACTCAAACCTGTGGTTCAACCTGATTTGACCAGCCTCATGTCCTGCTTTCCTCCATTCCATGTTCTCTCTGCACTCTCTTCCTCCTTTCTTCCTCTGCCATTCTTTTTTTTTTTTTTTTTTTTTTTTTTGAGACGGAGTCTCACCTCTGCCTCCTGGGTACCCGCGATTCTCCTGCTTCAGCCTCCCATGTAGTTGAGATTATAGGCATGTGCCACCACACCCAGCTAATTTTTGTATTTTTACTACAGACGGGGTTTCACTGTGTTGGCCAGGCTGGTCTCGAACTCCTGACCTAAAGTGATCCACCTGCGTCGCCCTCCCAAAGTGTGGAAATTACAGTCGTGAGCCACCATGGCTGGCCTCCTCTGCCATCCTTCATTTCTCCTTCCTCTTACACAGTCTGTAGCTTCCGCCTAAATTGCTACGTTGTTCTCTGTTCATCTTGTAGGATCCAAAGGCTTTGAAGTTGCCAATTCCTCTAGGCTGTCAGTCGCATTCTTCTTGTCTTCCCAGCCTGCTCGCATGACTTTATTCTATCCTTCATTACAGCGGGTTGTAATTATTCGTTGGCGCATCTGTCTCTCACACTAGACCATGACTTGCACAAAAGCAGTAACTACGTCTTGGCCATTTTTCATGCCTGGTTCTTGCCGTACAATAGTCGCTTTGAGTTTCTTGGTCAATGAATGAATGCCAAAGATATAACAGAATTAGAAATGGGAATGTGTATTTGACAATAGCTATGAAGGAAATGTAAACATGAAAACATACCATTGAATGCCAATCAGGTTTTGAGCTTTAAATAAAGACACACATTTTTTAACTGAAAAAAAATAATAATAAATCGATGTACAGATGTAGGCACTTGAATAGGGCAGAGCAAGTTGGGACTGAGAAAGAATTTACAAAATGTATCTGATGCTAACCTCTCCCAGGAGGCATCTGATAAAATGCCAGCTAAGTCTTTCAAATATTCAAGGTACAAAGGACTCAAAGGACTCTTGTATTAAAAAATAATTTTTCTGAAACATGCACACATTAATGTATTAAATTTGTTTTAGGCAATCATGATCTTGAACTCAAACCTCAATAAAGGTATTTCAGAAATAAGACTCACTTTTGTATTAACTAGCATTTGGAAACTGGTGATTTGCAGAATGGTGTGCTGGGAAATGTGAATAGATGTGCCAGGGGAAAGGTCCACAGTCAAATAAGTCTGGGAAATGCTGCTGTCACTTCCCTCATCTTGAAATTTACAATGCACATCAGCTGGTTACAGCTTCTCAGTGTTCATGCAGCAGAGACCTGCTGAAGCTTTTTCTTGTTATTTGAGACGGAGTCTTGCTCTGTCACCCAGGCTGGAGTGCAGCGGTGCAATCTCGGCTCGGCTCACTGCAACCTCTCCCTCCTGGGTTCAGGCGATTCTCCTGGCTCAGCCTCCTAAGTAGCTGGATGTGCCACCGTGCCCAGCTAATTTGTATGTTTTTAGTAGAGACGGGGTTTTGCCATGTTGGCCAGGCTGATCTCGAACTCCTGACCTTAGGTGATCTGCCCACCTCGGCCTCCCAAAATGCTGGGATTACAGGCATGAACCACTGCACCTGGCAGTTTGTTTTGTTTTGTTTGTTTGTTTACCCACCATTTTACTTCTCAAGTTGGAGAATAAACCCTTTTTTAAACATTGGTACATGCTAACATCTTCCTGGACAGTAAAAAACGCTGATACAGGCACAAAAGTCTAAAATAATCTACTAGCAGACAGAATTCGGCTATATGCATTCAAAGTATTGTATCCTATGCCCCAGTAAAGAAGCTAGGAAGGAATTCATTAGCATGGTACATCGTATGACTAGTTTAAGGAAAAGATGAAAAATCATCTCCATACATAGTAAATTTTTTTTTTTTTTTTTTTTGAGACAAAGTCTGGCGCTGTCGCCTAGGCTAGAGTGCAGTGGCAGGATCTTGGCTCATTGCAGCCTCTGCCTCCTGGATTCAAGTGATTCTCCTGCCTCAGCCTCCGGAGTAGCTGGGATTATAGGTGCAGGCCACCATGCTAATTTTTATGTCTTTAGTAGAGACGGAGTTTCACCACAATGGCCAGACTGGTCTTGAACTCATGGCCTCAAGTGATGGAATGGAATTGGAGACTACTAGTCTTGGCCTCCCAAAGGGCTGGGATTACAGGCGTGAGCCACCATGCCCAGCCTGCAGTAACTTGATTTAATAATGTCCAACACTTATTCCTAACTAAAGCTTTATAATTCTAATATAATAAAGTCCTCTTTGACACCAGAGACCAAATGTTTTGTTGCTTGAGAAACAAAATTCTTTTCTGTAAAAGTAGGAGTAAAGCAAAAAAGTCCGCTCTCCAAACAATACACGGATATTACTTTAGAAATTCGGACACACAGCAGAAATAGTGCAACCACTTGGCTCCCTGACATCAACCCCAAAGGACAGAACACCCATAAGCATGTCAATTTCCTATCATGATAATCCACAACGATTCTCAGCCATGGCTATGTTCACCCTTTCTGAAGCTCACGTATGTTTTTAACCTGGATAATTTTGCGGGGGTTAAGAGTCTCTTAATTTTGGCTCTGATTTTGGATAGCAGCATCCAAGGGTCCACTTTGCAGTTCCTTCTGCTTCTCTCTTTTTCCTCACTGGAGGAGCCACCGTTCTGAAGGCAGGGAGAGTCCTCGTAGGAGGAAGGCTTAGTCCCTCTTAGACCAAGATGGGGAGAGCTTTGTGTGTGTGCGGTGTAGGGAGTTGGGGCCTGGGGATACCTCTCGGGTACCTGGCCTTGCTGCATCACTGTGGTACCTGAGTCAGCTCCTGAGAAGGTGGGAGAAAGACGGACACACACGCTTTCAGACTATATTAGCTACACAACGGCTCTATCCTAATAAAATATTGCAGGATGGGTTTTCTTTTTTGCTTTTTAATTTATATGATGATTATTTTTAAATTTTCTATTTCCATACATTTTTGGGGAATGGATGGTATTTGGTTACGTGAGTAAGTTCTTTAGTGGTGATCTGTGGGATTTTGGTGCACCCATCACCTGAGCAGTGTACACTGAACCCAATTTGTAATTTTTTATTCCTCACCCCCCTCCCACCCTTTCCCCCAAGTTCCCAGAGTTCATTGTATCATTCTTATGCCTTTCAATCCTCATAGCTTAGCTCCCACTTATGAGTGAGAACATACGATGTTTGGTTTTCCATTCCTGAGTTACTTCACTTAGACTAGTAGTCTCCAATTCCATCCATGTTGCTGCAAATGCTATTAATTCATTCCTTTTTATGGCTGAGTAGTATTCCATCATATATATATGTGTATATAAAGAATATGTATACGTAAACTGAGATATATATACATGTACATATGTGTGTATTTATGTACATGTATATATATCTCAGTTTCTTTATCCACCTGTTGATTGATGGACATTTGGGCTGGTTCCACATTTTTGTAATTGCAAATCGTGCTGCTGTAAACATGCGTGTGCCAGTATCCTTTGTGCATGATGATTTCTTTTCCTCCGAGCAGATGTGCAGTAGTGGGATTGCTGGATCAAATGGTAGTTTTACGTTCAGTTCTTTAAGAAATCTCCACACTGTTTTCCATAGTGGCCGTCCTAGTTTACATTCCCACCAGCAGTGTAGAAGTGTTTCCTTTTCACCGCATCCACACCAACATCTATTGTTTTTTGATTTTTTTGATAATGGCCATTCTTGTGGGAGTAAGGTGGTATTACATTGTGGTTTTGATTTGCATTTCCTGCAGGATAAGTTTTTGAAAATGAGAAATTGTGACTCCCATACAGATACAGGATGAACATATATCACAAATTTTATATAAGGCATTCACTGAGAGAGCCAGTAAGGTGATATGACTTGTTCCAAGGAAAAGACTAAGAATCACACGTATACACGAAAAGAGCGAATGCTGACATGGATTTACAAGTGGGTGCAAAATGGGTCTATCACCTAGACCAGCAGTCTCCAACCCTTTTGGCAGCAGGGACCAGTTTCATGGAAGACAATTTTTCCATGGACTTGAGGCGGGGATGGTTTTGGGATAAAACTATTCCACCTTGGATCATTAGGCATTAGATTCTCATAAGGAACACGCAACCTAGATCCCTCGCACGTGCAGTTCACAAAAGGGCTTATGCTCCTATGAGAATCTAATGCCACCACTGATCTTACAGGAGGCAGAGCTCAGGAGGTAATGTTCCCTCACCTCCTGCTGTGTGGCCCGGTTCCTAACAGGCTGTGGACCTGTACCCATCTTAGATCATCTGTCCTAGACAATGATTGCATTCCACCAGATGCTACTAATCTGCATCTCTATGGACAAGAATTCCTTGCATTCTTAGTAGTTTTCTACCACTTACAGATTATGTAATAGGATGAAAGGCTGAGATAACCTGGAAAAATGTGTCAGACAAGACACCCAGGAATCTTTTTCATCCATTTCATCCATTCATCCTGTTTTTCCCACAAAAAACAGAAGAGTCATAATAATAGTAATGGTTACAATAATAATAATGATAATACCTTTCTTGCAACTTTTAACTGGCTAAAGCAATCATATTCTTTTACCAAATTTCCATCAGTCTCAGATTGTCAAATTGGTTCCACTTTCATCATCTTCTGAACTCCCCTACTTGCCCTGTCCCTTTCTGGGGACTCATAATATCATCTTACAGAACAGTTTAGAAAATGCTGATATAACCCAAAGGAAAAGAAATCATTCTATCAAAAAAAAAAAAAAAAAAAAAAAAGCTCTGCACTCATATGTTTATTGCAGCACTATTCACAATAGCAAAGTCAGAGAATTAACACAGGTGTCCATCAGTGGTGGACTGCATAAAGAAAAGGTGGTACATGTGCGCCATAGAATACTACACAACTGTAAAAAAGGACAAAATCATGTCCTTCGCAGCCACACAAATGCACCTGGAGGCCATTATCCTAAGTAACACAGAAACAGAAAACCAAATAGTGGATGTTCTCACTTGTAAGTGAGAGCTAACCATTGGGTACTCATGGACATAAAGATGGGGACACTGGAGACTACCAGAGTGGGGAAGGAGGAAGGAGGCAAGGGCTGAAAAGCTACCTGTTGGGCCCTGTGTTCACTGCTTGTGTAAGGGGTTCAGTTCACCAAATCTCAGCATCATGCGATGTCGTCAGGTAACAAACCTGCACATGTACCCCCGAATGTACAGTTTAAAAAAATTCAAAGGAAAATGCTGATACAGGCACTAATTTGTTTGCTTTGCCACTTCCACTCTTGCTGTCTTCTCCTTGCCTATCTGAGGGAGGGCACGTGGATTTTCTCCCAGACTCCTCCCTTTTCCCACCTGTCCATTCGGTTCCTATTGCTGCTGTAACTACAGTCACCATTTGAGCGGCTTAAAATAACAGGAATTCATTATCTTTTAGTTCTGAAAGTCAGAAGTGATGGGTGGGGCAGCAGGGCTGCATTCCTTCTGGAAGCTCTAGTGGAGAATCCTTTCCTTGCCTTTTCCTGCTTTTGGAGGTGACCAGCACTCCATGGTTCATGGCCATGCATCACTGTGGCTATGCCTCTGCCCTTACCTCTCCTTCTCTCACCCTCCGGCCTTCCTCTTAGTTAGGGACTCTTGTAATGACATTGCACCCACCCAGATAATTCAGGATAATCCCTCTGCATTAGTTTGTTTTCATGCTGCTGATAAAGACACACCTGAGACTGGGCAATTTAAAAGAGAAAGAGATTTAATTGAAATTACAGTTCCACATGGCTGTGAAAGCCTCGCAATCATGGGGGAAGGCAAAGAGGAGCAAATCATGTCTTCCATGCTTGGCAGCAGGCAAAGAGAGAATGAGGAAGACGGGAAAGCAGAACCCCTTGATAAAACCATCAGATCTTGTGAGACTTATTCACTACCACAAGAACAGCATGGGGAAAACCGCCCCCATGATTCAATTATCTCCCACTGTGTCCCTCCCACAACACGTGGGAATTATGGGAGTACAATTCAAGATGAGATTTGGGTGGGGACACAGAGCTAAACTATATCACTCTCTATATCAAAATCCTTAACTTGATCACACCTGCAAAGTCCCATTTGTCATGTAAGGTGACATATTTATAGACATGGACATCTTTGGAGGGCCATTACTCTACTTACCACAACCTAGTTGGCTGGCCTTGAAAAGGGAAGTTCTGTGCCTTCCTCTGCGAATCCCAGGGCCTTGTCCATGAAAGCTTCCTGCGCAATCTGTGTTTTCAGGTCTATCTCTGGTTTTTCTCCACCTACCTGTTTGTTATAAGCTCATTCATCTTTTTCTTTTCCTTTCTTCTTGAGACTGACTTCAGCATCTCCCAGCAAATGCTCCTTCCTTTCATGGGGATGCACATGGGAAAGAGATTGGATCTCTTTCCCATGTACATTTTTCCCATGTACATTTTCTACGCTTGGACTCTTTGGGTGAGCTGATTGGCCCAGAGGAAGGACCTTCAAGTCAACTGCACACAAATTGCAAATTTCTCACACTAATTCAACAGAGATGCCTAAGCTGGGTGTGGTGGCTCAAGCCTGTAATCCCAGCACTTTGGGAGGCCAAGGTGGGATGATCGCTTGAGCCCAGGAATTTGAGACCAGCCTGGACAACACAGTGAGACCTTCATCTCTACAAAAAAAAATTAAAATAAAATAAAAATTAGCCGGGCTTGTTGATGTGCACCTGTAGTCCCAGCTACTCAAGAGGCTGAGATGGGGGATCACTTGAGTCCAGGAGTTCAAGGCTGCAGCGAGCTATGATTGCACCACTGCATTCCAGCCTGGGTGACAGAGTAAGGCTGTCTCTAAAAAAAAATAAGAAAAAGAAAAAAAAAAGATGTCTTGGTTGGGCTGATTCCTCCCTAAGTACCTGCAGAATACTCAGGTAATTCCTGAGGCCCCTTTGGAGCTCTGAAATAAATTCGAGTGTTTTCCTGCAAAATGGAACATTAAAGTAGGAAGCAGTGGAAAAAGAACCAGAAAATCACTCATCACTTTTACAATAAATGCTATATGTTTACCTTTCCAGCTACGACAGAGGATGCAAGGTAACATGATGTAATACTAATCAGAGCCAACCACTACTGAGTGCTTCCTATGTGCCAGAACTGTGTCAAGCACCTTAACTATGTTAACTCCTATATTGCTCACATGTCATAAATTATACACATAAAAATATGAACTCATAAATATGAAAATACAAATTCGTGTATCACACATAGAATGCTTACAACATGAGAGAGGGTAGTATTACTGCCTGCATTTAAAGATGGGGAAACTGAGGCATGGAGGCATTACACAATTGCTCAAGGCCACAGAGGTAGTAAGGGCTAGAGTCACGATTCAAACTTAGGCTGTCCGGGTCCACAGTCAATAAATGACGTAAAAGATAATGGCTCCAGATATGTCAACGTATTCGAAGACGACGATTGAAAAATTAACCATCATGCCACGCTGTGCCTCCAGGGTCATCCCAGTGAAGTAAGAGTTTAGAGGAAGGAGAGATTATCATTTGCTGAGATTGGTCAAGGATGGGAAATAACCTGTACGGAGAACTTTAGCAAAGGTTCTTGGAGAAGGTGGGATGCCCCCTGCTGGTTGAGTAAATTCAATTTTCTTAACTGAACTGTCGTCATAAGGTCAATTTTTAATGATCATTTCCCCCTACTCCTGCTTTGGATCCATGAAGCGACTTTACTAGAAAAAAAAAAGTCAGTTTTTCTTTGTTCGAGGGGACTTTAGTTGCTAGGCAACCTATACCTCAAATTTGGGACTCATCTTTGATGCTAAGGACGGCATCCTGGCATACTGGACATTCATAATTTACTTTCCAGAGAACATTAACATTCAAAAATGGAGAGGCTATAAATGTGAGTTGCCCTGCATGTGTTTTTAAAATGGAAATCCTGATGAGTTTATTTCTCCAAGATGTCTTTTGCAACTTGCCTGTTTTGCTAATACACTCTGTCATGTATTAATTCTTAATCAATTTGCACTGTGATTTGGCTAGTTAGCAAATGGAATTGCATTTCAGCGACTTCCTGTTTACACTCAGAAACCTGAGAGTCATCCTTCATTCCTCTTCTTCATAACTTCTCGCATTTTAGCAGTCACCAAGTCCTGTAAATTTCACCTGTGAAAAGCTTTGTGAATGAATTTCTGCCTCCTTTTTTTCTACCTGGCAGATTTAAGGTATACTTCTAGACTCTCATAATTTTTCATCTCCGCCACTGTAGATTTCTAATTCGTCTTTTTGTTTTGACTTTTTCTCTCTTTTGGTCCATCTACCCTCTCCCCCTCCTTGCCTTCTTCTGTTATCTTTTAAAAAACATAGATTTCCAGCCTGGCCAACGTGGTGAAACCCCGTCTCTACTAAAAATACAAAAAATTAGCTGGGCGTGGTGGCGCATGCCTGTAATCCCAGCTACTTGGGAGACTGAGGCATGAAAATCGCTTGAACCAGGGAGGCAGAGGTTGCAGTGAGCCGAGATCACACCACTGCATTCCAGCCTGGGTGACAGAGTGAGGCTCTGTCTGAAACAAACAGACAAACAACAAACACCCCAAAAACAAACAAAAAAGCCCCATAGAGCTGACCATATTACTTTTGCTTGACAACTGGATGGTTTCTTCTGGTGTTGACCACACGTAGACTCCTTTTCATAGCATTCAATGCCTTTACCACCTGGTCCCGTTCGACCTTCCTCTGCTACCTCTCAAGCATATTCTGTCTTCCGGCCACACAAAACCTGTCACAGTTGTCCATATAATTGTCACAACTTTGTGCCTTTACAGAAGCTAGTGTTCCTATCTAGAACGTCTTTTCTATTTTTGTTTGTTTTTTTTTTTACAACATTGGTAGAATTTTTGTCATTTTTTTTTCATTTTTTGTTTTGTTGGAGACAGAGTCTCACTCTGTAATTCAGGCTGGAGTGCAGTGGCACGATCTCGGCTCACTGCAACCTCCACCTCCCAGGTTCAAGCCATTCTCCCGCCTCAGCCTCCCAAGTAGCTGGGACTACAGGTGTGTGCCACCACGTCTAACTAATTTTTGTATTTTTTGTAGAGACAGGGTTTCACCATGTTGCCCAGGTTGGTCTCGAACTCCTGGCCTCAAGTAATCTGCTCTTCTCGGCCTCCTAAAGTGGTTGGATTATAGGTTTGAACTACTGCATCTGGAAAAATGAATTTCAGTCATCTTTTAAAAGCCCAACTGATATTTCCCTTCCTACAGATTTTTTTTCAACCACATGCTCATCTCTATTCTGATGGCATTGTGAGAACACATCCCACTGTGTTATAGTTGTCTGGTAACACATTGCTCTTCCTAGACCAGCTTTTTTTTTCAGAGCATGACACACTTGATCAATGATGCACAGATACAGGACACACTGCGTTGTGCAAGGCTGAGCGATCCAGCTGCGTCTGCTCCCTGGTTTTCTGAATATTGAGATACACTGAGACCAGCGGCATTCTAGGGCTCACCTTGAATCTCTTCTCATTTATTTCTTTAAGAAGCCTGTCATTTGCAATTATCCCTAGTCTTCTCTAAGGCAAGCTATAAATGATTCATGACTAACTTCTCACCTAACCCTGAAGTGCAGGTGCACTAGAATGCTGTGTTTATAAACAGCTGCTCGAGTCTGTAATCCCATAATCACTGAACATGCTATACCTGTCTTTGTAGTCCAGTTACTTTGGATAGTGCTGGTACATAGTATGGACCCAGTAAATGCTCGTGATAGAGATATGTTGGATAGGCTGAATACTTGTGTTCTTATGGTCATTGTTATGTGGAAGTAAGTTTCACTTTCATATAGTAATAGATAAAAGTTACCGAAGTCGGCTGGGTGTGGTGGCTCATGCCCGTAATCCCAGCACTTTGGGAGGCCAAGATGGACGGATCACGAGGTCAGGAGTTCGAGACCAGCCTGGCCAACATGGCGAAACCATGACTCTACTAAAAATACAAAAATTAGCCAGCATGGTGGCTCACACCTGTAATCCCAGCTACTCAGGAGGCTGAGGGAGGAGAATCGCTTGAACCTGGGGGTGAAGGTTGCAATGAGCCGAGACCATGCCATAGCACTCCAGCCTGGGTGACAGAGCAAGACTCTCAAAAAAAAAAAAAAGTTATGGAAATCCTTACTATGAGCTAGGCAGTGTGTGCTAAGTCCAAAGACTAACAGGTTATCTAAGAACTGGAGGCCACTGAAAGGATTTCCACTGCCCAAAATGGAATGATTTAAGCAGTAAAAAAATAATAAATGCAATTGGTAGCAACACATTAAAAATATATTCATATAACATATATAAACATTTTACATATTTTATATATTGTATATTTGTAATATATACTAAAAACTATATGTTTATAATATATATTTTATATATTATATATATTCCAATAAGTTTCTAACAATACATACATATATAGACTTACTTCCATGGTACTTTAACATGGTAGGGGTAAAAGCTTATAGGGTACCAAAAATTTTTTTTTTTTTTGGGGGGGGGGGGGGTTATGCAGTTTCGCTCTGTTGCCCAGGCTGGAGTGCAGTGGCGTGATCGTGGCTCACTGCAACTTCCGCCTCCCAGATTCAAGTGATTCTCCTGCCCCAGCCTCCCAAGTAGCTGGGATTACAGGCACCTGCACCATGTCTGGATAATTTTTTGTATTTTTAGAAGAGATGGGGTTTCACTGTGTTGGCCAGGCTGGTCTTGAGTGCCTGATCTCAGGTGATCCGCCCTTCTTGGCCTCCCAAAGTGCTTGGATTATAGGTGTGAGCCACCGTGCTTGGCCAGGTACCAAATCTTTACTCCAAAGATTGGCACTTAAAAAGCATAAACAAGCCCGGCGTGGTAGGTGGTAGCCTTCAGCTACGTGGGAGGCTGAGGCTGGAGGATCACTTGAGCCTGGGAGTTTGATATTGCAGTGAGCTATGATGGTGCCACTGCACTCCAGCATGACCCACACTGTGAGATCCTGTCTCTAAAAAAAAAAAAAAAAAGAAAAAAAAGCATAAACAGTATTTCAAATAGCCCAAGTAACAGTAACCAAATAGCCCAAGTTGATTAAAAAAAAAAAAAAAAAGGACACCTTCTGTATGAAGATGTCAATGAATAATTGTGGAAGAAATTAATTGCACTTGGAAATCACCAGTTTGCCACCAAGAATGAAATACGGTGTTTGCATCAAGCAAGGCTCTGTGATGAAAGAAACCATGAGATGAAAGGTTTATGGAGAACTTGACAATGCACATTTTGGGCTGTCACCCCCTGAACCTGCTAGTTGTCACTATAGTTGGCATATCTAGGTAGGGTGGGGTCCCAATGTAGTACAACCTGAAGCTCACAGCATCCCATATGAAGTTGTCTTCATGAAAAGCTGAATATGAATCTATTCAAAGCTCTAGGGCCAACTTCCATTTGCAGGAAATATGAGGGACAGAGGAACAAACTAAATGATACCCCGTGGGCTTCTGGAATGTAGGACAGTCTTCAGGACAGCTGACACGGTTTCTGCGACAAGTCAATGACTTGAAAAGAATGAGCAGCTGGGGAGGGTGGGGCACATTAGAGATAAGCAACATGTGTGCCTTGTTTGTATCCTGATGCGGACGGATCATGTAAAATGA
This sequence comes from Homo sapiens, assembly GCF_000001405.40. Lineage (NCBI taxonomy): Eukaryota > Metazoa > Chordata > Mammalia > Primates > Hominidae > Homo > Homo sapiens. The sequence goes on along the minus strand of NC_000007.14, from coordinate 72,179,980 downwards.
CCTTTGTGAGACAATTAGGGAGGTGGGATCATGGATGACTATCAGATGAGATATTTTTAATCCTGAGAATTATTATGTCTTTTGTTAATAAGCAAACAGTATATGTCCTTTGTTAATATGAGTCAGTATATAACTTTTTTACATAAGAAAATGTAATTTTTTTAATAGATGTGCATTGCAGTGCGTAGGGGTGAAATGACATGATGTCTGAGAAGTGCTTTAAAATATTTTAGCAAGAAAGGGGGAAAAAGATGAAGCAAATGTGGCAAAATATTGCTAATTGTTGAAGCTGAGTTATGGTTATATGGCGATTCATTTAGTTATCTGTCATTTTGAGCAAGTTTGACAATTAGGTGGATATATGAAGTTACACATATATATGTACACACATGTGCTTATATTCATATATATATATTTATTATTTTCTTCTTCAGTTTTAATTTTCATGATGATAAGTTACATAGTCTACCAATGTATAATGAGACAAGATTCTCCATTAGAGAAAACTTGCTGGTTTTGGCTGATGGAAACTCCGATGCAGACATAAGTGTTTAGTGACACTTGCCTTAACCTGTTTGGTCTTTGGGGGCAGATGTATTTGCCAGCGCTAGCCATTACTCTAAGTCAAGATGGGAACAGTCAAAAAAATTGTATGACATTTAAAAAAGAACTTTTAATCTCAAGCATATTAGTCCTCATGCAAATGATGTTAATTACCCGTGAAACTTATTTAGCCTCTCAGAGCTGTCCTGGTTAGACGTATAAATAGAATGTTTTTCTTATCTACTTCGTTTTGTTACTGAATGCCCTTGAAAGTCATAATACTGAATTTAAAGCATCTCTAATTTAGATCAACTTTTCACCCAATTAGTGTGAGATATGAGTTCAACTGAAAACTTGCTTGCATGTGAGAAAATATCTAAGTTTTACCTTTGCTAATTTTAGTCCAAAAAAATCACCAGTTTTCATTTAATATCTCGCATGTTACAAAGGAAACCAAATATTATTGGGGGTTAGCCTTTTAAAGTAAGCCATGATGCCTAAAGACCACAAATATTGAAAACACGGAAAACCCAGACTTCAGACTTTATCAAATAAACTTGATATAAAATACAAGAACAAAGCATTTCAAAATTTGCTGTTTATTTTTCAATGGGGTCTAAATCTGACAAAATGACATTTGTAGTTCCTAATTGAAATAGACATCTACAATATGCGTAAAAATATTACCCAAGTGAAAAATAAAGCGGGAGTTTGTCAAATAACCTTTTCTTTCTTTCTTTTTTTTTTTTGACATGGAGTCTCTCTCTGTCGTCTGGGCTGGAGTGCATTAGTGCGATCTCGGCTCACTGCAACCTCCGCCTCCCGAGTTCAAATGATTCTCCTGCCTCAGTCTCCTGAGTAGCTGGGATTACAGGTGCGTGCCACCACGCCTGGCTAATTTTTGTCTTTTCAGTAAAGAGGGTTTCACCATGTTGGTCAGGCTGGTCTCGAACTCCTGACCTCGTGATTCACCTACCTCAGCCTCCCAAAGTGCTGGGATTACAGACATGAGCCACCGCTCCTGGCCCAAGGAACCCTTTTTTAGTTAGCAGTTACAGTGATTATGTATCGAATGCTACTCCATTCGACCTCTTGCACAAGTGCAGCCTTTTCCAACAGTTATACTTCCCATTGCCTTTTCTTTCTCAGAATTTCCCTTTAATGTCAAGCTGAAATAATTCTCCATGCTGAATTAGTCTCATCTGGATTTGTGGAAAGAGGTCTTCCTTCCTGTTTCTGACAGCACTATTGTTCAGAGTTTTATTCCTTTATGCAATACACATTGGGCCTTATTCTCCTTCTGAATTGCTTACAAATTTTTTCCCCCATTTTTCGGGATGTGATTTGAGTTGAATGCAAACACACCTTCCTCATCCTTTCAAATTGGGACAGGTTAGATTAATGGTAATAAAAGGCCTCAGATTCAACTTCTACCAAATGAGCTTCTGCCTTGGCTCTTTGAGCAAGAGCACTTGGCAAGGTGGTTGGACCAGAGTGAGTTCTTTTATTGTTGCCCTGGATCAGCACCGGGTGGAGGTGCTAAGGGACGCGAACATGTTACAAAGGAGAATGCTAGAAGGGAAATAAGGAGCAAATAGCCTGGTTGCCATGGTCCCTGGAGCCTGTGGAATGACTCTTCAGAAGTGCCAAATCGCCACCAAATGTCCTTTTTTTTTTTTTTTTTTCCCTCTGTCGCCCAGGCTGGAGTGAAGTGGTGCAATTTCAGCTCACTGCAGCTTCTGCCTCTCAGGTTCAAGTGATCCTCCTGCCTCAGCCTTCCAAGTAGTTGGGATTACAGTCATGCACCACCACGCCCAGCTAATTTTTGTATTTTTGGTAGAGATGAGGTTTCACCATGTTGGCCAGGCTGGTCTCGAACTCCTGACTTCAAGTGATCCGCCCTTCTCAGCCTCCCCAAGTGCTGGGATTACAGGCATGAACCACATTGCCCCGCCCAAATGTCCTATTGTAATATAAAGCTTGGTGTAGAAAATAAGAACCCTGAGCTCTTTGAGAATAATCAAAAATTAATTAACAAAAACCCTGAGCTGCTGATCAGTCTTACATAGACCCTCTGGCCAGGCCTGCTTAAGAGTCATGACATAGCCCGGGATGTCTTATTTCTGTTTACCTTCCTTAAATCTGTCTCCTCCTCCAAGTGTCCTCCTCTCTAAGTCAGGGTAAGCACTTGAAATAACAATAAGAAGGGGCTACACAGTTGCAGCAGGGGAGACAGTGTTCTGGTGCATCAGAATGCTCGTGCTCATTGAATGAATGCACAGATGAATGAGTGAATGAGCTCTTGTAGCTCAACTGGTTTGTCATCACTTTTAAGGATTACACCCACGCATCCCGCCTCCTCACTGTTTCAGCAGGAGACGAAGGCTATGAGTTAGATGTAATATGAGGATGGCTTTGGGAGCCAGCACACCAGAAATTACAATAGGTGTTTCCACTCAGCCGCTACTGTTTGTGCTAACTTCAGACTAATTAGTCATTACAGGATGAGGTTTTGGAAGGGAGCAAGCCTAAAAATCATCCATCTTCAGTGTAAGTGTTCTTGGGCCAACAGAAAGAAGGGGATCTGGCACCAAATAAGACAGGGTGGAAAATTCCTCTTCATTTCCATCCTGACATTTGAATTTTCTTTAGAGAAAATTGTCTGGGAAAGGGAGACTCTATTGAACTTTGGGCTTTCCTATGCTGTAGTAGGCTGTTCCTGCATCACTAGGAAGAAAGGCCTGAAGTTTGGTAATTTATAAAGAAGTTTAATTGGCTTATGGTTCTACAGGCTGTACATGAAGTGTGATGCCTGCATCTGCTTCTGGTGAGGCCTCAGGAAGCTTCCAGTCATGGAGGGAAGGTGATGAGGAGCCAGCATGTTACATGGCGAGAGTGGGAGAAAGAGAAGGAGGAGGTGCCACAGACTTTTTAATAACCAGATCTCATTATCAAGGCCAGCACTAAGACATTCATGAGGGATCCGCCCCCATGACCCAAACACCTCCAAGCAGGCGTCACCTCCAACACTGGGAATCATATTTCAACAAGAGATTTGAAGGGGACAAACATCCAAACTCTATCATATGCCAACAGCAAACAGCAGGGAATGCCTAGTCTTGCAGAATTCTAGCATCTTCAGGCTGGAAGAGGCCTTACCTTTCCCACAAAGTTCTTCCAAAGCCCTGGTCTGCCTGTAAGAATTAAAGAAAGAGGAAGGAAACACGAAAAGTAGCTTAACAGTCAAAGACAGGTTTATTTTGGAGAATAAACCTGAGAGGAGCGTCTGGCCAAGCTAGGTCAGGTGCTCTCTCTTACAGATTAAGAGTTTTTAAGGGTTCAGGGTGGAAGAGCTTATCACAGACTCAGAATGTTTCTGTGTGTCTTTGTCTTGCTTATCTGGGAGGGAGAGTTTTGTGTCTGTTCCCATACATTTTTTTTGCAGTTGCAGGCATACCCTCTGAGTTTGCATTTAGTTTTTTTTTTATTTTAGTGCACTTAAAGGGAAAGGAATATGCTTATTAGGGCCCACTGTTTTACTGGGGCCCATTGTATGAATGTGAAGTTTGGTGGTTACCTAAGAGACTTTCCCTCTTCCTCTGTGCCTGAGCTGTTTTATTTGTGATTTACTGTCTGTTCTTTCAGGCTGCTTGTTGTTAGAAGAGAAGTAATTTCCTTGAAATGCATGAGGTTAGAAAGGGAGCTGGAACTTAAAGTGGCGGCGTTTGTTCTCACAAAGTTCCTCCAAAGCCCTGGTCTGCCTACTTCTCCATGAATACCTCCAGTACCAAGGAATACCCTCTCCAGCGTGGCAGCCAGTTTTAGCAGTGGATTATTCTTCCTGGTTAGGAAATTGTTCTCTATCCCCAGATGAAGTTTGCCATCTCCAAATGCCACCAGTATATCCTGGTCCTTGCAGTGAGGTTGTCCAGAAGCTGACTCTTGTTTCTGATGGACATCTGAGGACAGTCATGATGCTCCTCAAGAATCTTCACTCGTGTCTCAGATTGCATGCTTTCTTACCCCACTTACTGTATTCTGAATTTGCTCTGGTTTATTCTTATTTAAAAAATGATTTGGCTCACTCCCATAATCCCAACACTTTGGGAGGCCGAGGCGGGCAGATCATGAGGTCAGGAGATCGAGACCATCCTGGCTAACACGGTGAAACCCTGTCTCTACTAAAAATACAAAAAATTAGCTGGGTGTGGTGGCGGGCGCCTGTAGTCTCAGCTACTCGGGAGGCTGAGGCAGGAGAATGGCGTGAACCTGGGAGGCGGAGCTTGCAGTGAGCCGAGATTGCGCCACTGCACTCCAGCCTGGGTGACAGAGTGAGACTCTGTCTCAAAAAAAAAAAAATTGATTATATTGAGGTATAGTTTACATACAGTACACTGCACATATTTAAATTGTGCAATTTGTTGAGTTTTGACTAAGTATATACCTATAATACTACCACCCAATAAAGAGACCAAAGACAGAGCGAGACTCCGTCTCAAAAAAAAAAAAAATTGATTATATTGAGGTATAGTTTACATACAGTACACTGCACATATTTAAAGTGTGCAATTTGTTGAATTTTGACTAAGCATATACCTATAATACTACCACCCAATAAAGAGACCAAAGATTTCCATCACACCCCAAAATTCCATGATGGTCCTTGCAATTCCTTCCTTCCTCCATGTTGTCACCTCCCTGTCCCAAACTGATCTGCATTCTATCACTACAGTTCAGTTTTTGTTTTCTGAAATTTTATAGAAATGTGATCATACAATATATATACTCTTGTGTCTGGCTTCTTTCTCTTAGCATATTATTTTGAGATTCATCTGTGTTGTTATGTATCTGTAGTTTGTTTTTTATTGTTGGGTGATATTCTATGGTGTGGATATTCCACAATTTATCCATCCACCTGTTGATGGACGTTTGTGTTTTTTGTTTAGCTAGTTTTTGACTATTATAAGTAATAGTCAAAAATGTAATAAAGCTTCTTTGAATGTTTTTATACAAATCTTCCTGTGGACATATGTTTCCATTTCTCTTGGGTAAATAGCTAAGAGTGGAGTGGGTGGGTTGCATGATAGATGGATATTTGACTTTTTAAGACATTGCCAAACTGTGTTTCAAAGTAGTTGTACTCTTTTGCACTCCCACCATTGGTGTATGAGAGTTCCAGTTGCTCTACATCCTTGCCAATCCTGATACTATGTCTAATTTTAACCATTCTGCTGAAGTGTGGTGGTATATAACTGTTGTTTCTATTTGCCTTTTCCTAATGACTAATGATGTGTACCTTTTCCTGTGTTTATTGGCTATTTGTATTTCTTCATTTTTGAAGCCTCTTTTATTTTTTAGCTATATAAATTCTTTATATATACTAGATATAAGTTCTTTGTTTGCATGCATGTTGCAAATATATTCTCCCAGTCTGTGGTTTGCCTTTTTATTTTCTCAACAGTGGCCTTTAAAGACCAGACATTTTTATTTTTTATAAAATTAGATGTATCAGTATTTTGTGTTATGATTCATACTTTTTGTGTGCTATCTAGATAATCTTTATTTCATGCTCACAGAGATTTCTCTTGTCTTTTGTTCCCAATGTTTTATAGTTTTTGTTTTTCTATTTAGATCTATTATCAATTTTGAGTTCATTTTTACATACAAGATGAAAAAATGGTTGTTTATTTCTTTCTCATGTGGATATTTAGGCATTCTAGCATCATTTATTAAAAACAAACAAACAAAACCACCTTTCTTTTGCCACTGAATTACCTTAGCACCTTTGTAAAATATCCATTTATATGTATCTCTATTTCTTGACTCTGTATTCTGTTCAGTTATCTAGAAGTCTGTCCTTTTGACTGGGCCTTCAGAATAAGTCTTGAGATCAGCTGCAGTTAAGTCCTTTTCACTTTGTTCTTTTAAACCATTTCTTTGGCTTTTTATAGCATTTAGCCTTTATATGTAAATTTTAGAATCCAAATTGTCAATGTCTGCATAAGTCTGGTTAAATTTTGATAGTAATTGCATTAACTCTGTAATCAATTGGGGAAATTAATCTCTTAACAATATGGAATATTTTAACCCATAAACATGATATATATATATATTCATTTAGGTCTTCCTTAAGGCCCAAATAACGTTAAATTATAACCTTCAACTTCGAGATTTTGTATAACTTTTGATTAGTTTTATTCATATGTACTTTATTTTTCTTTTTTTAATACTACTGCAGATGGAATTGATTTTTATAGCTTCATTTTTGTTCTGCTCCTATATAGAAGTACAGCAATTGTTTTCATATAAACCTTGTATCCTATGACCTTGTTAAATTTATTTATTCTTTTTAGAAATTGTTTTGTAGATATCTTGTACATTTCTATACAAACATTCATCTGCAAATAAGAGATCATTTTACTTATTTTAAGATCTTCAAAAAAAAAAGATATTTATCTCTTTTTTTTCTTGCCTTATTGCAATGGCTAAGACCTAGGATACAATACAGTGGTAAATAGAAGTGGTAACAGTGGACATATTTGCTTTGTGCTTTGTCCCCAATTTTAGGGGGGAAGTCTTCAGTCTTTCACTGGCAAGGATGATGTGAGATACAGGTCTTTCATATATAACAGATTTTATCAGACTGAGGAAATTACCCACTATTTCTAATTTGCTGAGAGATTATACCATGAATAGTTGTTAAATTTTGTCAAGTATTTTTTTCTACAGTCATTGAAATGGTCGTAAGAATTTTCAACTTATTCAGTTGAAGTAGTGAATTATCTCTTTTTAAAGAAATGTTGAACCAGGCTTGCATTCCTGGAATAAACCCTACTTAGTCATGATGTGTTATGTACCTTTTGATATATTTCTGTAGATGACTGGTTTAATTTGCTAATACTGTAATAAGGATTTCGGCATCTTTGTTCACTAGAGTTATTGGTCTGGAGTTTTCTTTTCTTATCATTGTTTTGTCTGCTTTTTGGTCCATTTCACTCTTGAACACAAAGCACCAGGGCTATGCAAGACTGACTAGTGAGCCTTCTGGCTCTAAGTCTTCTCCATCACTGGTTGCTGTGAAGGAGGTACAAATGGTCTGAATGTGACTGAGAAGGTATCAAAGCACTCCCTGGTAGACATCTCATGCATCTTTATGGCATCTTCTCAGGCAAGGATGACTTCATTTTTACTCTCGAAAAGCCTTGAAAAACTAAGAGGTGGACAGGGAGTCTGAACAATGGCTGTTAAAAACTCAGACTCTTTGGTTCAACTTTTCCACAGGTTCCATGGCTCTTGCTTAGTCACAATCAGGCTGGACCCCATGGGTCTGTTCCCTGGTGGATTACTCTTTTGTTGATGAGCCTGTTTGTGACAATGGCAAAGACAGATAATTGCAAAACGACCAGCAGATAGAGATGCTGCTGGGAGGTTTCCTGCTTTCATCAATTCTCATTATGGTTCTGGCTGTGCTACTTGATCGCTACATGACCTGTGATCTTTCTGGACCCCAGTTTCTTTGCCTTTAAAATGGGATGGCGACACATTACTTGAAAGGTTGTAAGAATCAAAGATGGGTGTGTGTGTGGACCTGTGTGTGTGTTTAAATGGTAAACATTATTACTATTTCAAAATTTAAATGCTCTGATCCTTAGTTTACTGATCTCTAAAATAAATATAATAATACGTAAAATGAGGATCCCACAGTATTATTTTCAAGCTAAAAATAAATGAACAGGACCTGGTACAAAGATCTTCAAAAATCTCTTTTTTTCTCCCCTCTCCTACTTCACATGTTAGTCCTGGATGTGGGCCTCTTTTTTGCAGGTGAACAAGTTTGTACTGAGAACATACGAGGCTAAATAATACAGGTTTTCAGATGTTTTTCCTTCATTGATTTATTTGTTCATTTGTCAGCCATTTGTTACAAATTATATCAGTCACCATGCATTTTAGGAATTTTTAATTTTTATTTTTTTAAGAAAAATGGGGTCTCACTATGTTGGCCAGGCTGGTCTCAAACTCCTGCCTCAAGCAGTCCTCCTCTCTGAGCCTGTCAAGACACTGGATTTATAGGTGTGTACCACCACACCTGGCTACACATTTTAGGAATGTATTTTAAAAGACTTTGATTATTTGGAGGTGTAGAGCTCTAGTTAATACCCAAGTCCTTGGCTTTCAAGTTGGATTTGATTGGAAGTCAGCTTATCTTTTAGGCGTGAAAAGTTTAAACCAGCCAATACCTAATTTTGACTCTGTGAAATCTTTTTTTTGTTTTGTTTTGAGACTGACTCTCACTCTGTCACCCAGGCTGGAGTGCAGTGGTGCAGTCTGGCTCACTGCAACCTCGAACTCTCAAGGGCTCAAGCTATCCTCCCACCTCAGCCCCCCGAGTGGTTGGGACTATAGGCATACACCGCCATGCCCAGCTAATTTTTGTATATTTTGTAACACAGAGTCTTGCCATGTTGCCCACGCTGGTCTTAAACTCCTGGACTCAATGTGATCCACCCGCCTTGGCCTCCCAAATTGTTGGAATTACAGGCATGAGCCACCATGCCTGGCTGACTCTGTGAAATCATATTCATTGTTCAGCATCCTGTTTAAAAGTATCCACAAGTATGAGTTTCTAGTGCTTAATTCAATTCATCTCAAATCTATGGTAGAATATACCAAATAACTGGTCTCTCTCTCTGAATGACTTTGCTCAAAAAATCTGGTTTCTTAGTTGTTTTGAAACTTTGATAAAGACATGACAATGACAGATGACCTAAATTAGGCAGAGAATGACTCAGGAACCCCATCTTGGAGCTTAGGATGTAGGACTCTCTTTATGTGCGTGCCTGATGTTCTCTGTTCTCTGGAGGAAGGTGGGGCAATGCCACTGGCCCTAACGTCCAGGTTGAAATTCCTGCGACTTTAACCAAGTTATGTAAAAATGGTCATTCACTTCTTTTTTGTCTTTTTGAAGATTGTTTTGCAAGTGGTTGCAGCTGCTGCTCATCTGGTTGACTTATATAGGACCTTGTCACGATCGAAGACTGAATGGTGATTGCTAAAAATGAATAGGAAATGCTTTCTAAAGTAGCATCAGAGTTATTAAGGCCATAAATAGACAAGAGAGTAGAACTAAATGCCAGCAAAATAAAGAGTTAGAGAGGTAGCCAGGCACGATGGCACACACCTGTAGTCCCAGCCACTTGAAGGGTTGAGCAGGATCACATGAGGCTAGGAGCTTGAGATCAGCCTGGACAACATAGTAAGATCCTGTCTCTACAAAATGTAAAAAGAAAAAAATAATTAGCTGAGGCATGTCCTAGTTACTTGGGAGGGAGGATTGCTTGAGCCTAGGTGTTCCAGGCTGCAGTGAGCTGTGATTATGCACCATTGCACTCCAGCCTGGGTGACAGAGTGTGATCCTGTCCCTAAGAAAATAACAATAAAAATTGGCCAGGTGCGGTGTCTCACGCCCGTAATCCCAGCACTTCGGGAGGCCAAGGCAGGTGGATCACCTGAGGTCAGGAGTTCAAGACCAGCCTGGCCAATATGGCAACACCCTGTCTCTACTAAAAAGATACAAAAACTAGCCGGGTGTGGTGCTGGGCACCTGTAATCCTAGCTACTGGGGAGGCTGAGGCAGGGAGAATTGCTTGAACCCAGGAGGTGGAAGTTGCAGTGAGCCGAGATCGCGCGATTGTACTCCAGCCTGGGTGACACAGTGAGACTTTGTCTTGGGGGAAAAGAAAAGGAAAAAAGAAAAAGAAAATAACAAAAAAAATTAAAGCCTTAGAGGGAGAATGAGGGTATAAGCAAGAAGCAAGGCTGCGTGGTGGCTCAAGCCTGTAACCTCAGCACTTTGAGAGGCTGAGGCAAAAAAATCACCTGAGGCTAGGAGTTCAGGACCAGCCTGGGCAACATAGAAAGATTCTGTATCTGAAAAAAAAAAAAAAATAATCAGCTGGGTGTGGTGGCATGCACCTGTAGTCCTAGCTACTTGGGAAGCTGAGACAGGAGAATCACTTGACCCCAGGAGCTCGAGGCTGCAGTGAGGTATGATCACACCACTGTACTCCAGCTTGGATGACAGAGTGAGACTCTGTCTCCAAACCAAAAACAAAACCATAAAAACTAACAAAGCAAAAAGATAAAAACAAGAGGCAAGTGAGGGCCAAGGAGAGTGCATGAAAAATTTTACTTTTTTGGAGCTTTTTTTTTGTCTTAAGTTCTTTTTATGTGGTGCAGTGAGAGTTCTGGTCCTTCATTCAATACTTACTTATCTCCTGCCACATCAAGTATGTGTAAATGTAGGGAAGAAGGCGATAAAGAAATAAATAGGGCTAGATGTGGTGGCTCATGCCTGAAGTCCCAGCACTTTGGGAGGCCAAGGCGGGTGGATCACCTGAGGTCAGGAGTTCGAGACCAGCCTGGTCAACATGGTAAAATCCCGTCTCTACTAAAAATACAAAAATTAGCTGAGCGTGTTGGGGGGCACCTGTAATCCCAGCTACTCGGGAGGCTGAGGCAGGAGAATCGCTTGAACCTGGGAGGCGGAGGTTGCAATGAGCCGCAGTGTCATCACTGCACTCCAGCCTGGTTGAGAAGAGTGAAACTCCATCTCAAAAAAAAAAAAAAAAATAATAATAATAATAATAAGCAGGCATCCTTGAAGTGTTTCTCAGAAAGGGGACACAAAACTTACTGCCATGAAACTGGCAGAGGAAGGGTAGTATGGCATATTGTATTGACAGCTTATAACAAATAAAATTATGATAATAGACTGAATTAGACTACACAGGAGTCAGAACACTGTCTCTTTTACTTTTTTAGTTACAGTCTATAAATCCAGTTGTGAAAATATATTGGAAGAGACAGATGGGTGCCACGTCTAGCTTCACACAAACATTATAAATAAAACATTTCTTGTAATGCTTGGAATTTTGCTTGGTGCATTTTAAAAGATCCACATTTTAAAGCCCTGAGCTGTAGATTCATTAGAAAATGTAATTTTACTACTGATGCCAAACATAAATACGTATGCATGCAATTTTCTGCATCTTGAATAACTTTTTAAAAAATTTATTCACAGTCTAGTTCACAAATAATCAACCTTTGATTCTCCACCCTACAGATTATAGATCGTTGGACTGTCTATGTGAATATTTCAAACTCAGATCCTCTTCCCAAGTTATTTCTTTTTTTTTTTTTTTGCTTGTTTGCAAAAATTAAGTATGTGTTGAGAAAATGTAAATGAATTTTAATGCTAGCTTCAGGGGAGAAATAATTTTGAAGGGAAATTTTGCTTTTGGAGAAAACCCAAAATAAGCCATCACTGTATCCCTGAGTCAGTTAAACATAGTTTCTGGCCATTAACATAGATTGCATAAATTTGGCAACAAATTCACATCTTGCCCAGGCAATAATTCCTTTATTAAGTTCACAGCTACTGTATAAGCTTGTTGAGAGTGCTTAGGAAGTTATCTTTATTAGCAGAATTCTATCTTCCGTATCCTGCTTTGACTATTTCTGCCAAGTCTTTGGAGCTTGGGATAATCAATTGCTGTTGCTCTCTTGACATGACTGTGATGTTTCATAAATATTCCATGAATTGTTACAAATCCAGCCAAATTACTTCAGCCAAACTAAATAGGTTGGAAATTAGGATGTTTGATGTCAAGTGCATCCTACAAATAATTTTCTCCAACGTCTGTCTTTAAGGGAAGAAAAACCATCTCAGAGATATTAAATGATTCTTCAAATTCACAGAGCATGTGACTAGCAGTGTGAAAAGTAGAATGTAGCTGCGCACGGTGGCTTATGCCTGTAATCCCAGCACTTTGGGAGGCTGAGGAGGGTGGATCACTTGAGGTCAGGAGCTCAAGACCAGCCTGGCCAACATGGTGAAACCTCATCTCTACTAAAATTACGAAAATTAGCTGAGCATGGTGGCGGGCTCCTGTAGTCCCAGCTACTGGGAAGGCTGACGCAGGAGAATTGCTTGAATCTGGGAGGCAGAGGTTGTAGTGAGCCTAGATCGCATCACTGTATTCCAAGCTGGGCAACAGAGAAAGACGCTGTCTCAAAAAAACAAAAACAAAACCAACAACAAAAAAGAAACTAGAATGTTAGTCTACTGATTCTCAATCTACTATTGTTTTCTCATTACACAATTTGGGTAGCAGCCCCACGTACTTGGTTGACCCAACATGCCTACTGGTATTGTTTCTCAGCAGCATCATGGTGCAAGGGTTTCCATCTGAATTAATAACACAATGCATGTAAATTACTTAGAACCTAGAAAGCCATCAATGAATGTTAACAATTCTTATTTTACTTCTTCTCCTTCTTTTATTATTAACTGCTTTATTTTTGCCTTGGTATTTTCTTTTTCTTTTTCTTTTTTTTTCCTTGAGACAGGGTCTTGCTCTGTCGCCCAGGCTGGAGTGCAGTGGCATGATCTCGGCTCACTACAACCTTCACCTTCCCAGTTTAAGCAATTCTAATTCCTCAGCTGAGACTATAGGTGCATGCCACCACCATGCCAGGCTAATTTGTGTATTTGTAGTAGAGATGGGGTTTCACCATGTTGCCCAAGCTGGTCTTGAACTCCTGGCCTCAAATGATCCACCCACCTTGGCCTCCCAAAGTGCTGGGATTACTGGCGTGAGCCACCACCGCGCCTGGACTACCTTGGTATTTTTATGCTAGAGGTAGCCAACAAGTAAACTCTGATCTATTCATAGCCTTTGAAGAATGCTTGGTATATTTACATAATCCGTTTGCCACTCCACTCTGTTTCCCATATTTTGCTCTTGTTTGTTAGGACTGTTAGGTAGGAGGGAGGTAGTTGTTAGTTTTATCAATTAGGAATGCATTTTGTAGCAAGTAATAGAAATATTGATGAACAGTGGCTTGTCACAAAGACAATCACTGCTCACTTAATAAGAAATTTCACCTTGGTGTGTTGGCTCATGCCTGTGATCCCAGCACTTTGAGGGGGCTGAGGTGGAAGGATCACTTGAGACCAGGAGTTCAAGACCAGCCTGGGCAACACCGTTGCAAGACACAGCAAGACCGTGATAGGCATGATGGCTCATACTTGTAGTCCCAGATACTCCAGAGGCTGAAGTAGGAGGATTGCTTGAGCCTAGGAGTTAGAGGCTGCAGTGAGCTATGATCATGCCACTGTACTCCAGCTTGGGTAACAGCGAGAACCTGTCTCAAAAACAAACAAACAAACAAAAAACAGAAACCTGAACCAGGGCAAAACACCTTCACCTCCTGAGACACCTTTGTTTGAAAATATAAGCTTTCTTCTAATGTTTTTATTAGCCAGGACTGTAATACATGGCTAGTGCTCACTGCAAGTGAGGCTGGAACAGTAAATGTTTAGTTCTCTAGCCTCTGTAGCAAAGCATGAGAAAGGAGAAGGAGGTTCGGAAAATTGCTGGGTCAGCCACCTAAAAAGGTCTATTACACAATTTGGGTAGCAGCCCCACATAGTTGGTTGATCCTAACATGCCTACTGGTGCAGTTTCTTGGCAACATCACGGTTCAAGGGTTTCCATCTGAATTGATAAAATGCAGTGCAATGCATATAAATTGTTTAACCTGGCTACCTGGCATTACAAACACAATTCATTTCCTTCTTCCCTGCATTTTATCTAGTATACACTCAACCTTCCTCAAGGAGACAGCCCTCATGGCTTAAGTTTTATTTATTTCTGGGCAATTTTAAATGTTAGTACCATGGATAAAGAGATTATTTAGGCTCCATTTTTAAAATTTGATAATTCTTTTCCCTTCCCATTTTCGCTTTTCTTTGTTTGCTTGTTTGTTTGTTTGTTGTTGTTGGAGACAGAGTTTTTGGCCCTGTTGGCCAGGCTGGAGTGCAGTGGTGTGATCTCAACTTGCTGCATACTCTGCGTCCTGGGTTTAAGCGATCCTCCTGGGTTTAAGCGATTCTCCTGTCTCAGCCTCCTGAGTAGCTGGGGTGCTGGGATTAGAGGCATGCACCACCATGCCTGGCTAATTTATTGTATTTTTAGTAGGAACGCAGTCTCACCCTGTTGGCCAGGCTGGTCTCAAACTCATGACCTCAACTTGATCTGCCCGCCTCGGCTTCTCAAAGTGCTGAGATTACAGAAGCCAGTCACCATGCCTGGCCGCCACTTCTAGTTTCTACCATCCTTCTTACACCTAAATGTATGGGCAGTTGCCTTGAAGAAATTTGAAACGGTAGGTTCTGGGTTCTGGTGGGCAGATACCATGGTGAACTTGTTCTTTGCTACCAGGGTCTTTAATCTTATATCTTGGTAAAACATCTGCTTCCTTGTTTACACTTTAAAATTTACAATTTAGAAACAGTGAAATGCATAGGGCTTTGGTGCACAATTTGATGAATTTGGTAAATGTATATGCCTATGTAACCACTTAAAAGTATATACTTGGCTGGGTGCAGTGGCTTATGCCTGTAATCCCAGGACTTTGGAAGACTGAGGCAGGAGGATCCCTTGAGGCCGGGAGTCTGAGGTCAGTTTGGGCAACATAGCGAGACCCTGTCTCTACAAAAAACAAACAAAAACCCTAAAAAATACCACCCAAATTAACAAATTAGCCAGGCATGGTGGTACGCACCTGTATTCCTAGCTGCTCAGGAGGCTGAGGTGGGAGGAGAAATTCAAGGTTACAATGAACCATGATCATGCCACTGCCCTCCAGCCTGGGTGACAGAGGGAAACCCTGTCTCTGAAACAAATACACAAAAAATGTATATACTCATGTAACCATGTTTCTGGGCTGCCATCACAAAGTGTACTATGAACTGAGTGGCTTAAAACAGTGTCAGTTTATTTTCTCACAGTTCTAAAGGATGGATGTTCGAAATGAAGGTGTCAGCTGGGCTGTGGTTCCTCTAACACCTGCAGGGAGAACGTTCTACTTTCTTGCCTCTTTCTGTCTTCTAGTGGTTTTCAGCAATCTTTGCCATTCATTGGCATATAAGAGTATAATTCCATTTTCTGCCCTTATTATCACATGGCGTTCTTCCTATGTGTCTCTGTCTTCTTCTTCTTCTTTTTTTTTTTTTTTTTTTGACGGAGTGTTGCTCTTGTCACCCAGGCTGGAGTGCAATGGCGTGATCTTGGCTCCCAGGTTCAAGTGATTCTGCTGCTTCAGCCTCCAGAGTGGCTAGGATTATAGGCATGTGCCACCATGCCCGGCTAATTTTTGTATTTTTAGTAGAGATGAGGTTTAGCCATGTTGGCCAAGCTGGTCTTGAACTCCTCACCTCAGATGGCCTGCCCACCTTGGCCTCCCTGAGTGCTGGGATTACAGGCGTGAGCCACTGCACCTGGTCCATATGGCCATCTTCTTAAAAGGATACCAGTTGTTGGATTAGAGTCCATCCTACTCCGTTTTTTCTCTCTCTTTAATGTGTATAGGTTTCTTCTTTCTTGATCTTTTATCTCCTTTCTTTACATTTTTTCTTTCTTTCTTCTTTCTTTTTGCCTTTATCTTGTTTGTGGTAGTCTGATCATGGATTCATCAGGAAGCCTGGGAAATCTTCACTTGTTATATATTCAAATATTTCTTCTTTTATGTTGTCTTCCCTTTTGGATTTTCATTACATGTATGTTAAATCTCTCATTGTCTCACAGGTCACTGAATCTCCATCAATATGTTTCTGTATCTTTTTCTTTCTGTTCTTCAGATTGGATGATTTCTATTGATCTGTCTTCAAATTCGTTGATTCTTCTGCCATCTCTAATCTTCTGTTAAGCCCATCCAGTGAACTTTTTATTACTGATATCATACTGTTTAGTTCTAGAATTTTTATTCGGTTCATTGTAATAGTTTTTGTTTCTCTGCAGAGGTTCTCCATCTAGTCACCTATTAGGACATATTTTCCTCTGAGTCTTTGAACTTCATTTTAATTCCTCTTTTAAAGTCCTTATCTGCCAATTTCAATATCGAGTCATCTTGGGGTCTGTTTCTATTGACTGTGTTTTCCACTATGTGACATGTTTTTCTGTTTTTTTTTTTTTTTTTTAATCTCCAATAAGTTTTTTTCTTGTAGTACATTGTGGATAATGCCTTGTAAAGAATCTTAATTATGCTCTTTTTCTTGAATAATGTTGTTTTTATTCTCAAAAGCAGTTATTGTCCAAACACCTTGACTTTATAGAAATTTGTTCTTATGCTCTTTTACGGCATTTTTCTATTTTGTCCTTGATTCTAGGATGAACCCCTCAGTTTTGGGACTTAGTTTTTATTTCAAGGGACTAGCCCTTCTAGTTTCAATTGAAATTCCAAACGTTTTGCCAATCTCTGTAATTTGACAAGATTTGAACCCCAAACTCTGTCTCTCCAGCCTCTATGGAGGGCGGCAGCTGAAATCTCTGCTCAGCACTTTCAGCATTCTGGCAATTCTGTCCCCTTGTGCTCCTGTGCCTGAGCAGTTCAGAGGTCAGCTGTGGATTTGAAAGGCTTTGCCCTGTGCAGCTCTCTCCTTTCTGGAATATTTCCTTTCTATTTGTAACTCTTCTGGCAGCCCCAAACTTTGTATCTGACACCTTGATCCATTAAGACTTTAAGTTATCCTTAAGTTCTAACCACCTCATGGCTCATACTGACAGAGGAGTATCTTCAGAAGAAAAGCCATATAAACATGTATGTGTCCTCTTTGTTTTTGTTTTTTTGTTTTGAGACAGAGTCTTGTTCTGTTGCCCAAGGTGGAGTATAGTGGCATGATCTTGGCTCACTGCAATCTCTGCCTCCCAGGCTCAAGTGATTCTCTTGCCTCGGCCTCCTGAGTAGCTAGGATTACAGGCATGCACCACCATGCCTGGCTAATTTTTTTTTTGTATTTTTAGTAGAAACTGGGTTTCACCATGTTGCCCAGGCTGATCTCGAACTCCTGTCCTCAAGTGATCTGCCCACCTTGGTCTCCCAAAGTGCCAGGACCACAGCTATGAGCCACCATGCCTGGCCCATATATCCTCTTTGTTTTTTAACCCCCAAGATTCTGATCCCCTTCACTTTCTATCTGCTTTTGGCCACCATCCTATGCCTTCAAATATTTATTTTCCATATTTTGTTTAGAATTTATTGCTGTTATCTGTAGGAGGGTTAGTCTGATAAGAGCTACTCTGCCATTACTGAAACCAATACTTTCTGCCAACAATTGTTATATATTTAATTTAGGGCACAGAAATTGGCTCTTAAGACTCAAGGTAATAGATTATGTGACTCTCAGTGAATTTTGTTTCCAAGTAGAAGGCAGAGAGAGCCTCTAGTAGCAAAGATGTAATTTATTCTTTCTGTGCTATAATATCAGTTACCTCTATTCTAAGTTTGTCTCTGTCTTATAGAATGTTGTTGAAAACTTCTAGAAGGAACTGACATATACCAAAATCCTAATATATATATATAATATATATATAAAGTATTATATCATTCAGTTCCTAGATTTGCCTCCATGACATTACAAGAATCACCAACTTTTTTTCTTTTTTTGTTCAAGTTTTGTTTTAAGCTCAGGGCTACATGTGCAGGATATGCAGGTTTGTTACGTAGGTGAGCATGTGTTATGGTGGTTTGCTGCACCTAGATATTAAGCCCAGCATCCATCAGCTATTCTTCCGGATGCTCTCCCTCTTCCCACCCGCCACTGCCCCCTACAGGCCCCCGTGTGTGTTGCTCCCCTCCCTGTGTCCCTGTCTTCTCATCATTCAGCTCCCACTTACAAGTGAGAACATGCGGTACAAGAATCGCCAACTTTCTAGCTCAAAATAGTTGAGTCTTCTTTGCCCAGCATTCTACCTCCTTCAGGCAGAGAGTTCCACATTTTAGGGTCTGTTTCCTCCAGCCACCATTTTAGGTACCAAATTCTAGATAATTTAGGATATATTTAGCTGTAAGTAAACAAATTGAGTGCCTTAAGCAAATAGAATTTTTTTGCCATTGTTTTATATGAGAAATCTGGGGTAGAAAGCCACTACCTTGGATTCAACTGATTTATGACATTATTTAGGCCTCTTTCCATCCTTCTCCACCTTATTCTTCTTTAGAAAGGAGAATTGACAGGGCTGGGTGATTATCACTGAAGGTGAAAGAGGTAGATATTTCTGAAGTCCATGACCACCAGCTCAACAGGTAGATGATTAATCACCATGTCAGGGAATACAGAAAGAAAGAAAGATGTGGACAATTTGGAGGTTCCCTTGAGATTTCCCAAGTGAAGGCAGGGAATCCTCCTTATGTCATCCTCTTATTTATTGAGTTAGTTAGTTTACGTTTCTCCTCATGGTCAAAAAATGGCTGTTGAAGCTCCTGCCATGGTGACCTGACTCTGTAGAAGGGACATGGAGGGACCCAGCTCTGTCTGCCCTTTTCATCAGAAAAGCACAAGATATCCCAGAAGCTCCCTGCCAGCTTCTGTTTAACTTGGTTAGGTTTCATTGACCAAGATTGAGTTCCGTGGTCATCCCTTCAAACAAAGGAGGCTGGGAAGTGAGTATTTGACTTCTCCTAGCTTTCTATCCGGTATGGAAGGAAGATTTTGGGAATGGTTGCAGGGCTAGCTTGGGGACAGTGCTGCAGCAGCCATGGTGCTGGTAACCTTTCTCCATGCAGGGGCTTGCCATCAGCGGCGTGCCCCTCCCAGTCCTCAGAATATCAGGCTGGAGGGAGCTGAGATTCTAAGATAAGCTGAGATAATAAGTAGCTCCTTACTATAGCAGAGCTTTGAATTCATGAACCCACTGTTATTTATCAGGGTTGCAATGGATCCACAAATATCCATGTTGTGCAAATACTAAGTGTTAGAGGCTTACTTTAGTGTTGCATAAAAATAAAGTGTTCTGGCTGGGCATGGTAGCTCATGCCTGTAATCCCAGCACTTTGAGGGGTCGAGGTGGGCAGATCACTTGAGGTCAAGAGTTTGAGACCAGCCTGGCCAACATGGTGAAACCCCATCTCTACTAAAACTACAAAAGTTAGCTGGGCATGGTGGCGCATGCCTGTAATCCCAGCTACTCGGGTGGCTGAGGCAGGGGCATCGCTTGAACCTGGGAGCTGGAGGTTGCAGTGGCACTAGATTGCACTACTGCACTCCAGCCTGGGTGGCAGAACGAGACTCTGTTTAAAAAAAAAAAAAAAACTAAAAAGAAAATAAATAGTGTTCTTTAATGCTGATGATTATGACGGATGTCTCTTCCTTCCTGTGGCCATCATGAGAACTCATCAGGGAGTCATATTTTATGGCAATCTAATCTCTCCCTAGCATCTCAGTAGAATAACCATGTTATTCTCTGTGTTACTACGTAACTTAGTGTGCAGACCCACAGGATAGGGGAATACCAGATGGACTTGTTTGGGTTGGTTGCCCAGACAAGCCCTTGCCTTTCTGTCTGTTCTCACCTGCCTTCACTTTGGAAGTCGCAAGGGAACCTCCAAGTTGTCCACATCTGCTCTTCTTTTTGTGTTCCCTGACACAGTGATTAATGGTCTGTCTGTTGGGCTGCTGGTCACAGACTTCAGAGATATCTGTTTCTTTCACCTTCAGTGGAAATCACTCAGCTCTGTCAATTCTTCTTTCTAAATATTTTTTGCACCTACCCACTTTTTATTTTATTATTATTTTTTAAATGAAGTCTCACTCTGCCACCCAGGCTGGAGTGCAGTGGCGTGATCTTGGTTCACTGCAACCTTTGCCTCCCAGGTTCAAGCCATCCTCCTGCCTCAGCCTCCCTAGTAACTGGGATCACAGGCGCCCACCACCATGCGTAGCTAATTTTTGTATTTTTAGTGGAGGTGGGGTTTCACCATGTTGGCCAGGCGGGTCTCAAACTCCTGACCTCAGGTGATCCACCTGCCTTGGCCTCCCAAAGTGCTGGGATTACAGGCATAAGCCACTATGCCTGGCTGTGTTATTTTATTTTAGAGACAGGGTCTCGCTCTGTTGCCCAGGCTGGAGTACAGTGGCGTGGTCATAGTTCTCTGCAGCCTCAGCCTTCTGGGTTCAAGTGATCCTCCCTGCCTCAGCCTCTGAAGTAGCTGGATTACAGGCACACACCACATGCCTGGCTAATTTTTAAAAAATGATTTTGAGATGGGGTCTTGCTATATTGCCCAGGCTCTAGTTCTTTAAATCTCTACCACAAGTGTCCTAGCATTGCACAGCATATCACTGAAGCCATTATTGATTGCAATAAACAGAATACCCAACCAAAAGTGCCTTCATCAGTGAGAGGCTTTTTGTTTGTTTCTTTAAAAATCTCACATAATAACAGCCAGGCTCAGTGGCTCATGCCTGTAATCCCAGCACTTTGAGAGGTTGAGGTGGGTGGAAATCTGAGGTCAGGAGTTTGAGACCAGCCTGGCCAACATGGAGAAACCCCATCTCTACTAAAAATATAAAAATTAGCCAGGCATAGTGGCTTATGCCTGTAATCCCAGCTACTCAGGAGGCTGAGGCAGGAGAATTGCTTGAACCTGGGAGGCAGAGGTTGCAGTGAGTCGAGACCACTGTACTCGGATCTGGGCGACAGAGCGAGACTCCATCTCAAAAACAAACAAACAAACAAATAAATAAATAAATCTCACATAATAAGAGGTAAGAGATAGGGCAGCTACAGGGCTGATTTAGTGAGTCAAAAATGGCATCAAGACTCGGGTACTTTCAAACTACTCGCTCCACTACCCTTAATGCCTCAGTCCTCAGCATCACAAGATGCCAGCAACAGTTCTCAGCACGACTTGCAGATACACATCAAGCAAAGAAGAGGGATGTGTCTTGCTGTGTCATGTCACTCTTTACGGGGAAGGAAAGCCTACCCATGAGGGCCCTCTGTAGCCTTACTCTCAGGTCTCAGTGGCCATGATTGGGTCACTTCTCCACACTGTAGCTAAACAAGGCTGTGAAAGTGAGTTTCTGGCATTTTCAGCTGTTGGTGTGGGAAGCAGGTTCTGCTGGCCAGGACGAAGGTTGGATTGGAGAGGTGGAGTGGGGAAGGAATATTTTGGGGGAGGCATTCAATATGATCTGCCTCATGCAAACTCATCTCCTGCCTGGACTACGGCCAGGGCCTCCTACTCTTTCTCTTTGTTTCTGGTCTTGCTTCCTTTCAATCCATTCTCCCCACATTGCTGCTGCCAGGGGGATGTTTCCAAAGTGTTTAATTATTGTATTAATTTATGTGCTTAGTTATTTATTGTCAGCATCTCTCATGATAATGTAAACTACATGACGGAAGAGACCTTGTCTGTTTTGTTCCTGCTTTTATCCCCTAGAGCAGAGCCTCTCACATCAAAGGTACTTACTAAATATGTCTTGGCTGGCTGAATGAGTGAAATATAAATCTGATTCTGTGAATCTTCTCTTAAAACCTTCAAATGGGCTGGGCGCAGTGGCTCACACCTGTAATCACAGCACTTTGGGAGGCCGAGATGGGTGGATCAGCTGAGGTCAGGAGTTCAAGACCAGCCTGGCCAACATTGTGAAACCCTGTCTCTATTAAACATAAAAAATATTAGCCAGGCATGGTGGCGGGTGCCTGTAATCCCAGCTACTCTGGAGGCTGAGGCAAGAGAATCGCTTGAATGGGGGAGGCACAGGTTGCAGTGAGCCGAGATTGTGCCACTGCACTCCTGCCTGGGCAACAAGAGCAAAACTCTTTCAAAAACAAACAAACAAACAAACAAACTAACTGACTAACTTTCAAATGGTTTTCCTTTGCCCCTGAGGTGAATTCATATCTTCTGGAAATTGGAAAGGTCTGTCCCTCCATTTCCACTTCTCCTTCCTCCTCTCCTCCAGTTTTCTGGAACTTTCTTCAGTTTTTCAAAAATACCCTGTTTTTTTTTTCCCCTGTCTTCCTAAAAGTCTTTTTGTTTCTCACTTTACATGATTAAATCCTTCTCTGGAAGCACATTTCAGTGGAAATGTCACCTTCTCTGGGAAACTTTCCGGACCTTTCTCTCACTAGGCATTGTTGGAAGCCCCTGAGTCCTCCCGTAGCACAGGTTGGTCTCAAACTCCTGGGTTCAAGTGCTCCTCCTGTCTTGGCCTCTTAAAGTGCTGGGATTACAGGTGTGAGCCACTGCACCCAGCCAGCGTATTTTAAGGTACTTGTCTATCTTCCTAGATCAGGAATTTTTGAGGACATGGACCATGTCTTATTCATCTTTGCATATCGTTGTTGTGTGCAGTACTTGGCATGCAACGCATTCAACAAATATTTGCCAAATGGGTAAGTGAATGAATGAATGAATGAGCTCTGACCAGTAGTTCCCATGTCATCGATCAAGATCTCCCACTAGGACAGATGGGCTCAACCGATTGGTTTGTACATTCTGCTGGTATTTGTTAATAAATTAGTACATTGTTTTATACTTCCATCAATTTGACTGGCGTTTATGTCATTTCATGAGCATCTGTCTCAACCATGGCAATCACAGCTCTCTGTAGGCAGAGGTTATGTCTTGGTAGTAATCCTGGCATCCTCTCAACACTCAGCATCACCACTCACAGAGACTTACAAGTGCATGAAGTGCTTTGTGATTTGAAGTCTCTGCCTCTGAGGTTTTTGCAGGTGGGGTTGTGATATTCAGCCCCATCATCCTGAAGCAGCTTTAGAAGGAACTGGTGGCTTCTGTGTCTCTGTCCCCCAGAGCACTCCCACCACGGGAGGTGCATCCCTCAGAGTGAGGAGATTATGATACAAACAGAACACTTTGCCCCAGTAGGGCGCTTATGTCTGGATGGTGGTGAGCATGGCCCAATGTGTTGGGATGCCCAGCTTGAGCTGCACCAAGCTCTGCCTGTAGGTCGCTACGGTGGTGACATGGGGACTCATGGGGCCCTTCCCCAAGGGATGGCTCTGTGCTGGCTTCCAGGCACAGAGGCAGTGATGGAGTCTTGCCTCCAGGCCAGTCAGTGTGAGCATTAGTCAGGCTTTGTGGCTTGGGTCCTAGTGTTGTGGGCCCGACTGCCTACTCTCCATCAGGTGCCCACATTTGGGCAGATGCTGCCGGAGAGTGCCTCTTTGCACCATGGTCTGAAGATACAGGGGGCTCTTCACAGCATTCTGTATTCAGGGGTCCTTTCTGAGCAGCTGGTCCTGTCCTATCCAAGCAGTTTTGCCTATAATCCTTCTATTGCTTGGTTTCCTTAGGAAAACAATCTTCCATTATTTGGTAAGCCCATGCCATTTTTTTGCTTAAACATGGAAGTCCATTGCTGGACCCTGATGGCCTTCCAGGTTCTCCTTGGTTTGTCCTCTTCTAGAGAATCTCATTGGGTGATTTTGGACCACTAGTTGCCTATGTTAGCTGAATGATGGCCCCTGCAAAGATGTTCATGTCCTAACCTTGGAACCTCTGAATATGTTACCTTCTATGGCAAAAGGGACTTTGCAGATGTGATTAAGAGATTCTCCTGGAGTATCTGAGTGGGTTTAATGTAACCACAAGGGTCCTTATAAGAGTGAGGCAGGAGATTAGAGAGAGGAAAAAATGCTATTCAGCTGGCATTGAAGGTGGAGGAGGGAGCCATGGTTGGTGTCTGGGAGCTGGAAGAGGCAAGGAATGGATTATTTGCTGAGCTTCCAGAGGGAACCATCCCAGCTACCACCTTGCTTTGAGCCCCATAAGACTCACTTTGGACCTCTGACATCCAGAGCTATAGGATAACAAATTTGTGTGGTTTTAAGCCATAGAGTTAGGGTAATTTGTTACAGCAGAAATGGGAAACTAATATATTGCCCCTTGGTTGGCATTATAGCCCTCCCTAGTACAAAGGGTCTCTGGCCAATAGGATCACTCACTTTTGGAACTCCAAATGAAGCTCTATGCGTCTGCTCAGGCTGCCATAACCAAGTGTCACAGAATGGGTGGCTTAAACAACACACATTTTCTTTTTCTTTTTCTCTCTCTCTTTTTTTTTTTTTTGAGACAGAGTCTTGCTCTGTCGCCCAGGCTGGAGTGCAGTGGCGTGATCTCGGCTCATTGCAAGCTCCGCCTCCCAGGTTCAAGCCATTCTCCTGCCTCAGCCTCCCGAGTAGCTGGGACTACAGGCACCTGCCACCACGCCCGGCTAATTTTTTGTATTTTTAGTAGAGATAGGATTTCACCGTGTTAGCCAGGAAGGTCTCGATCTCCTGACCTTGTTAAACAACACATATTTTCTAACTGTTCTGGAGGCTGGAAGCCCAAGGTGTTGGCAAGATTGGTTTCTGGTGAAGCCTCTCTTTCTGCCTTGCAGATGGTCATTTCTCACTGTGCCCTCAAATGTCCTTCCCTCTGGGCATGCAGGGAGAGAAAGTGAGATCCCTGGTGTTTCTTCCTTTTCTTTTTAAAAATTAATTAATTATCATTATTTTTTTAGAGACATGATCATGCCCTGTTGTCCAAACTGGAGTGCAGTGGTGTGATCATAGCTCACTGCAGCCTCCGACTCCTGGGCTCAAGCAATCCTCCCACCTCAGCCTCCTGAGTAGCTGGGACTAAAAGCACACACCACCATGCCCAGCTAATTAAAAAAAAAAATTGTAGAGACAGGATCTCATTATGTTGCTCTCATTATGTTGAGTTGGTCTCCAACTCCTAGGCTCAAGTAATCCTCCTTTCTCTTCAGCCTCCCAAAGCATTGGGATTACAGGCATGAGACACTGGGCCTGGCTCTCTTCCTCTTCTTATTAAGGACACCAGCCTTATCGGATTAAGCCTTACCCTATGACCTTAGTTAACCCCATAACCTCCTTAAAAGCCCTGCTGGAGGTTAGGACTTCAACATCTGAGTTTTAGTAGAGGGAGACACAGAGGCCCTCTGTGGTTATATCAGGGCAAAAAGGGTAAAGGTTTCTCAGGCCATTTACATCTCGGGTGTTCAGTGCCCTTTGCAAATAAGAGTGTTGTGTAGAGACATTGCTGACACATTGGTATCCTCAAGATGGTACCCATGTGAGTTTACCTTCTGCTTTTATAATCCAGAGCTTCAGAGGCTAATTCGGGATATTTGAGGACTTTTCATCAAGCATCTTTGGCCAGTCTTTCACTGACGGCAAATGAATTCTTCTGGGCCAGTCGTCAGACATGTAGATGGCGAGCTTTGAGAGTTAAGTTCAAGTTCAAGTTTGGCTTGGCCAAGGCATTTTGCATGACGCTGGACAAGGTGTCCATAATCCCGTAGTATGCCCCTATTTTTTTTTTTTTAATTTTACTTCCCTCCTTAGTTAAAAGAAGCAGTTTGTCTGGCCCTAGGTCATTATTTTATCTTTCTAGGAGTTGAAGCCATTTCTATTTTCCCAATCCCAGCCTTCTGTGATCTAGCCTGAGGCTTTCCTGGTAAAAGGGATGCTTCCAACACCATTGCAGGGACATCTCATCATGAGATCCAGTCTTGGAGACCTCCCTCCTAGTGTCCAATTCACAGAGAAGTTACTCTGGGCCAGTGTCCACTCCACTGCCCCGAAATGCGAATTGTTAGTGGTTCAGGCTGCCTTGGAAAAATGAAAGTCTCATGTCAAGAGCACTGGGCACATTTAAAAATCATTCTAACCACCAAAGCCCAGGTTAGCCAGGACCAGCTCCCAGGCTGATACTAGGCAGAGTGCTTCAAAGCATCCTTCAAGTGCCCAGTGGCAGAAACTACCCAGTGGATGTCCTGCGATGAAAGGCCAGGGCACCATACAGACCTCCCCTTACTCAGAGAGGGCCTTTTTCTAACAACTTTCTTTTTCTTTTTTCTTTTTATTTTTTTAGAGACAGGTTCTCACTCTGTTGGCCAGACTAGGGTGCAGTGACGAATCATGGCTCACTGCAGCCTTGAACTCCGGCTCAAGTGATCCTTCTGCTTCAGCCTCCCGAGTAGCTGGGACTGTAGGCACATACCACCATCCTTGGCTATTTTTTTTTTTTTTAATTTTGTAGAGACAAGGTCTCGTTATATTACCCAGGCTGGACTTGAACTCCTTGCCTCAAGCAGTCCTCCCACCTCGACCTCCCAAAGTGCTGGGATTACAGGAGTGAGCCAATGCACCTGGCTGACAACTTTCCAGAAATCCAGTACTGGCAGCAGGTAGACAATTTCTGACCAAGATCCTGCCACCACGTCTGCCCTAGAGGTTCCCCAAGGGCAGAGAGAGGCAGGATCTCTCCTACTGGAACAGTGGGCATATTTTTTGGTGGAGCAGCCCACGCGTAGGTGTGATCTTGCTGTAATAATGTCCCCTGGCAGGTAAGATTGCTGCAGCCAAGGGGTGTTAGAGGAAGATCCTTAAATACTCTTCTTGGAACAGAATTTGGGTCTCTAAGCAAGAAGTGCCAGTCTTAACATTCACTGTTTGTGACTGATTTATAGGAAAAGTGGCTTGATTCTGGTAGCCGGGGGAGCCCAGTGTGAACACTGAGGTTCTAGCCTGTTCTAGTGGTTGCTTTGATTGATACTCAGCCATGAAAGGGACATAGCTCAGATACTGACAAAACAGCTTTGTATTTGAGTGTGTTTGTCCAACTGGCAAGGAACAGTCTGGGGACAAACAGTGCCTTATTTGGAGTTGTTTATTCTTCTCCCCCATGGAGTGACCTCAGATAACCTTTCCCAGCTTGGAAAGACCTGAATCAGATTTTGTACAGCCTAGAGGAACAAGTCTGTAGCCTGGGGAATGCTTCCTGTCACGTTTAGAACCTAAGAAAAACTAGGAAAAACTCTAATCCTCTCTGGTGCCTCTCTCTCGGCTGGTAGCTGGGAATTGAAGTCTGAGGACCTGAATTTTCCTGGAGGGCAATGTGCACCAGCTTTGGCCGGGAAACATCTCAAGTTTCTGCTTCTAGGACCATAACCATGGATTCCTCAGTGTTGTTCCTATTGCTGGGCTTGTGGACTGCTGAGACCTGTGGTTCCTGGCAGGTAGATAGGTTGTATCAAACTGGTCACTAGTCATCAGATGCTAATGGACTGAAGAAGCCCTAGAAAGATCTCTTTCATGTGTTGCTCTCTCGCACCATGCAAACTCCAGCTATGTGAAGATCGTAGCTCTCTAGGGCTCTCACAGGAAATCAGACACCAACAGAAATGGGTGCAGATGTGAGAGGGAAGGCCTTGAAGCCACAGTCATCTTGGCATAAACAGAACATCCTGTTTTGTTTTGTTTTCACAGAGAACCCTGGTCTCCCCATAGGGGAGGCAGAGACCTATGAAATCTCTTCATAGCTTTGGGTTTGGAAAGAATGTATAGACCAGGGATGGCGGCTCACACCTGTAATCCCAGCACTTTGGGAGGCCAAGGCAGGCGTCTCACTTGAGGTCAGGCATTCAAGACCAGCCTGGCCAACATGGTGAAACCCCATCTCTACTAAAATACAAAACTTAGCTGGGCAGTAGTGGGTGCCTGTAATCCAAGCTACCTGGGAGGCTGAGGCAGGAGAATCACTTGAACTCAGGAGATGGAGGTTACAGTGAGCCGAAATCACGCCACTGCACTCCAGCCTGGGCGACAGAGCGAGATTCTGTCTTGAAAAAAAAAAAAAAAGAAAAGAATAAAAATAAAAATAAAAAATAAAAATAGCCAGGTGTGGTGATATGCACCTGTAGTCCCAGCTACTCGGGAGGCTGAGATCAAAGGATCTCTTGAGCTCAGGAGTTCAAGGCTGCAGTGAGCTATGACTGTGCTACTGAACTCCAGCCTACACCATGGAGTGAGACCCTGTCTCTAACAACAACAACAACAACAAAAACGATATCTGCTGGGCAGGCACATGGGTGGAAGGTAGCTGGTTAGTCTTGCAGGCACATTCAGAACGTTCCCTGGCTGAGAGCAGGATGTGGGAGAAGGTAGCGCATTGGAAAGGGTCCCCCAAGTGGGAGGCAGCACTGATGATAGACTCCTGAATGTGACGTGTGGGTCTATTACGGGGTTGAATTGTGTCCTCCCAAAAAATAATATGTTGGCGCCCCAACCCTCAAGTACATCAGAATGTGGCCTCATTTAGAGATAGGATCTTTACTGAGATAATCGAGGTAAAATGAGACTATTAGGATGGCTCTAGTCTAATACTAGTGTCCTTATAAAAGGGGAAATTGGGACAGAGACACACACAG
Source organism: Homo sapiens (assembly GCF_000001405.40). Lineage (NCBI taxonomy): Eukaryota > Metazoa > Chordata > Mammalia > Primates > Hominidae > Homo > Homo sapiens. The sequence continues at coordinate 72,151,341 of NC_000007.14, read as the reverse complement.
GAAGAACATTAGAAGATTGCGTGAAGATGAAGGCAGAGATCTACAAGCCAAGGAACGCTAAAGATTGCCAGCAGACTCCAAGAAGCGAGCAGAGGGAGGCATGGAACAGATTCTTGCCCAAGGCCCTTGGAGGGCACCAACCCTACATATAACCTTGATGGCAAATTCTAGCCCCCAGAACAGTGAGACAATAGACTTCTGTTGTTGAAGCCACCTGGCCTGTGGTCCTTTGTTATGGCAGCCCTAACAAATGGATACAGGATCGTCTTACAGGCAATGATGAGCTTGTGAGAATCTAACCAGGGAGATAGCAAGGACGGGAAGGCAGTGTGAGGGCCAAGGGTGATAATATGGCCAGCTGGTAGATAGTGCCTAAGGCTTTTGTCATTGTGAACAGCCTCATGATGCAGGCTCATGACAACAGTGTCATCGTCACCATCATCATCATCATCATCATCATCATCATCATATCATCACAGCAAATAGTTATTGAGCATCTACTCTATGCTGGACAAGTATACTTTGCATGTTTTACATTACTGAGTCCTTAAACTTACACGATTGATGTTAGTAACATTCCCATTTTACAAATGAAAAAACTGAGACACACAGAAGGAAGAAACTTGCCCAAGAGTATATATGGCTGGTAGGTGGAGAGGCCCAATGTAGCCTTTCTCAGCCCCTCTCACGTTCTCTCTGCTCTGCCAATATCAAGCTCACCCTCTCAAGATCTTTGCATTGGTTGTTCCCTGCCTAGGCAGCTCTGCCACTCCATTCCACATGGCTGGCTCCCTTTTCTATATGAGTCTCAGCCCTGATGTTTATCTCAAGGGAGAGCCTCTTACCCTCCCGGTCATCTCAGCACACTGCCTGCTTTATCAGTGTTTTTTTTAATAGCACTTGCTGCCATCTGAAACATTCTTCTTGTTTACTTGTGAGTAAACCCCCTAGAACATAAGTTTTGGGAGAACAGGGACCTTGCCTGGCTTCTTCAATCCTCTATCCCAGGCACTGGATCCATTCCTAAAACATACAAAGTATTTTATAACTCAGTTTCCTTTTTATTTATTGATTCAAATAATTTAGGCCCCCTCAAGCAAATTGGAACTTGGGCTCCATCTTGCATATGCAAAAGATTCGTGAAGATCTTCTGCTCAACAGAAGGCAGCTACTGTCTGTCCTGGTAACTTCTATCTGTTTTTTTTTTTTTTTTTGAGATGGAGTTTTACTCTTGTTGCCTAGGCTGGAGTGTAGTGTGGCACGATCTCGGCTCATTGCAACCTCTTGCCTCCTGGGTTCAACTGATTCTCCTGCCCTCAGCCTCCTGAGTAGCTTGGATTATAGGCATCTGCCACCATGCCTGGCTAATTTTTTTTTTTCTGTATTTTTAGTAGAGACAAGAATTTCACCATGTTGGCCAGGCTGGTCTCGAATTCCTGACCTCAGGTGATCTGCCCGCCTCCATGTCTCAAAGTGCTGGGATTACAGGCATGAGCCACGGTGCCTGGCCTGTCCTGGTAACTCCTATAGCAGTGCCTGTTAGTGACCAGGTCCTTTCTGCCCATGTGCAAGAAGCCAATCACTGTGGTAATGAGTTTTTGCAAAAGAGAAAAGATTTCACAATGCAGTGCTGTGTGAGGAGATAGGAGAACAAATCTCAAATCTGCCTCCCTGAAAATAGGGAATGGGAGTATTATGGGATAGAAGGCAGCATGGTCTAAAGTGTGGGGAACGGTGAGGGGAGGGTGGGAAAGGTGAGCTAATCAGGGTTTCTGTGTGTGTTAATCTGTTTTTGTGTTGCTATAAAGAAATATCTGAGGCTGGGTAATTTATAGAGAATAGAGGGGTTTTTTAATTTTAATTTTATTTATTTTGGAGACACAGTCTCACTCTGTCACCCAGCCTGGAGTGCAGTGGCGTGATCTCAGCTCACTGCATCCTCCACCTCTGGGTTCAAATGATACTCCTGCCTCAGCTTCTCTAGTAGGTGGGATTATAGGCGACTGCCACCACGCCCAGCTAATTTTTGTATTTTTAGTAGAGACGGGGTTTTACCACGTTGGCCAGGCTGGTTTGGTATTCCTGACCTCTCAAGTGATCCACCCGCCTCGGTCTCCCAAAGTGCTGGGATTACAGATGCGAGCCGCTGTGCCTGGCCAAGAATAGAGGTTTATTTGGCTCATGGTTCTGCAGGCTGTACAGGAAGCATAGTGTCAGCATCTGCTTCTGGAGAGGACTCAGGGAGCTTATACTTATGGCAGAAGGTGAAGGGAAACCAGCATAACACAGAGCGAGAGAGGGAACAAGAGAAAGAGCAGGAGATGCTAGGCTCATTTTAATTATTATTTCCTTCCTTCCTCCCTCCCTCCCTCCCTCCCTTCCTTCTTTCCTTCCTTCCTTCCTTCTTTTTTTTCTTTCTTTCTTTCTTTTTTTTGTTTTTGGTGGTGTCTTACTCTGTCACCCAGCCTGGAGTGCAGTGGTATGATCTTGGCTCACTGCAACCTCCATCTCAGGGTTCCAATGATTCTCCTGCCTCAGCCTCCTGAGTAACTGGGATTACAGGTGCCTGTCACCATTGCTGGCTAATTTTTGTATTTTTAATAGAGATGGGGTTTTGCCATGTTGGCCTGGCTAGTCTCGAACACCTGACCTCAGGTGATCCGCCTGCCTCAGCCTCCCAAAGTGCTGGGATTACAGGCGTGAGCCACCATGCCCAGCCTCTTTTTTCTTTTCTTTGAGACAGGTCCTCACATTGTCACCCAGGCTGCAAGGTGGAGTGCAGTGGCACAATGATGGCTCACTGTAGACCCAAACTCCTGGGCTCAAGCAATCTTCCTGCCTCAACCTTGCAAGTAGTAGCTGGGACTACAGGCACCAGAGCTGGCTATTTTTTTTTCTTTTTTTCTTTTTTCTTTTTTTTCTTTTTTTTACTTTTTTGTAGAGATGGGGTCTTGCTATGTTGCCTAGGCTGGCCTCGAATTCCTGGGCTCAAGTGATCCTCCCACCTCGGCCTCCCAAAGTGCTGGGATTACAAGTGAGCCACTGCACCTGGCCCAGACTTTTTTTTTTTTTTTTTTAAACAACCACATTTGATGTGAACTCATTACTGTGGGATGGGCACCAATCCATTCACGATCCAAACATCATCTACCAAGCCCCATCTCTAACACTGTGGATCATATTTCTTTTTTTTTTTTCTGTTTGTTTGTTTGGTTGGTTGGTTGGTTGTTTTTTTTTTTTATTTTTTTTTATTATACTTTAAGTTCTAGGGTACGTGTGCACAACATGCAGGTTTGTTACATATGTATACATGTGCCATGTTGGTGTGCTGCACCTATTAACTCGTCATTTACATTAGTATATCTCCTAATGCTATCCCTCCCCCCTCCCCCCACAACAGGCCCTGGTGTGTGATGTCCCCCTTCCTGTGTCCAAGTGTTGTCAATGTTCAATTCCCACCTGTGAGTGAGAACATGCGATGTTTGGTTTTTTGTCCTTGCGATAGTTTACTGAGAATGATGGTTTCCAGCTTCATCCATGTCCCTACAAAGGACATGAACTCATTATTTTTTATGGCTGCATAGTATTCCATGGTGTATATGTGCCACATTTTCTTAATCCAGTCTATCATTGTTGGACATTTGGGTTGGTTCCAGGTCTTTGCTATTGTGAATAGTGCCACAATAAACATATGTGTGCATGTGTCTTTATAGTAGCATGATTTATAATCCTTTGGGTATATACCCAGTAATGGGATAGCTGGGTCAAATGGTATTTCTAGTTGTAGATCCCTGAGGAATCGCAACACTGTCTTCCACAATGGTTGAACCAGTTTACAGTCCCACCAACAGTGTAACAGTCCTCTCCAACACCTGTTGTTTCCTGACTTTTTAATGATCACCATTCTAACTGGTGTGAGATGGTATCTCATTGTGGTTTTGATTTGCATTTCTCTGATGGCCAGTGATGATGAGCATTTTTTTCATGTGTCTGTTGGCTGCATAAATGTCTTCTTTTGAGAAGTGTCTGTTCATATCCTTTGCCCACTTGTTGATGGGGTTGTGTTTTTCTTGTAAATTTGTTTGAGTTCTTTGTAGATTCTGGATATTAGCCCTTTGTCAGATGAGTAGATTGCAAAAATTTTCTCCCGTGCTGTAGGTTGCCTGTTCACTCTGATGGTAGTTTCTTTTGCTGTGCAGAAGCTCTTGAGTTTAATTAGATCCCATTTGTCAATTTTGTCTTTTGTTGCCATTGCTTTTGGTGTTTTAGACATGAAGTCCTTGCCTATGCCTATGTCCTGAATGGTATTGCCTAGGTTTTCTTCTAGGGTTTTTATGGTTTTAGGTCTAACATGTAAGTCTTTAATCCATCTTCAATTAATTTTTGTATAAGGTGTAAGGAAGGGATCCAGTTTCAGCTTTCTACATATGGCTAGCCAGTTTTCCCAGCACCATTTGTTAAATAGGGAATCCTTTCCCCGTTTCTTGTTTTTGTCAGGTTTGTCAAAGATCAGATAGTTGTAGATGTGTGGATTATTTCTGAGGGCTCTGTTCTGTTCCATTGGTCTATAGCTTTGTTTTGGTACCAGTACCATGCTGTTTTGGTTACTGTAGCCTTGTAGTATAGTTTGAAGTCAGGTAGTGTGATGCCTCCATCTTTGTTCTTTTGAGTTAGGATTGACTTGGCAATGTGGGCTCTTTTTTGGTTCCATATGAACTTTAAAGTAGTTTTTTTCCAATTCTGTGAAGAAAGTCATTAGTAGCTTGATGGGGATGGCATTGAATCTATAAATTACCTTAGGCTGTATGGCCATTTTCACGATATTGATTCTTCCTATCCATGAGCATGGAATGTTCTTCCATTTATTTGTATCCTCTTTTATTTCGTTGAGTAGTGGTTTGTAGTTCTCCTTGAAGAGGTCTTCACATCCCTTGTAAGTTGGATTCCTAGGTATTTTATTCTCTTTGAAGCAATTGTGAATGGGAGTTCACTCATGATTTGGCTCTCTGTCTGTTATTGGTGTATAAGCATGCTTGTGATTTTTGCACATTGATTTTTTATCCTGGGACTTTGCTGCAGTTGCTTATCAGCTTAAGGAGATTTTGGGCTGAGACAATGGGGTTTTCTAGATATACAATCATGTCATCTGCAAAGAGGGACAATTTGACTTCCTCTTTTCCTAATTGAATACCCTTTATTTCTTTCTCCTGCCTGATTGCCCTGGCCAGAACTTCCAACGCTATGTTGAATAGGAGTGGTGAGAGAGGGCATCCCTGTCTTGTGCCAGTTTTCAAAGGGAATGCTTCCAGTTTTTGCCCATTCAGTATGATACTGGCTGTGGGTTTGTCATAGATAGCTCTTATTATTTTGAGATACGTCCCATCAATACCTAATTTATTGAGAGTTTTTAGCACGAAGGGCTGTTGAATTTTGTCAAAGGCCTTTTCTGCATCTATTGAGATAATCATGTGGTTTTTGTCCTTGATTCTGTTTATATGCTGGATTACATTTATTGATTTGCATATGTTGAACCAGCCTTGCATCCCAGGGATGAAGCCCACTTGATCATGGTGGATAAGCTTTTTGATGTGCTGCTGGATTCGGTTTGCCAGTATTTTATTGAGGATTTTTGCATCGATGTTCATCCGGGATATTGGTCTAAAATTCTCTTTTTTTGTTGTGTCTCTGCCAGGCTTTGGTATCAGGATGATGCTGGCTTCATAAAATGAGTTAGGGAGGATTCCCTCTTTTTCTATTGATTGGAATAGTTTCAGAAGGAATGGTACCAGCTCCTCCTTGTACCTCTGGTAGAATTCGGCTGTGAATCTGTCTGGTCCTGGACTTTTTTTGGTTGGTAGGCTATTAATTATTGCCTCAACTTCAGAGCCTGTTATTGGTCTATTCAGAGATTCAACTTCTTCCTGGTTTAGTCTTGGGAGAGTGTATGTGTCAAGGAATTTATCGATTTCTTCTAGATTTTCTAGTTTATTTGTGTAGAGGTGTTTATAGTATTCTCTGATGGTAGTTTGTATTTCTGTGGGATCGGTGGTGATATCCCCTTTATCTTTTTTTATTGTGTCTATTTGATTCTTCTCTCTTTGCTTCTTTATTAGTCTTGCTAGCAATCTATCAATTTTGTTGATCTTTTCAAAAAACCAGCTCCTGGATTCATTGATTTTTTGAAGGGTTTTCTTGTCTCTGTCTCCTTCAGTTCTGCTCTGATCTTAGTTATTTCTTGCCTTCTGCTAGCTTTTGAATGTGTTTGCTCTTGCTTCTCTAGTTCTTTTAATTGTGATGTTAGGGTGTCATTTTTAGAACTTCCCTGCTTTCTCTTGTGGGCATTTAGTGCTATAAATTTCCCTCTACACACTGCTTTAAATGTGTCCCAGAGATTCTGGTATGTTGTGTCTTTGTTCTCGTTGGTTTCAAAGAACATCTTTATTTCTGCCTTCATTCCGTTATGAACCCAGTAGTCATTCAGGAGCAGGTTGTTGTTTCCGTGTAGTTGAGCGGTTTTGAGTGAGTTTCTTAATCCTAAGTTCTAATTTGATTGCACTGTGGTCTGAGAGACAGTTTGTTATAATTTCTGTTCTTTTACATTTGCTGAGGAGTGCTTTACTTCCAACTATGTGGTCAATTTTGGAGTAAGTGCAGTGTGGTGCTGAGAAGAATGTATAGTCTGTTGATTTTGGGTGGAGAGTTCTGTAGATATCTATTAGGTCTGTTTGGTGCAGAGCTGAGTTCAATTCCTGGATATCCTTGTTAACTTTCTGTCTTGTTGATCTGTCTGATGTTGACAGTGGAGTGTTAAATTCTCCCATTATTATTATGTGGGAGTCTAATCTCTTTGTAGGTCTCTAAGGACTTGCTTTATGAATCTGGGTGCTCCTGTATTGGGTGCATATATATTTAAGATAGTTAGCTCTTCTTGTTGAATTGATCCCTTTACCATTATGTAATGGCCTTCTTTGTCTCTTTTAATCTTTGTTGGTTTAAAGTCTTTTATCAGAGACTAGGATTGCAACCCCTGCCTTTTTTTGTTTTCCATTTGCTTGGTAGATCTTCCTCCATCCCTTTATTTTGAGCCTATGTGTGTCTCTGCACATGAGATGGGTTTCCTGAATACAGCACACTGATGGGTCTTGACTCTTTATCCAATTTGCCAGTCTGTGTCTTTTAATTGGAGCATTTAGTCCATTTACATTTAAAGTTAATATTGTTATGTGTGAATCTGATCCTGTCATTATGATGTTAGCTGGTTATTTTGCTCGTTAGTTGATGCAGTTTCTTCCTAGCCTCGATGGTCTTTACAGTTTGGCATGTTTTTGCAGTGGCTAGTACCAGTTGTTCCTTTCCATGTTTAGTGCTTCATTCAGGAGCTCTTGTAGGGCAGGCCTGGTGGTGATAAAATCTCTCAGCATTTGCTTGTCTGTAAAGTATTTTATTTCTCCTTCACTTATGAAGCTTAGTTTGGCTGGATATGAAATTCTGGGTTGAAAATTCTTTTCTTTAAGAATGTTGAATATTGGTCCCCACTCTCTTCTGGCTTGTAGAGTTTCTGCCGAGAGATCAGCTGTTAGTCTGATGGGCTTCCCTTTGTGGGTAACCCGACCTTTCTCTCTGGCTGCCCTTAACATTTTTTTCTTCATTTCAACTTTGGTGAATCTGACAATTATGTGTCTTGGAGTTGCTCTTCTCGAGGAGTATCTTTGTAGCGTTCTCTGTATTTCCTGAATTTGAATGTTGGCCTGCCTTGCTAGATTGGGGAAGTTCTCCTGGATAATATCCTGCAGAGTGTTTTCCAACTTGGTTCCATTCTCCCCGTCACTTTCAGGTACACCAATCAGTCGTAGATTTGGTCTTTTCACATAGTCCCATATTTTTTGGAGGCTTTGTTCATTTCTTTTTATTCTTTTTTCTCTAAAGTTCTCTTCTAGCTTCATTTCATTCATTTGATCTTCCTTCACTGATACCCTTTCTTCCCGTTGATCGAATCGGCTACTGAAGCTTGTGCATTCTTCACGTAGTTCTCGTGCCATGGTTTTCAGCTCCATCAGGTCCTTTAAGGACTTCTCTGCATTGGTTATTCTAGTAAGCCATTCGTCTCATCTTTTTTCAAGGTTTTTAACTTCTTTGCGTTGGGTTCAAACTTCCTCCTTTAGCTCGGAGAAGTTTGATCGTCTGTAGCCTTCTTCTCTCAACTCGTCAAAGTCATTCTCTGTCCAGCTTTGTTCTGTTGCTGGTGAGGAGCTGCATTCCTTTGGAGGAGGAGAGGCACTTTGATTTTTAGAATTTTCAGTTTTTCTGCTCTGTTTTTTCCCCATCTTTGTGGTTTTATCTACCTTTGGTCTTTGATGATGGTGACGTACAGATAGGGTTTTGGTGTGGATGTCCTTTCTGTTTGTTAGTTTTCCTTCTGAGAGTCAGGACCCTCAGCTGCAGGTCAGTTGGAGTTTGCTGGAGGTCCACTCCAGACCTTGTTTGCCTGGGTATCAGTAGCGGAGGCTGCAGAACAGCGAATATTGGTGAACAGCAAATGTTGCTGCCTGATCGTTCCTCTGGAAGTTTCATCTCAGAGGGGTACCCAGCCGTGTGAGGTGTCAGTCTGCCCCTACTGGGGGGTGCTTCCCAGTTAGGCTACTCGGGGGTCAAGGACCCACTTGAGGAGGCAGTCTGTTCATTCTCAGATCTCAAGCTCCGTGCTGGGAGAACCACTACTCTCTTCCAAGATGTCAGACTGGAACATTTAAGTCTGCAGAAGTTTCTGCTGCGTTTTGTTCGGCTATGCCCTGCCCCCAGAGGTGGAGTCTCCAGAGGCAGGCAGGCAGGCCTCCTTGAGCTGCAGTGGGATCCACCCAGTTCGAGCTTCCTGGCCACTTTTTTTACCTACTCAAGCCTCAGCAATGGCAGGTGCCCCTCCCCCAGCTCGCTGCCGCGTTGTAGTTCGATCTCAGACTGCTGTGCTAGCAATGAGTGAGGCTCCATGGGTGTAGGATCCTCTGAGCCAGGCACGGAATATAATCTCCTGGTGTGCCGTTTGCTAAGACCGTCAGAAAAGCACAGTATTAGGGTGGGAGTGACCCGATTTTCCAGGTGCCATTTGTCCCTTCTTCCCTTGGCTAGGAAGGGGAATTCCCTGACCCCTTGTGCTTCCCAGGTCAGGCGATGCCTCACCCTGCTTCGGCTCATGCTTGGTGCACTGCACCCACTGTCCTGCACCCACTGTCTGACAATCCCCAGTGAGATGAACCCGGTACCTCAGTTGGAAATGCAGAAATCACCTGTCTTCTGCGTCGCTCACGCTGGGAGCTGTAGACTGGAGCTGTTCCTATTCGGCCATCTTGGAACCACCCCTGCAGATCATATTTCAACCTGAAATGTGGAGGGGACAAGCATCCAAAACAGATCACTGTGCAGGTGTAATCAAGCCTCATGTTTTGACATAGGGCCCATCTGTAGAAAGTGGTGATGTTGGCCCGGCACAGTGACTCACACCTGTAATCCCAGCACTTTGGGAGGCCAAGATGGGAGGATCACCTGAGGTCAGGAGTTGGAGACCAGCCTGACCAACATGGTGAAACCCTGTCTCTACTAAAAATACAAAAATTAGCCAGGCATGGTGATGCATGCCTGTAATCCTAGCTCCTCAGGAGGCTGAAGCAGGAGAATCGCTTGAACCCAGGAGACGGAGGTTGCAGTGATCTGAGATCACACCATTGCATTCCTACCTGATTGACAAGATGGAAACTCCGTCTTGAAAAAAAAAATGGTGATGTTAGCATCATCTGAGGGTGGAGTTTTGAGCCCTCGGACACAAAAGGTTGTTTTGGGACACGTGCATAGGCCTAGCCGAAGGGTCGGTGGTCTCAAAGTGCCATCACACCCAGGTAATTTTTGTATTTTTAGTACAGACTGGGTTTCACCATGTTGCCAGGGCTGGTCTCGAACTCTTGACCTCAGGTGATCCACTTGCTTCAGCCTCCCAAAGTGCTAGGATTGCAGGTGTGAGCCACTGCACCTGGCCTTTTTTTCTTTTTCTTTTCTTTTTTTAAGACAGGATCATGCCCTGTCACTTAGGCTGGAGTACAGTGGTGCAATCATGGCTCACTGCAACCTCCTGGGCTCAAGTGATGCTCCCACCTCAGCCTCCCAAATTTCTGGAATTACAGGTATGAGCTACCGCATCCAGTGAGATTAATTTTTCTATTGGATAATTGTTGCTACTTTTCTCAGGACGCAGAGAGGCTGGAGCCAGTGACCTTGGCCTTGGGTTGAGGGACAGCACAGCACCAGTTCATGCTTAGCCCATGGAGTTGCTATAGCTTGAGTCTGCCATGGTCCACACTAGGAGGCTAGTATCTTCTACCTTTTGTTTTAGAGACATTCACAATGGGGCTGTCTTCCTCCTCCCAGGTGGGGAACCAGCTGCCACAGGACTGCAGAGCAAGGCCCCAGCGCCCTGGGCTGGACAGGCAGGCAGCCCTGATGTACTTGCCAGCTTTCCCCCAGGACTGTGCATGAGAGAGGCAGTGACACATTCTCTCCTGTCCTGGAAGTTGATGAGCTCCGATAGGAGGTTGTCTTGAACACTCATTTGGTTCCAGGGCCCTGCCAAGGCCACCCCAGTATCTGGGTACAGGACCAGCTCACACCACTCAAGAGCCAACCAGGGTTGCCTCTGTTCATTCATTTATCCTACCATTCAACAGACATAGGCCACATAGGCCCAGACTGGCCACACCCTGCCTGCCAAGGTTGGGGTGTAATCCCTGAGGGGGCTTCTGCCCTTGTCTTCCTTTGATAGGAGGGAGAGGGAAATACTTTCAGCAAGATTTCCTCTGAGTGGGTCTCACTGTAGAGCTGCGTGTGCTAAAATTGTCTGGGCAGGTCCACAGGAGCAGCAGAAGGAGGTGGGACTCTGGTTCTGGCTGCTTGCTTCCTTCATTCGCTTCTTCCATCCTCCCTCCCTCCCTCCCTCCCTCCCTCCCTCCCTCCCTCCCTTCCTTCCTTCTCCCTTTCTCTGTTCCTCTCTTTCTTCTCTCTCTCTCTCTCTCTCTCTCTCTCTTATTTTGAGACAAGGTCTCACTCTGTCACCCAGGCTGGAGTGAAGTTGTGCAATCATGACTCACTGCAGCCTTGAACTCCTGGGCTCAAGTGATCCTCTTGCCTCAGTCTCCCTAGTAGCTGGGACTGTAAGTGTTCAGCACCACTCCCAGCTAATTTTTAAATTTATTGCAGAGACAGGGTGTTACTTTGTTGCCCAGGCTGGTTTCAAACTCCTGGCCTGAAGCAATCCTCCCACCTCAGTCTCCCGAATTGCTGAGATTACAGGACACTTCTGAGCATGCTTTCCTAACCTCCCCCAACAGTGGTGAAATATTCCAACGAGATTACAGAGGAGAGGGGCCTCTTCTCCCTCTTCCTAAAGAGGGCTTAGTAGGAGACCTGACTCAGTAAATCTGAAAGAATAAATAGGTGTTTGTCATTTGCAAAGAGAGATAAGGGAAGTAGCAACATAGTATATAGTCCTGAAAGTGAAGGCCTGCTCCAAATACAGCCATCAGCTCTGTAGGGTGGGTTAAGGAGGGGCAGAGCACTGAGGTTCCTAGAGGGTGGAGGTGACCGAGGAGCTTAGAAGAGGATGGACATGGCTGAGGAGCTTAGAAGAGGGTGGACATGGCCGAGGTGCTTAGAAGAAGGTGGGCATGGATGAGAGGCTTAGAAGAGGGTAGACTTGACTGAGGTGCTTAGAAAGGGGTGTGGCCGATGTGGGTAGAGGAGGGTGGGCATGGCTGAGGGGGTGGACATGGCCAAGGTGCTTAGAAGAGGGTGGGCATGGCTGAGGTGGGTAGAAGAGGGGTGGGTGTGGCTGAAGTTGGTAGAAGAGGGTGGGCGTGGCTGAGGTGGGTAGAAGAGGGTGGGCGTGGCTGAGGTGCTTAGAAGAGGGTGGGCGTGGCTGAGATGAGTAGAAGACCCAGGGTGGGCATGGTGGAGGTGGGCAGAAGAGGTTGGGCGTGGCTGAGGTGGGTAGAAGAGGGTGGGTGTGGCCGAGGTGCTTAGAAGATGGTAGGCATGGGGCTGAGGTGCTTAGAAGAAGGTGTACATGGCCCAGTTCTGGAAGCGCCTGGGACATCAAAGAGGGGATGGATGTGACCTTGCCGGATGCCCATGGGCTCTGGCCTGGTGTGGAATAGCAACCTGCTTGTTGAATATATGAGTGAATGGGAGCCAGTGAGAAATTTGAAGCTGAAGCAAAGCGTGATTAGACGTGATGTCTTTGACACACCACTCTGGATGCTGGAGGTACCATCAACAAGAAGGGAAGGAGTCAAGGATGAATTTTTGAGATTGAACGCTAGATGATGGCATTGCAAGCTTTCGAATGCGTTCGGGTAGAAGGAGCAGAATGACCAAATATTTTGTTTTTCATTGAATGTGTGGGCAGTCCTGGCCCATTACTCCAGAGGTAAAATGTGTTCCAGCATGTTTTTCCATTGAGATAACTTCCTTTTCCATTATGGTGACAGTTCTGAAAGAAAGGGTAAGGGCGGGGATTGTGGGGGGACCCAGGGGAGAGAGGCCGACCAATGGTTCTTTCATGTGCTGTTTTATCAGGCATATTGTCGTGAAACCAATTTTCATGTTGAAATGGCTTTTCTTCCCGTAAACAAATTGCTTTTTATGTTGTTGAATGGGATGGCAGGCAGCCTCTTTGAAGATTAGCTAACTCAGTTCTCAGCCGGTGCTAAAATACGCACCTTCAGAGCCCAGCTAAGGGCAGTCCCCGTCTCCTTTGCTCCTCACAGCTGAATTGGTTAATACAAGTAGGAGAAAAGAGTTTCCCGAGGAATCAGGTGTAAGAACAGAAGCTTTGAATTTTGTGAAACAAGATTTCTACTCTGAGGCTTCAGATGGCGTCGGGAAAATGCTCCCCAGCATGGAGAGAACACTTGTATTCGAGCCTCCAGTTTACTCATTGTTGGTTTCATTTTGTAGAATAACATTTTGTTCTTCTTAAAAGAGCCAGACACCTGGAGACGTTTAAAAAAAAAAATCCAAAATAAAAATACATGATCATCTAGAATTAGCATCATTTGATGATAATTCCATCTTTACATGTCATATATTTCCTTTATGTCTTTTTCCCTTAGGCACATGTTTTGACAGGTTAAGCCATATTACACATATAGTTTTATATACTGATTTCTTAAGAAAACATATTTGCTCATGTCATTTACTAAATGTGGTTTTTGAATGTGTGTAATATTTCACCACATGGATATAATTAAGTTGCCATCCCATAGTCTATTTTCATTTTACTATTTTACTTTAAATAATTTCAAAAATAGCAGAAAGTTGCATGAACAGTACAAAGAAATCCTATATGTCTTTCACCCAGATTTCCTGATTGTAGACATTGGAGCACATTTCCGTATCATTCTCTCTCTCTCTCAAATAGATATGCTATATTTATATCATTTATACTAAAATTTGTTCTTTTTCTAAACTTTTTTACAGTAAGCAGCAGGCGTGATGTCCTCCACTGTTGAATATGCTAGAGTATATTTTTCACAAAGACGCTACAGCATAAGCATACTATAACCATCAGAATAAGAAAACTTAACATCATATACCACCACCTAATCCACAGACTCTATTCAAATTTCCCCAGTTATCCAAATAATTTCTTTTACAGCTAAATCATTCAATCCAGGATCATACTGGCATACCACATTTTATACTTCACTTTATTGCACCTTGCAGATACTGTGTTTTTTTGTTTTGTTTTGTTTGTTTGTTTTTTACAAATTAAAGGTTTGTGGCAACCCTGTGGTTGGGCAAGTCTGTCAGTATCATTTTTCTAAGAGCATGTGCTCACTTCGTGCCTCTGGGTCACATTTTGGTGATTCCAACAAATATTTCAATCTTTTTCATTATTTGCTTTCATTATTATATCTGTTAGGATGATCTGTGTGACAGAGCAGGAGCATCGCCATCTTGAACAAAACACCACCGTTGTAAGTTCTCTTTAAAAACCACCTAAATCCAGCCCCAAAACATCAGCCTAATGGCTAATGTCAGCATAACTAGAAACATCCCAACCCTAAGATAAACCCCTCTCTGACCAGAAACATACCAACCCTGAGATAGGCTCCCCTCCGACCAGAGACACTCCAACCCTGCAATAAACTTTCCTTCACATAGAAACATTCCAAACCTATGACAAGCCCCCCTTTCCAAAACCCTTAAATATACTTAGTGTGTAAGAGAGAAGGGCTCTCTGACCTAACTTGGCCAGAAGCCCCTCTCAGGTTTGTTTTCTCTAAAATAAACCTGTCCTTAACTGTTGAGCCACATTTCATGTTTCTTTCCTCTTTCTTTAATTCTTACATCGTGATCAGTGATCTTTGATGTTACTATTGTGATTTTTTTGAGGCCACAAACTACATCTATATAAAATGGTGAACTTAATAAATGTTGTGTGTGTTCTGACTGCTCCACCAACCAGCCCTTCCCTATCTGTCTCCCTCTCCTTGGGGATCCCTATTCCCTGAGATACAATAACACTGAAATTAGGCCAATTAGTAATGCTACAGTGGCCTCTAAGTGTTCAAGTGAAAGGAAGAGTCTCATGTCTCTCACTTTAAATCAAAAACTGGAAATGATTAAGCATAGTGAGGAAGGCATGACAAAAGCTGAGATAAACTGAAAGCTAGCCTCCTGAGCCAAAGAGTTAGCCAAGTTGCGAATGCAAAGGAAAAGTACTTGAAGGAAATTAAAAGTGCCACTCTAGTGGACACACAAATGATAAGAAAGCAAAGCAGCCTTATTGCTGATATGGAGAAAGTTTTAGAGGTCTGGATAGAAAATTAAACCAGCCACAACATTCCCTTAAGCCAAAACCTAATCCAGAGTGAGCAAGGCCCCAACTCTTTTCAATTCTATGAAGGCTGAGAGAGGAAAGGAAGCTGCAGAAAAAAAGTTTGACGCTAGCAAAGGTTGGTTCATGAGGTTTAAGAAGTCATCTCCATAATATAAAAGTACAAGGTGAAGCAACAAGTGCTCATGTAGAAGCTGCAGCAGCAAGTTATCAAGAAGTTCCAGTTAAGAAAATTGATGAAGGTGGCTACACTCAACAACAGATTTTTCAATGCAGAAAAAACCAGCCCTTTATTTATTTATTTATTTATTTATTTATTTATTTTTGAGACAGAGTCTTTTTCTGTTGCCCAGGCTGGAATGCAGTGGTGCAATCTTGGCTCACTGCAACCTCTGCCCTCCTGGATTCAAGCAATTCTCCCTGCCTCAGCCTCCCAAGTAGCTGGGATTACAGGCATCTACCACCACGCCCAGCTTATTTTTGTAGTTTTAGTAGAGATGGGGTTTTACTATGTTGACCAGGCTGGTCTTGAACTCCTGACATAAGGTGATCCACCCACCTCGGCCTCCCAAAGTGCTGGGATTACAGGCATGAGCCACTGCACCCAGCCTAAAACAACCTTCTATTGGAATAAGATGCCATCTAGGACTTTCATAGCTGGGTAGGAGAAGTCAATGCCTGGCTTCAAAACTTCAAAGGATAGGTTGACTCTTGTGAGGGGCCAGTCCAGCTGGTGACTGTAAGCTGAAGCCAGTGTTCATTTACCATCCCCCAAATCTTAAGGACCTTCAGAATGATAGTAAATCTATTCTGCCTATGCTCTAGACATGAAACAACAAAGCCTGGATGACAGCACATCTGTTTATAGCATGGTTTATTGAATATTTTAAGCTCACTGTTGAGAAATACTGCTCAGAAGAAAAGACTCCTTTCAAAATATTCCTGCTCATTGACAATGCACCTGGTCACCCAAGAGCTCTAATGGAGATGTACAAGGAGATGAATGTTGTTTTCATGCCTTCTAACACAGCATCCGTTCTGCAGCCCATACATCAAGGAGTTAAAATTTAAACTTTCAAGTCTTAATATTTAAGAAACGCATTTCATAAGGCGATAGCTGCCATACGTAGTGATTCCTCTGATAGATCTGGGCAATGTAAATTTAAAGCCTTCTGGAAAGGTTTCACTGTTCTCAATACCATTAAGAACATTTGTGATTCATGGGAGGAGGCCAAAATATCAACATTTAACAGGAGTTTGGAAGAAGTAGATTCCAGCCTTCATGGATGATGTTGAGGGGTTCAAGACTTCAGTGGAGGAAGTCGCTGCAGATGTGGTGGAAATAGCAAGAGAAGGGGAGTTAAAAGCGGATCCTAAAGATGGAACTGAATTTCTGCAATCTCATGATCAAACTTGAATGGATGCGGAGTTGCTTCTTATGGATGAGCTAAGAAAGTAGTTTCTTGAAATAGAATCTACTCCTGGTAAAGATGCTTTGTAAACATTGTTGAAATGGCATTGTGAACGTTGTAGAATATTCCATCAGCATATTCTTTACATAATAAAACAGTGGCAAGGCTTAAAAGGATTGACTCCAATTCTGAAATAAGTTCTACTGTGGGTAAAATGCTGTCAAACAGCATTGCATGCTACAGATTAATTTTTTTATGAAATGAAGAGTCCATCTATGTGCGGCCAAATTCATTGTTGTCTTATTTTAAGAAATTGCCACAGGCACCTCAGACTTCAGCAACCACCACCTTGATCAGTCAGCAGCCATCAGCATTTAGACAAGACCTTCTACCAGTAAAAGATTATGAACTGCTGAATGCTCAGATGATTGTTCATATATTTTAGCAATAAAATATGTTTAAATAAAAGTACATTTTTAAAGATATAATGCTACTGCACACTTAATAGACAAAAGTATAATGTAAATTTAACTTTTATATGCACTGGGAAACCAAGAAATTGGTGTGACTTGCTTTATTGTAGTAGTCCAGAACCAAACCTGCAATATCTTTGAGGTGTGTCTGAATTTAGCATCCATCTGTGATGTCTCTTCTGTTTTCTCCCATCTGAAAAGTTTCCTTAGGTTTTGTGTTTTGTTTAGTGTCTCAGTCCTTTGGAGCTGCTATAACAAAATACCTTGGATTACTGGGTAATTTATAAAGAACAGAAATTTATTTCCCACAATTCTGGAAGTTGAGAAGTCTAAGATCAAGGTGCCAGCAGGAATGGTGTCTGGCAAGGGCTGTTCTCTCCTTCCAAGATGGCGCCCTGTTGCTGCATTCTCTGGAGGGAAGGAATGCCATGTCCTCATATGGCAGAAGAACAGAAGAGCAAAAAGGGCCTAAGCTAGGTCCCTCCAGCCTTCTCAGAAGGCACTAATCCATTCAAGAGGGCAGAGCCCTCATCACTTAACCACTTCCCCAAAGGCCTTTTAATGCCTTTTAATGCCACCACAATGGGGATTAAATTTCAGCATGAATTTTGAAGAATTTTGAAGAGAACATACTCAAACTGTAGCATTTAGCTTTTCACTTTCACCACTTGGATATTTTTTAAGGTTACAGGCCAGTTATTTTGTAACATATTCCTCATTTTGGATTTGTCTGATGTTCCTTCATAGTTATATTAAGTTATACAGCTTTTGCAGAAATATCACAGAAGTAATAATGATGTATCCTTGTCCTGGAACCTAATCAGGTGATATGTAGGGGTGATTTGACCCATTACTGTTCATGTTGACTTTGATTGTTGAATTCAGGTGGAGTCCGCCAGGCTTTTCCACTCTAAAGTGGCTCTTTCCCCCTTTGTAATTAGTGTTCAGTGGGAAAATACTTTGAAACTATATGAATATCCATAATCGTCAAACTTTTACCCACTAGGTTTAGCGTCCATTAGTGATTTTTGCCTGAATCAGTTATTACTAAAGTGGTTACCATGTGTAACCATATGATAATCATACAACAGTTTTTCTAAGTCCACCATCTTTTCAACATTTTTTGGCATTATTCTGTAAGTAAGAGCCTTGTCTTATTCATTCATTCATATCAGTATGGACTCTTTAATTCCTATTTTATTCAACAGATTATAAGCTACTGCCGTTATTGTTTATTTTAATATAGTAGTAGCCTCTTCAAGCTGGTTCTTAAATCCTTTTGGCATAATCTCATTAGTCAAAGTGATGGTCACATGACTCTGTATTTCCACTTGACAATAAATTACGAACATTTCTCGCGTCATTAGGAGTCTATAAGCATTATTTTTAGTCATTGTGTAGTGTCCATCAAATGAACTTAATGCTTGAACTCGGTGGTCTCCACCCTTTTTGGCACCGGGGTCTGGTGTCATGGAAGACCATCTTTTCCATGGATAGTTGTGGGTGGATGGTTTCAGGATGAAACTGTTCCACCTCAGATCATCAAGCATTAGATTCTCATAAAGAGTGCCCAACCTAGATCCCTAGCTTGTGTAGTTCGCAATAGGGTACCCGCTCCTATGAGAATCCAATGCTGCTGCTGATCTGATAGGAGATGGAGCTCAGGCAGTAATGTTCACTCGCCCGCTGCTCACCTCCTGCTCTGCAGCCCGGTTCCTAACAGGCTACAGACCGAAATTGGTCCGTAGCCTGGGGGTTGGGGACCCCTACTTTAACTTTTCTGATGGGCTACATTGTCTTGGAGAGAGCCGTCTTGCATGCTAATACCCTCATTTGATTAGCCGGGGACATACAATATTGTCAGAAATGGAGTTAACACACTCCAGTAGCATATAAGTGCAGATTCAGCATATGTTGATATAATTTTTTCTGGGCCCCCACCTGGTAGACTGGCTGTGCAGCTGCCGGCGAGAAACACTGCCTGTGCAAGATGCAAACATATATTTATTGTGGTGGCATTCTTCATATAATTTTTTTAAGCAACCTATATGTCAGTTAACTGGAGATGGAATGTTCTATAGTAATGAAAATGAACTAACTTCAAATGGTCCCCAATGGCTTGACTTACACATTTTTGACTTCATGATGGTGTGAGAGCGACACACACCCAGTAGAAACCATACTTCGAGTACCCATAGAACTATTCTGTTTTTCACTTTCAGTACGGTATTGCAGAAATTACATGAGATACTCAACACTTTATTATAAAATTGGCCTTATGTTAGATGGTTTTGCCCAATGGTAGGCTGATGGAAGTGTCCTAAGCATGTTTAAGAGAGGCTAGACTAAGGGATGATGTTCAGTAGGTTAGGTGTATTAAATGCATTTTGGACTTGTGATGTTTTCAACTTATAATGAGCTTACTGAGACATAACCTTATCCTAAGTTGAGGGGGCATCTATAGAGCGATATTGATCAATATGTTTTTGTGTAGATTGAGTTATTTGTATATATCAATAAACATATATTGCATATACATTGAGCGACTGGAGGACTTCATTATTCACTGAGAGTTTGGGGATGGATTTGGGAAATGGGATTGAGGGTTTGAAGAGGATAATGCAGATCTTGAACAACAATCATGTGGGATGGGGAAAGAATTGTGTCTGGCCACAGGAGTGGAAAGACTCCTTAGAGGCACAGAACAGATTCACAGAGAGCTAGGAGGTAATGGAGTTAGGGTTTTGGAAAGAGAGTGGTTCCAGGCAACGTAACTAGTTGGGTTGAGTGGGAAGGGACAACGAAGGCTGACAATCCAGAGAAATGCTGAAGAGTCAAAGTCTTGGATTGTTGATGAGCAGATGGTGGGAGTGGCAGGGTTGGGCAAATACGAGGTCATGGGATGAGACTGAAATTTTAGAGTTAAAAATTTTAGAGTGTGAACAATGTTAGGTCAGGGCAAGATCCAGAATTTGCCCATGTGTTGGGTTTCTTGAATGGAGTGGAGGTAAAGCTGTTAGAGAATCAGTTCGGGTATTGAATTCACTTAGAACAGTAACCAAAATCTGGGAATGGAGCAAGATTTTTGTTCTGATACCTGGTAAAAGTTTAAAAGCATGAAGAGCAGCGATAAATAAATTTAGCTCAGCTCCCCACTGGAGGACCATGCAAATTATTAGGCACCGTTTCAGTGCTGAATCATCAGGGGAGGTCAATTCACAAATGGAGTCAGCCATTTTATCATTGACACTAAACAGAATCATCACCATAGCATCTTGAATCCAATTACCATTCATCTTTAAGGATCTTGTACATCCCCGCTGAAAAATCAGTTTCCTCCCATGACCCCTTCCCACCTCCCTCTTCAGATTTCTTCAGTTATGGATATTATAGTACTTATCTCCTCGTGCTGTAATGGTCTGCTGGCTTTTCTGCCTCTCTCTCCACTCTGCCCCTTCACGAGTGCTTTAAGGGCAGAAACAGATCTCACTCAGCATCATGTCCTTACCTACGCCATCCTTGATGACCCATGGGTGCTTAGTACACCAAGAGGTGTGATTGTCAAAGGAAGAGGGCTGTGGCAATGTCCTGTAACTAGGAATTAGTGGGTTACTTTCTGTTTGCTGATTGAGACAAGCTCTTTGATTAAGTCATTTCCTGATTTTTGCCTCTTCAAAAATAACCTGTTTATTCAAATTACCTAAGAAAAATATGTGCTTTGTGGAATACTGGGAAAATAAAAATCACCCACAATCCCATCCTTCAGCAATAACCACTGTTAATGATTTAGTGTGTACTTTTACAATCACAAATTTTACTTGTGTGGATAGATAATGCATTAATGGTACAAATTTCAACAGGTAGAAAAGCATATACTGAAAGTGTCCCTCATAACACCTGTCCCTCCTCCTCCTTATCACCATCACCTGGTTTCCCTCTGCAGAGGCAACCCAGGAATATCTGTTTCTTATGTATTATCCAGACATACTCTACACGTTAGGTTGGTGCAAAAGCAATTGCGGTTTTGTCCATACTTTTAATGGCAAAAACCACAATTACTTTTGCACCAACCTAATATTTACAAGCACATTGGAAGGCAGCTACGCTCCCCACTATACCACCGACCCATCTAACAAGCACGTTGGTCTAGTCTTTCTTCTTTTTTTCATAAGTAAATGGTAAACATTTGATGCACACTGTTTGCATCTGGCTTCTTCATTTAACAATACATCTTGCAGGTCATTCCACATCAGGATATAAAATCCGCTTAGCTTACTCTTTTAACAGCTCTTAGTCCATTTTGTGTTGCTGTAGCAAAATACCTGAGACTAGGTAGCTTATAAAGAAAACAGGTTTATATGGCTCATGATTCTGGTGGCTGTAAAGTTCAAAATTGGGCATCAGCCTCTGGTGAGAGCCTCAGGTTGTGTCAAATCAGGGCAAGAAGCAGAAGGGGAGCGGATGTGTGCAAAGAGATCACATGGTGAGAGAGGAAGCCTGGTGGGGGGTGGGGGAGTGTTGGTGCCAGGTTCTTTTTAACAACCAGCTGTTGAGAGAACTAATAAAGCAAGAACTCACTCACCCCTGAGGGAGGGCATTAATCTATTCATGAAGGATCTGCCCTCGTGACCGAGACCCCTCCCACCAGGCCCCACCTTCCAATATTGACACACTGGGGATAAAATTTCAACATGAGGTTTGGAGGAGACAAATCATGAACCATATTCAAACCATAGCAATACTCTTCCATTGTTTGGGTGTATCATAGTTTATTTAACTTTTCTATTAATGGCTATTTGAGTTGATTCTGAGCTTTTTAATAGTTGAGGTTTTATTATGAAGATTTGAGTGTCATGAATGCTAAGGGGGCCATCACTAAGCTTTAACTTGAACCAAGCATTTTTATTTACACTCCTAGCTACCAACCCTCCTTCTTCCTATATTATTTGAGAGCAAATCCCAGACATTATATCATTTCGTCTGTAATTATTTTAGCATATATCTCCAAAAATATGAGGACTTAAGAAACCCCACAGAACCAATATCACTCCTAACAGGTGTAACAATAATTCCTTAGTATCATTAAATATGATCTTTAAAATTCATCTATCTGTCTATCTATAACGCACACACACACCGCACAATATTACAGCCACTAGCCTGGTTCATATATTATTCTATGTGTTTGTATGCTTGAATAATACATTTCTAGAGGTGGAATCATTGAGTTAAAGTATGCATTTATAACCAGTATAAATTGCCAAATTGCACGTCAAAGAATTTATAGTAACACACACTCCCATCACTAATGTTTGAGAGGGCCTGTTTTCACACAGTCTTATCCACACTGTGTGTTATCAAACCATTTGATCTTTATCTGCCTTCTAGGTGAAATATAAGTATACAAATGTACTTTTAATTTGCATTTCTCTGATTATGAGTTGGGCTGAACTTGGTGTTATATGTTTAAAAGCCATATGTAATTCTGGCCTTGGGAACTGTCTGCTCTTGTTCTTTGACCATTTTTATTTTGGCTTGTTGGCCTTTGTTCTTATTGATGCTATATATATAAATTTTTTAATGTGAGGGAAATTAGCTCCTCTTTTGTAACATAAATTACAAACATGTTTACTTTGTTTCTGATTTTTCACTTAGCTTATCCTGATTTTTGCCCTGACAAATGTTTTAAGTTTTATTTATCTTGAGACAGAGTTTTGCTCTTGTTGCCCAGGCTGAAGTGCAGCGGCCCGATCTCAGCTCACTGAAACCTCTGCCTCCTGGGTTCAAGTGATTCTCCTGCCTCAGCCTCCTGAGTAGCTGGGATTATAGATGCCTGCCACCACACCTGGCTAATTTTTTGTATTTTTAGTAGAGATGGGGCTTCGCCATGTTGGGCAGGCTGGTCTCGAACTCCTGACCTCAGGTGATCCGCCCACCTCAGCCTTTCAAAGTGCTGGGATTACAGGCATGAGCCACTGCACCTGGCCCGTTTTAAGATTTATATAGAACTTACTGTCTTTTATTTTATGGCTTTTGGTTCGTGTTTCCTCCCTTATTCACTCTTAAAATTATTTAAAAATTCTCATGTTTTTGTAATAGGAATTATGAGTTTGTTTTAATATACTTAATCTTTGATTGTTTTGGGATGTATTTTGGTATAAATTGTGGAGTGCAGTTTCATTCTTACTTTTTTCCAGGTATCTACTTAGTTGTCCCCACGTTATTTTTTGGATTCATCTTTCCCCATTATTTGAAGTGTCACTCGTTATATACTAAATTTCTGCATGCATACAGACCAATTTCTAATCTTTCTACTATTTTTCAGCTAAATGGCTTCATATTATTTATTTAGCTAATCGCCTATTGCTTGTGTTTTCCTATTTTCATTATTACAAATGAGGCTGTAATAAATATCTTTTAATATGTATCTCTTCTTTTTTAGGATGAATTCCTACAATGGAATTGCTGGGTCCAGGGTGTGCACACTTAAGAAATATTTTTATTATTGATATTGTCAAACATACCCAAAGACTGAGTTTCAACAGTTTTCAACATTTTGCTGATTGTATTTCATTGATCACTCCTGCCCCCACCATTTTTTTTCATGGAATATTGTGAAGCAAAACCCATATGTCATATCATTTCATTTATAAAATACATCAGTCTCTCTCTCTAGCTTAAATCAGCATATTTCTCATAATTAAATTTCTCTAGTTATCTCAAAAATGTGCATTTAAGATTTGCTCTGAATAAACAAGGTCTGTATTTTTGAAGGCTGTTATTAGTTACTGTTCAATTGTACCAATTTACACTCCCACTAGCACACGGCAAATGTTGCCATCACCCTACACCATACCAGGCACATCATCAAACAAACCTTCTGGATTTTTCTTCCAGTTGCTGGAGTCAGAAACCTTGGAGCCCTCCTGATGTCCCTCCTTTTCTTTCATCCCAAACCCCAGTTTTCAGAACACCCTGCTGGCTGTACCTTAAAACCCATATATACGTTGACCACTTTTCCCTCCTCCGCTGCTGTCATCCTTTGGACCTCAGAAGCAGCCTCTCTCTGCTCTCAGGATAGTCCAGTAGCCAGAGGCATCTTTTTAATACACAAGTCAGATCCCGTGACTCCTCTGCTCTGTAACCTGCCAGAGCTCCCACCTCATTCACAGTAAAAACACAAAATGTGCATAATCTGCCTTCCCACCCATTCCCTCTTGGGTCTTCTCACCTGTTTTTCTCTCCCTGCCTGACTCACTCCACCCCAACCCAGTGACTCAGTATCCTTGCTGTTCCTCCAACACATCAGGCATACATCTACCTAGGGATTTAGCACTGACTGTTTCCTCTGTCTGGAACACTCTTCTCTAGACAGCCCATGGCTACCACCCTTACCTCAAGTCTTTGCTCAGATGTCCCCTCAATACCCTAACCTCTGTATTTAAATGGTACCATTCCATCCAGCAATCTGCTGGATGGAATGATTGCTGGATGGAATGGTACCACTTAAATACACTACTTCCTCTCCTTTGGGTTTTTACCCTTGGAGGCCCAAGGAACGGGTTACGATTTTTTAAAATTTTATTTATATATTTATTTCAATAGTTATTGGGGAACAGGTGGTTTTCGGTTACATGGATACATTCTTTAGTGGTGATTTAATTCTTTATGGGTGATTTCTGAGATCTTGGTGCATCTGTCACCCAAGCAGTGTACATTGTACCCAATATGTATTATAGTCTTTCATCCCTCAACCCCTCCCACCCTCCCAGCCATAAAAGAGAATGAAATAATGGCCTTTGCAGCAAATTGGATGGAGCTGGAGACCATTATTCTAAGTGAAGCAACTCAGGAATGGAAAACCAAATATCATATGTTCTCACTTCTAAGTGTGAGCTAAGCTATGAGGATGCAAAGGCATAAACATGATATAATGGACTTTGGGGATTCAGGAGAAAGGTAGGGGAAAGGGGTGAGGGGTAAAAGACTACAAACTGGGTACAGTGTACATTGCTCAGTTGACAGGTGCACCAGAATCTCAGAAATCACCACTTTTCTTTTGGGTGTCTATCCAAAGGAAAAGAAGTACCTACCCAAAGGAAAAGAAGTCATTGTATGAGAAAGACACATGCGCACACATGTTTATAGCAGCCAACAAGCCTTGTGGATCTTTCTTCCAGTTGCTGGAGTCAGGAACTGGAAGAAATTTTAGCAGCAGAAGTCAAAATTGCAAAATTATGGAACCAACCTAAAAGCCCATCAACCAATGAGTGGATAAAGAAAATGTGGTATGTATACACCATGGAATAATAGCCATAAAATGGAATGAAATAATGGCCTTTGAAGCAACTTTTATGGAGTTGGAGACCATTATTCTAAGTGAAGCAACTCAGGAATGGAAAACCAAACATTGTATGTTCTCACTTATAAGTGGGAGCTAAGCTATGAGGATGCAGAGGCATAAGAATGATACAGTGAGCTGGGCGCGGTGGCTCACGCCTGTAATCCCAGCACTTTGGGAGGCCGAGGTGGGCGGATCATGAGGTCAGGAGTTTGAGGCCAGCCTGGTCAACATGGTGAAACCTCATCTCTACTAAAGATACAAAAAATTAGCTGGGCGTGGTGGCACGCGCCTATAATCCCTACTTGGGAGGCTGAGGGAGGAGAATCGCTTGAACCCGGGAGGTGGTGGTTTGCAGTGAGCTGAGATCACGCCACTGCACTCTAGCCTGGGCGACAGGGCAAGACTCCGTCTCAAAAAAAAAAAAAAAAAAAAGAATGATACAGTGGACTTGGGACTTGGGGAGGACAGGAAGGTGGGGGCGGCAGGGGTAAAAGACTACATATTGAGTACAGTGTACACTGCTTGGGTGACAGGTACACCAGAGATCTCAGAAATCACCACTAAAGAACTTATCCATGTAACAAAACCCACCTGTTCCCCAAAAACTGTTGAAATAAAATTTTAAAACACTGTAACCTGTTCCTTAGTCCATCCTATAATTCTGTACCGCTGTCTACTTTACTCTTCCATTTTTTTAAAAAAAATTTCTGTAGCATTTATCACTTTTCTATACACCATGTTATTTACTTTACAAAGTGCCCATCGTCTGTCTTCCCCTAGTGGATGGCAAGCACGCAGGCCAGGGATCCTTGCTTTGTTCACTGCCATATCCTGCTCCTAGAACAGTGCCTGGCACATAGGAGACAATCAGCAAGTATTTATTGGCTGCATTTGCATCTGATAGATAAAACATGGTGGGCCGGGTGTGGTGGCTCACGCCTGTAATCCCAGCATTTTGGGAGGCTGAGGCAGGCGGATCACTTGAGGCCAGGAGTTTGAGACCAGCCTGGCCAACATGATGAAACCCCATCTCTACCAAAAAAATACACAGATTAGCTGGGAGTAGTCCCAGGTATTTAGGACGCTGAGGCACAGGAATCGCTTGAACCTGGGAGGCAGAGGTTGCAGTGAGCCAAGGTTGCACCATTGCACGCCAGCCCAGGTGACAAAGTGAGACTCCGTTTCAAAACAAAATAACAAAGCAAAACAAAAACCATGGTATATTATGGTGATATTCACTTGAACTAGAAAATTAATAGTAAAAAAATACTGTGAGTTAAAAAAAAATAATGAGTTGTAATTCTTTTTTTATGTAATTTTTGCATATCTGTGTTTTTCCTTTTGGGGAAAATCTGTTTGTCTTTTGCATTGCTCTGGTGGGACATTCTGGTAAAACTTTTCACATATCAAAGACTATTTCCTTGCCTGCTGTAGGTCAGTTCATTTGTTTTTTTTCTTCAGGTTGTCTTTATCTTCATGTTTTTTTTTCTTTGTTTCTTTTTTTTTTGATATGTCAATCTGCCTCCAATTCTTGTTTACAAAGATCTTTTGTCATCTAATTATATTATTATTACTATTTAGAGAAAGGTTCTTGCTCTGTCTCCCAGGTTAGAGTGCAGTGGTAGGGTCATACCTCACTGCAGCCTCAAACTTCTGGGCTTAAGCAATCCTCCCACTTCAGCCTCCCAAGTAGCTGGGACTACAGGCACGCAGTTATGTGCCTGGTGTATGCCCAGTTAATTTTTAAAATTCTTTATAGAAACGGGTTCTGGCTGTGTTACCCAAGCTGGTCTCAAACTCCTGGCCTCAAAGTGATTCTCCCACCTTGGCCTCCCGAAGTGTCATCTAATTATTATTGTTTTAATTCCCTCTGCTTTTTAATTTTCCAAAAGTGAATTTGGGTCTATGGTGTGATGCACAGTTGTAACTTAATTTTTTCCAAGTTCTTAACTGTTCATTGTAGTCTATGTATTGAGTACTTCCTGTTTTCTCCAATAGATTGCAGTGTTACCTTTACCACACTATTTACCTTCAGAATCCCCAAATCCACACGGACATGAGCCGCTCAGCTTCCTCCTGGACTCTGAGCCAGGTCGCTGTCTCTTTAGGGGAAATACGGAATGATTGGTGTGTGTGTGCACGTGTGTTCTGAAATAGTTGGCCTACTGTCTTGTAACTTGCTTAGGATTACATTTCTGGTAGATAGAATTCCTAAAGCAATTTTTCCACTTTTCTGAGCTGCCCTTTTGATATCAGAGGGCTGGGATGAGGTCATTCTGCCTCAGCTGATTTCAGATTTATTTTTCAAGCTGGAGCCAGTGTGAGGCTTTGGAGATAGCCTTTTCAAAGGTGTAGACTTATTTCGATAGAGAAACAGTGTGTTAAAACAAAATGAGAGAGTCGGCAATTTTAAGCAAGTAAATTGCTTCCTATTGATAATGGGATATTTATGCACCCTGCAGTGGAGAACAATTTCCTTCATAGTCAGCTCTTTATCAATTATCAGGAAGGCCAAATGGACTGAAAAATAATGCAGCAGAGAACAAATGGGAGTGCTGGTGTGCAGGGATTTGATGAGCTACAGAGGGGAGCGGTTCCCTGGGCTTCCCCTGAGCTTCCGTGAGCCAGTCTCAATCCTTTCCACGATTTACCCTCAAGTTGTCTCGCATTCTCTCTGGCTAACTTTTTACAGATAGCGATTCCAGGGCCTCTCGTATTTGCAAGCAAATTAGAAACAAGACATGGCGCGGTGTTTACGCGTGCCCTTGCCCATGATGACAGGAAGGACAAGGTTGATATGAGTTAAAATGGGAAAAAAATCACACAACAGAAGAGGAGTTCTTGTTTAGATTAGAACCAGTTCCTCCAACTCCCACCATTTATCATTTTGTTCCACACCTCAGTGCCATGAGTTAATTGACAGATGGCTTTAGAAGAATTTTTTGTTTCATGGGCTGAGCTACACAAGGAAAAAGTTTTCTGCTCACTTCTAGCAGGCAGCTAGAAGTCTTTGGACCCTGTTGTAGGCACCTGAGCTGTCTTGGTTTAAGACACTACAAAATGAGTGAATTAGGAGTGAGAAGTCAAGCGAATGTGTGACCATCGCTGTCCTCTTGTTCTATCGGGGTCACTGCAACAGTGGTAAATAGCTGTGACCCCCAGTCCGCTCCCTGGCTCTGAATTCTCTCTTGGCTATGCAGTATTCAGAGTTGAGCCCAGTCTCTCTCCCCCATAACAAAATCCCATTGCCGTGGTCTCTATAGCTATTGCTGTGGTGCTGATTTAAAGGCTGCCTGATTGTGCTTTCACGAGTATCATTGAACAATTATTTTCTTTAGTACTGCTTAGATGTCTTGTTGCTATTTATACCTTGGTTTTCTGGGACCTGGTCTTAGCACCTAGAATGCTGCCTGACATACAGTAGGTGCTTAAGAAACGTTTGTTGAATTGAGTTGAATTGAATGATCCGAAGATAAACTTAGCTTTGTTTGTTTGCTTGTTTCTTAGAGGCAGTGTCTTGCTCTGTCATCCAGGCTGGAGTGCAGCGGCGTGATCACAGTTCACTGCAGCCTCAAACTTCTGGGCTCAAGTGATCCCCCCACCTCAGTCTCCCCAGTAGCTTGGACTTCGGGCATGTGCCACCATGCCCGACTAATTTTTTAAATTTCTCATAGAGATAGTTGCCCAGGTTAGTCTCGAACTCCTGGCCTCAAGTCATCCTCACACCTTGGCCTCCCAAATCACTGGGATTACAGGTGTGAGCCACCATGCCCAGCCAAATGTAGCTTCTTGAAAGGATTCTCAAGACCCTGGGGGCAGGGGAGGTGGTGCCATGCCTGAGAGAGTTGCTCCCTTCTCTCCATTCACTTTTTCTCTAGTTTCTTTCTGGAACTTGGATTTTGTTCTTCTGGCCTGCATATCTATGCTAAATCCACAAAATGATTTTGTTTCCTCAGATGCCAAGGAGTCTCTAATCTCCGTATATTAACGTTTGCAGCTTAGGAACAGTGTGATCTAATGACAAATTAACTGTATTGATTATTGCCATGTTGTTCACGGATACATTCCACTCAGTTTGCCACTTGGAGGCACATCCAATATTGCCGTATGGGCCAAATGATGCAGTTCCTACTTTCTGTCTTCGGCAGGCATTTGGTCTAATTTTCCCTGAGAAGATGCCTGTGGCTGTGTGACGAATGACTATTTTGTGGAGGGGGTGCCAGGCTTCTCTCCTGCTGCTGTGGAGTTTGCTGGAACATGGGAAAAGGTCGATCTTTCTGTAGAACAAACTATTATATATTACATGTAATATAATATATATTTATATATAAAATATATATTATATATAATTTATAATTAATATATAATTATATAATAGATATTATAATGATAAACAGGTTTATAATAACCAACCATGTTTACAATAATCAAAACACATATTATAATATGCTTATTTATAATAATCATTATGATAAAACCTTTATAGTAATCAAAACATTTTTATTATAATAAACATTTGATGTCTGTAATAATCAAACATGTTTCTGGGTAGATAGATAATTCTGTCTACCCAGAAATGTAATCCTAAGCGAATCACAAGAGCAAGCCAACTATTCCAGAACACATGTGCACACACGCAAATCATATTGTATTTCCTCTAAAGAGACAGTGACCTGGCTCAGAGTCCAGGAGGAAGCTGAGGGACTCATGTCCGTGTTGATTTTTGATTTTTATATATTATAAATAACATAATTATATATCTATATTATATATATCTATACTATATATAATTATATAACATGATATCTATATTATACATAGTACATATTATATAACATCTATATTATATAATACGTAATTTATATATCATATTGCATAATTATATAATATAATTTATATATTATTTAATTTATATATTCACTTAATTTATAAATTATATAATTTATATATTATTATATAATATAGATATATAATAGATATGTATTATAATATATTAATTATATAGTTATATAATACATAATATGGAATTATATATAATATAATACATAATATATAATTATATATAATATAGATTTTATATATAATATATAATTCATATATAAATTATAATAGATATAGATTTTATATATAATATATAATTCATATATAAGTTATAATATAGATATATAATAGATAATATGTATATAATATAAAGCGTTCCACCCCCAAAACAGTCCTGGTCCTTGAGTTAGGAGAGTAGCTTTCTCCCCACTCAAACCTCACCTTCTCCCTTTTCAGGGGAGCCCTTTTCCCCTCACTGAGTCCTGGTCCCCTCACCTGGATTCAGATGCTCGTGTGTCTTTCTTGGGGACCTCCTTTGGGCCAGGCCCTGTGCTGCATGTGGGGTTCACTCACCATCCCACGATCACCCTGCAGGCCTTTTTCAGACATAATCTGAATTGCCTCCTTTTCCTTGAAGCGTAGCCTTGTAATCCTCTGGATCTTGAACGTCAAGAACTAAAACCTAAGAGATAGTTGGATGAAAGGTGTGTTTCCAAGGGTACTATATTTCTGTGCCTGAAATTCATGGGAAGCAGAGGGTGGTGTAATTGATACTGCCTTTTTGAGGGCAACTTGGCAATGTGTATTAAGTGACTGAAAAGTGTTTCTGCCCTTGGACCCAGTGATTGTATTCCTAGGAAGTCATCTTAAGGAAATGGCCATGAAAATGCATGACAATTTGTGTACAAAGATTTCCATTGCAACATTATGTAAAATTGGGAATTATCTAAATATCCCACAATAGGAGTTTGGTGAAATCAATTTTGCTATGGCCATAGGATGGAATACTGATCAACCATCAAAAATGCTGTTTTGCAGACTAGTTACCAATATGGAAGATTGAAAATTGAGTGTGTTAAGTGAAAAAAATGATATAAAGCTATATAGAGAGCATGATCCTAGTTGAATTAAGAACATTTGCATATTAAAAAGTATGGAATGAAATGTGCTAATATGTTAGTAATGGTTATTGCAGACCAGTGAAATATAGATAATTTTTTTTTCTATATACATTTTGGGGACATTTTTCATTGAAAAATACGTGTTGGAGATAAAGATGGGAACAATAGATACTGGGGACTACTGGGGGTCAAGGGCTGGAAAATTACCTATTAGACACTATGCTCACTACCTGGGTGACAGCGTCATTCTTGCCCCAAGCCTCAGCATCACACAATATACCCATGGAACGAACGTGCACATGTACCCCCTGAATCTAAAGTAAAAGTTGAAATTACTTTTAAAAAACTACATGTAATCTGGAAAATGTAGCATATCTCATATGATTTGGCTGTGTCCTCACCCAAATCTCATCTTGAATTTTAGCTCCCACAATTCCCACATGTCATGGGAGGGACCTGGTGAGAAGTATTTGAATCATAGGGATGGGTCTTTCCCATGCTCTTCTTGTGGTGGTGAACAAGTCTCACAAGATTTGATGGCTTTATAAAGGGGAGTTTCCCTACACAAGTTCTCTCTTGCCTGCCGCCACCATGCAAGACATGCCTTTCACCTTCCACCATGACTGTAAGGCCTCCCCAGCCATGTGGATCTGTGAGTCCATTAAACCCCTTTTTCTTTATAAATTACCCAGTCTTGGGTATGTCTTTATCAGCAGTGTAAAAACAGACTAATACAATATCCTATGTAGGGTTAGCTCTGGTTTTTTTTTTTCCTTTCTTTTACCATATAATGCAAGTGATATGGTTTGGTTTTGTCCTCACTCAAATCTCATCTTGAATTCCAATGTGTTATGGGAGGGACCCGGTGGGAGGTTAATGAATCATATGGGGTCAGGTCTTTCCTGCGCTGTTCTCATGATAGTTAATATGCCTCATGAGATCTGACAGTTTTTAAATGGAGAGTTTCCCTGCATAAGTCCTCTCTCTTCTCTTTTCTGCCACCATGTAAGACATGCCTTTCACCTTCTACCATGATTGTGAGGCCTCCCCAGCCATGTGGAACTGTAAGTCAATTAAACCTCTTTCTTTTGTAAATTGCTCAGTCTTGGGTATGTCTTTATAAGCAGCGTGAAAATGGACTAATACAGCAAGTTTACAATAGAGACTTTGAAAATACCCATGAGCAAAGAAAATAAACATCAGCTGTAATCTCACCACACAGAAAGTTCACTGTTAATATTTTGATGTCTATTCTTACAGTCTTCCAAAATATATATCATTTTTATTTTACTAAAATAAGATCACAACGTAGATACTGCTTGAAATCTGTCTTTTGATTTTTAAAACCCATTCTGAACAGTTTTTCATGCTTTTTTGGAGGAGCAGTTGCCTTGTTGATCCTCTGGACTTGCAGCTGTTGATGACCTAGCAGTGGAGTCTAGAACCATTCCAGACAAATGGAACTGATGTGTTCCAGCAATGCGAGATCCCTTCCTTCTGACTTGACATCTTCCCAGAGGGGTCAGCCCTGAGAATTTTGTCATTTGTCATTTTGTATGGAGACCCTCCAGTGATTATCACTCTCATACATATTTAAATCTCATCCACTCATTTTCCTTTTGGCCCTGCCTGGAGCTTTCAGTATCTCTGGCCGGGCTGGGCTTTCTTTGTTTGTTTCTGTTCTAATTTGCTTTGTTCTTTCACTGTTGAGGAATTTTCCATTAGCTTTAACCTACCTGGCATGCTAAAATCGATTCAGCTTAATCTGTCCAGGTGTAACGTTTGGGGACAGATTAACTTTATGCTCTAGTTCTTAAACCCTTAGAAATGCCTCTAGCTTTCTGACTATCTTGTGCCATTCTAGCTTAAGAAAGAAATACTTTTCATGACCTGAGTAGTAGAATTTCACCACCTCATAAAGTTACCAAAATGCTCTGCTTTCAGTATGATAGCTAGGGAAGGAGTTGACTTAATTTTTCCATTAAAGATGTGATTTTGACCATGAAAGAAATTATTATTTTTCATAACCTGAGATAGTGTTTGTTGGTATAATTTCACCACTTAATAAGTTACAAAAATGCCCTTCTTTAAGAATGATAGCTAGGGAAGGAGTCAGATTCATGTTTTAATTAAAAAATGTGGTTTTGGCTATGAGGTAATGAGAAAGGCCAGGAATGTGACATGCAGGGACATCTGAGATGCATAGTAGGTTCATCCTATCAATGGCCCACCAGCCCTGAGCACTGGGCCTGTGCACCTTTTTCCCCAACACTGCCTGCTGTCTGTTCCCAGGGTCAACAGTGATTCTTTTTTTTTTTTCTTTTTTTTTTTTGAGACGGTGTCTCGCACTGTCGCCCAGGCTGGAGTACAGTGGCGCAATCTCGGCTCACTGCAACCTCCACCTCCTGGGTTCAAGCAATTCTCCTGCCTCAGCCTCCTGAGTATCTGGGATTACAGGCACCCACCACCAGGCCTGGCTAATTTTTGTATTTTTAGTAAAGATGGAGTTTCGCCATGTTGGCCAGGCTGGTCTCAAACTCCTGACCTCAAGTGATCTGCCCAGCTTGGCCTCCCAAAGTGCTGAGATTACAGGTGGGAGCCACCGTGTCTGGCCAACAGTGACTCATTCTTAAGCAATGTAAACCAAAAATAAAATCCTAGGCCCCCAGCCAACTGAACAGACCCCAGTTTGGGCCAAAGGGACCCCCAAGCACCCTGAAAAACTGAATTCTGGCCATGATGGGAAGGGAGGTCACACACACACACCTTGTTATATCCCTTCCCTTTCAGAGTTTAGGCATAACTGACCAGCATTAAGATTAAAATGCAGACCATAAGACTGACCAAACAGTGTCTTAAGGTAATAACATACCAAATCCAGCCTGACCGGTATAGCATCACATGCTCTCTGAGGGCTGCCATCTATGAGACTTCATCTACGTAACAAAAACCTCGGCTTCGACAGTCCCCTTATTTTAACTCAAGCATTCCTTTCTTCTGACTTCTTAAGTGTGGTATGATCATAGCTCACTTTAGCTTCAAACTCTTGGGTTCAAGCAATCCTCCCATCTCAGCCTCCTTAGTAGCTGGGACTGCAGGTGTGCACCAATACACCTGGTTAATTTGGTTTTTAATTTTTTGTAGAGATGGGGTCTCACTATGTTGCCCAGGTTAGTCTTGAATTCCTGGTCTCAAATGATCCTCCTGTCTTGGCCTCCCAAAGTGCTGGAATTACAGGCATGAGCTGCTGCACTCAGCCTCAGAAAATCTTTTAATCCCCCTACGACCTGTAAGCACCTCCACTTGAAGATATCTGGCTGAATTAATGTTCACCTTCCATGTATTAATTTATGTCTTCGCTTATAATTCCTATCTCCCTAAAATGTATAAAATTAAACTATAACTTGACTACCTCGGGCACTTTCTCAGGACCTCTTGAGACTGTACCTGAGCCATGGTTATTCATATTGGCTCAGAATAAACCTCTTTAAATATTTTACAGAGTTTGGCTCCTTTGGTCAATAGCTGGGTGGTAGCTGGCCAAGGTGAATCTGGGCTGGGTAATTTACTGATTTACAGGAGTCCTGTTCGACACTAGATTCTCATCTTAACAGCACAGATGCAGTGACTAGTTCCAGATTAATACTTGCAGCTAACTTGGAGGTATGGCTGGCCGCTAGTGCTAGCTGTGCCCTTTTGCATGGCGCCATCCAGGAGAAGCCCAAAGCCCCAGCTCAGTCCCCTCCTGCTTCCGTACCCTGTTGTGCCCTCTTTGAAGGGCCTCTCTGCCATGCTTCCTCCAAGCCTCAGCCTCTCTCAGCCTCTAAATCTCACCTCCCTGTATACTTCCTCAGAGATTTCTATTTCATCTTTCTCTCCTCCAGCTCCTGTGCATGTTTTTCCCTTAGGTAAATCTTAAGCCTTTTTTTAAAAAGACAGGGACAGGGTCTTGCTATGTTGTCCAGGCTAGTCTCATTTAAGTCCTTGAAACTGCCTAAAATGCTTTGTGAAATAAGATTCCATTTCAACAAACAAAAGCAGGAAGTGCCTTCAGGACTGGGCTCGGCTCAGGCGTGCCTCTGCCATGTCTCACTTGAGCCTTCTTTTCAAGTCTGAGCCTGGAGTAGAGGCACGTTCAATGAGTATTTATTGAAATAGATGCAGTCACACCTCAAATAGCAAATCACCTAAGGAGTCACAATCCCTTTTTAAAAGTGTGCCCAGAAAAAATAAAAACTAGGATGTAGTCCATATACACAATGGACTGTTATTCAGCCATAAAAATGAATGAGATCCTGTCATTTGCAGGACCATGGATGGAACTGGAGGTCATTATGTTAAGTGAAATAAGTAAAGCACAGAAAGAAAAATATTGCATGTTATCATTCATATATGGGAGCTAAAAAAAGAGGATCTCATGAAAATAGAGAGTAGGTTGCTGGTTACCAGAGGTAAGGAAGGAGGGGAGAGAAGGTGGGGGATGGAAATAAAAAAGAATGTATATGGCCGGGCACGGTGACTCACGCCTGTAATCCTAGCACTTTGGGAGGCTGAGGCGGGCAGATCACAAGGCCAGGAGTTTGAGACCAGCCTGGCCAACGTGGCGAAACCCGGCTCTACTAAAAATACAAAAATTAGCCAGGTCTGGTGGCACATACCTGTGATCCCAGCTACTTAGGAGACTGAGGCATGAGAATTGCTTGGACCCAGGAGATGGAGGTTGCAGTGAGTCGAGATCGCACCACTGTGCTCCAGCCTGGGTGACAGTCACTGTGTCTCCAAAAAAAAAAAAAAAAAAAAAAAAAGAATGTATATGTGTAATGTATTTATCATTACTGAACTGAACACTTAACAGTGGCAAAGATGGTAAATTATATTTTTGACCTTAATTAAAAATATTAAAAAATAAAATAGATCTTTCCATGAAAAAGTAAAAAAAAAAAAATCCAGGTGGAGATGATGGTGCTAAAAAGTGAGTTATACAAAGCAGCAGTGTATCCACCCCTCCATCTAAGTGGCTTGTTCCTGTGGCCCATGTTATTATTATACACTGTATATTATATATAGTATATATTATATATTATACATTAATATATATAATTGTATAATATATACTATACAGTATATAATAATGTGGGACATGGACATTATACTATATATTTATATTATACTATATATATTATACTATATATATAGTATAATGTCCATATATAATGTAATGTCCATATATAATGTAATGTCCATAATGTCCCACATTACTAAAAATGGGAACACTTCTGAGCTCCTGTTGCATGCCCAGCCTCCTTTTTCTCTTGTTGCCCAGGCTGGAGTGCAATGATATGATCTTGGCTCACTGCAACCCCTGCCTCCCAGGTTCAAGTGATTCTCCTGTCTCAGCCTCCCAAGTAGCTGGGATTACAGGCATGTGCCACTACGCCCAGCACATTTTTGTATTTTTAGTAGAGACGGGGTTTCGCCATGTTGGCTAGGCTGGTCTTGAACTCCTGACCTCAGGTGATCTGCCCACCTCGGCTTCCCAAAGTGTGGGGATTACAGGCATGAGCCGCCATGCCTAGCCCCAGCCTCCTTTTTCTAGCACACTTCCCTCTGCCTTCGTAGCTCTGTCCCTTTCACCTCTATGTTTCCTAATTTCTGAAGTCAGTTGATCATTATTTGCAGACTGATAGGTTGTAATTAAATCAGAACTCATTCACACTAAAGCCCTCCCTGGGATTAAACCAGCATTTTCTATGCAGCGATCATCATTTTATCCCCATTTTCCATTCTTGTCATATTTTCAGCATCACCTGTCTCCAAACTCTTGCCAAGTATTTGCAGCTGCTCGCTAGAAGCAATCACCAGGGTATCACTCAGACACCTATCCTCAGTGTGGCCAAACCTCACTTCCCTCCAAGACAGCCTGCAGTCCCTCCTGAATTGTTTGTTGTTAATGCCATCACGTAAACTACAGTGTTGCCTTCCCTTCCCTTCCCTTCCCTTCCCTTCCCTTCCCTTCCCTTCCCTTCCCTTCCCTTCCCTTCCCTTCAACTTTTATTTTTACTTTTACTTTACTTCTTTCTTGGGTTTTACCATGTTGACCAAGCTGGACTCAAACTCCTGACCTCAAGTGTTCCACCCACCTCAGCCTCCCAAAATGCTGGGATTACAGGTGTGAGCCACTGTGCCCAGCCCTCCAGCATTGTCTTTCAAATCATCCCTCTCCCAGACTCTGACATCTGAGCTCTCCTTGAGCACCATCCACTCTATCTCTGAAAAGTCTCTCAAACTCTTCTTTCCACAGTGTCCTCTGCCACCATGCTGGCTTAGCTCTGAGTTCCTCATCTTCCCCTTAGACTCTGTGACAGCCTCTTATCTCTTGTCATTCCAGCTGTAGCCACCCTGATGCCTGAGCTCTTGGTCT
This sequence comes from Homo sapiens, assembly GCF_000001405.40. Lineage (NCBI taxonomy): Eukaryota > Metazoa > Chordata > Mammalia > Primates > Hominidae > Homo > Homo sapiens. The sequence goes on along the minus strand of NC_000007.14, from coordinate 72,113,868 downwards.
AAAAATCTCACCCTTAAAAAATATATATTTTAAAACCACTGGGAGCTCCCTGTGGCCTACATGAAAGGGTCACACACTTTAAAAAGAAAAGTCCGGAGTATAAATATTTTAGTCTTTGTGGGCCCCACAGTTCCTGTCACAATTATTCCATTCTGCTGGTATAGCACAAAAACAGGAGAAAATAGACAACCAGTGGAGACATATAGAAACAAATGTGCATGGTTGTGTTCCAATAAAACTTTATTTGTGAAAGAAGGTGGTGAGCTAGGCTTGGCTACAGGCCATCCTTTGCCAACCCCTGGCCTGCGGGGTAGAGCCCAGATGGCTGTGAAGGCCCATTGCAATATTGCCTGTCATAGTCTGTTTTGTGTTGCTATAAAGGAAAACCTGAAGCTAGATAATTTATATAGAAAATATATATTTGGCTCATGGTTTGCGGACTGTATAAGAAGCATGGCACCAGCAATTGCTTGGCTGCTGGTGAGGACCTCAGGATGCTTCTACCCGTGGAGAAAGGCAAAGGGGAGCCAGTGTGTGCAAAGATCCCATGGTAAGAGAGGAAGCAAGAGAGAGAGAGGGAGGTGCCAGGTTCTTTTCTTTTAACCAACTCTTGCAGGAACTAATTGAGGACTCATGCAACCCCTCCTCCTCCTCCCAGAGAGAGTATTGATCTGTTCATGCAGGATCTGGCCCCATGGCTCATAGGCCTCCCATTAGGCTCCACCTCCAACACTGGAGATCAAATTTCAACATGAGATTTTGGGGAAAAAACATCCAAACTATAGCATCGCCCTAGTGCAATTCTCCACTCTCATCTCTCAGTGTTTCTCGTTTCTCCACCCACCGGGCAGCCAGAATTGTAGACATGCCCGTGTCTTGCCACATTTTCCCACCCCTGCCTGTTTACCCTTCTCTTGATAGACTTGAGATTTAAAAGATTCAAGCGTAACCCCAACAGCCCTTCCTCAGAGTTGTCCCTTCAACATCTCGACCTCCGTGGGATTTTGTGTATACTTGTATTATAGCACTTGTCATTCTTGCTTATGAACATCTGGTCACCTCTCTGTCTCTTCAACTGTAATACAGATTTATTGCAGCCTGGAAAGTTTCTTTTGCTACTTATCTATCCTGGCACAGCCCCTGACATATAAGTAAACAGCAACTCTTTGCAGAATGAATGGCTTATTAATCATCTGTAAATATTCATTTTTTGCCTTTCTTAGAGAAGGTGAAAACCTTTCTAAATCTCTTTGTCATAGGCTCAGTCCCTGCCCAATTTCTTCCTTTGCATAAATAACTCTAGGTTTGTATCTTACATTTTCCGGTGCATTTCCATAGCTTTTAAATAACTGCCTTGCCTAGCCTCGCTGAACTGCATCTTTCTCCAGTTTTGCAGTGTCTCAATGCCATCTAGCCTCACAACGCATCTTCTTTGTTAATAAAGCCATCACTTTATGCAATGAAGACCCACATTCTTCCTGAAGATATATTTCTGTGAAGAATAAGCAGATTTTGCATCGTACACATACTGAGATAGGAGAAATTGTTGTTCTTCATTACCAATTTGAGGTGGCAAATTAGTACTGTAAATTTCACCTGATTCTTCAAAGCTAGAACATCAGCCAACTAATATCGATGCTGGCTGGTGTCTGGACTTTATCTGATGCCTGAGAAATGAGTCTCCTCCCTGCGATAGCTGTGCTTTTGCTGTTGTTCCTGCCTGGAATTGGCTGTGTCATTAGGAAGCATCATGGAGCTGAGGCCTGATTCTCAGAGGGCACTAGGTCCCAATGCAGACTTTTTTTTAAGAAAAAAGAGAGCCTGGCACGGTGGCTCATGCCTGTTATCCTAGCACTTTGGGAAGCAGAGGGGGGTGGATCACCTGAGGTTAGGAGTTCAAGACCAGCCTGGCTGACATAGTGAAACACCGTCTCTACTAAAAATACAAAAAATTAGCCGTCGTGATGGTGGGCGCCTGTAATCCCAGCTATTCATGAGGCTGAGGCAGGAAAATTGCTTGAACCAGGGAGGCGGAGGTTGCAGTGAGCTGAGCTCATGCCACTGCACTCCAGCCTGGGTGACAGAGCGAGACGCCATCTCCAACAAAAAAAAAAAGAAAGAAAAAAGAGTTACCAGCTCATGCCTGTAATCCCAGCACTTTGGGAGGCTGAGGCAGAAGGACTGCTTGAGGCTGGGTGTTTGAGACCAGCCTGGGCAACATGGCGAGACCCTGTTTCTACAAAAAATGAAAAATAAAAAATTAGTCGAGCATGGTGGTGTGTACTCAAGAGGCCAAGGCAGGAGGATCTCTTGAGCCCAGGAGCTCAAGGCTGCAGTGAGCTATCATGGTGCCACTGCACTTCAGCCTGGGCAACAGAGCAAGACTATCTCAGAAAAAAAAAATAAGTTACCAGCATAATGAGAAGTAAATCTCTTGGGCTGAATAACAGGATTATTTCTTTCCAAGTCCTTGCTTGGCTCAAGACTCTCTGCTTCCCTTTAGGGAGGAGGGGCTCAGATCCCTGTGGGAACGCCAACTTTGATTCTGGGCGACTCCATATGCTTGCAGAGACTGGAGTCCTTTCAGACGATGCGTGTTGCCACGTGTCTTTTCATACTCCACACAATGACAGTTGGACAGGTTCCTATCACCATTGCAGAGAGCATTTCTGTGGCCCACAAAGACATCTTGGAGGTGGTTAAAATTGGCATACTAGTGTCTAACGTGCACGTGTTGCATGAGATGGAGGAGTAAAGTTTAATTAAAGACCAAAGATACAGCGTGCTCACGTAGCCCTGGCGCACCAGAGACTTTAGGCCAAAGAAGGAGTACGTTTCGGTGAAAAGCACACAACATTACTGCCTGTTCTTGAAAACTTGATCTGTGGTCCCTAGTTCCCAAGGATGGGAAAGTGGCCAAAGCCCACTCAATGCTGGGAGCCGTCCTCCTAGAGCCAGAGGGATCCTGCCTGTTCCAATGTCTCCGTGGGTTTTACGGGCATATTTTTCACACCCTGTTTTGCTATTAAAAATAAAATGAGGCACACATCACATGTCTTTCCCAGACTGCAAGACCCATTTCCTTCTAATAAGCCTCGGTTTGCCTGGGCTTTCCTTACCCTAGAAACATTAACTCTCCCGAGGTGCCTATTATGGATTTCTAGTTTTGTATTTTTTTTCCTGTTTCTGCTATTTTGAAAAAAAAAAAAAAAGTTAGTGAGGTTTGTCTGCTTCTGCAGACAGACAGACACACACACTCACATAGACACACACACGAATTCTCTACGTGGGAGCCAGGAGCTCCCTATGCAAATAGAGAATAAAGAAGGACAGCTTTGTCCTACTTACCTGCATGCCACAGAAAATAGAACCCTGAGCTGATGTGTGGCCTGCGCTGTCCTGGGCTTGGTTGGAGGAGGCCAGCCTTGCTACAGACTACAGAGTAAGCCACAGGCATTCAAGGCTTCGAAGGAGCAGGTCCCTTTAGAGGAGGGAAGTTCTGGAGTGACCTCCATCTATGGTCTGACTTGCTAAATCCAGTAGCCCCAAAGGTGGGGCAACTCGGAGGTCCAAAGGCTCAGCTGTCCGGGTCCTCATTTCCAGGCCATGTTCTCAAACACCCCCAGCTAGGGCCCGCTGGGGTGTCGCCCAATGTAAGGATGTAGGTTGATGCTTACCTGTAAGGTCTAGGGCATACAGGAAGACCACAGGAACAAAGGTCTGTCAATGGAAGGGACCCACCCTGTCCAGCCATATCAGTAACCCAGAGAGTTCAGGATTGAGTCAGAAGGAATGGGAAGTGGAGATGATGCCTTGGGAAGGAGCCTTCCGGAGAACTAAGAGCAAGACTTAGCTTACAACTGGCTATCCAGTAACTGCAGCCGCAGACCTTGTCATCCTCTGACACTTCCTACTGTTGCATCGTATGTCCTGGCCCCAGTGTAAAACCCTGCTATAGAGGCTGGAAGGACATCACACCTAACCCATTTTTTCAGATGGGGAAATTGAGGCTGAGGGGGAAGGCTGCACCAGCTTGCAGAGCAGAGCTGGCGCTTGGCGCTGGCTGCCTCATGGGCTGACTCTCACGTCGGGAGGCCTGGCCTCTGCGTCCTCCCATCCTTGGCAATTGGGGATCTGAGCTCAGGCCACATGAGGCCATGTCCTCCACCACAGTGTCCTTGAGCACAGTGTGCCATGACCTCAAGCTGAGTAGTGGCTCCACGCTCCTTCCAGGCCAGTCGGGACTTGGTAGGAAAACATATGGCTGTTTTAGGTAACCTTGGGCATATTTCATTGATGGGAAAAGCTCAAAATGCAGACAAACGCCTTGATTCAGAATTTGGGTTGGACTAAAATTTGTTTCTATACCATTGATGGAAAGAAAGGGGAGGAGGTGTTGAACAGCAGATTAATAGGGTGTGTAAGAGAACACAGGCTTCCTGTTCTTCACTTAAACACTTCAACGATGTCCACGGATGCACAGAAAGAAGGGCTGGAGGACCTGAGGGATCCATGCAGCCAGCACAGCTCATTTTACGCATGAACAAACTGAGGCCTCCAGGGTTTGGCCGTGGACCTAATTAGCTAATACGCCTGGCTGGGAGCCTAGGGTCCTGGTGCACAGGGTGGTCTTCTCTCTGCTGGGGCCCACAATTCTTCCCAGAAAGAATTCAGCATGCTGGATTAGTATTGATAATGAATTTACTACTAATATATGATCCTTACCCATTCAGACTCATCATCCCTTGAACAGCTATCTGTCTAGCGCCTCCTACAATGTGGGCGGGGAACACACTAAGATGAAAGAAGGGTAGGAGGTGCTTACCGCTCAGAAAAGAAGCCAATGGTAGTATTTCTAGATGGAGTATGCTGGATGTCACAAGAAAGGAATGAATGACCTGCTGTGAACAGTCAGCAGAAAGGGAGATAACTTGGCTATGGTGAGCAAAGACAGTTTTGCGGAATCCATGACCCCTGGTTTGGTGTTTTGCAATGGGCAAGTCCATGCAAACTTACTCCCAAAGTCCAAGGAAGCTGAGAGGCTGAAAAAAGAGGCTGATATATCTAGCTTGTCAGAAAGAAACATTTAATAGGGACTTGGGCTATGTCTGTGTCTTGCGGCATGGTGAGACAAGATGGTGGATGCCCCCAGCCATCACCTACCAGACCCAGGACTTATATATCATAGGGAAGGAATGTATAGACGATTGTAGGGAAAGGCAGGAGTCTGCCTAAGGGCAGGGTGTATGGTAAGAACAAGGTCTTACACAAGGAACAGTAGATAACATAGAAATTTGGGAGGCATTCCCAGAATTAGAGTTTGTCAGAAGTCAACATGGCAGATTAGCATCCAAGATGGAGTCACTTTAGCATCCACACTTGACCTTGAAGGATGGATATAATTTTGGGCAGGGAAAAGAAGAAGGGAAGATATTTTAGGCAGAAGCACTGGATGCAATAGTGTAGCAATCTCAAAACCAGCCCCCAAAGATATCAAATCCTAATCTCTGAGATTTATAAATGCTATCTTACAGAAAAGTCTTTGAAGATGTGATGAAGTTAAGAATCTTGAGATGGGGAGATTATCTTGGATTATCTGAGTGGTCCCTAATGCAAACAGAAGTGTCCTTTAAGAGCAGGACAGAGGGAGAATTACAGACAGAAGAGGAGAAGATGGAGATTGGAGTGATGGGGCTGCAAGCCAAGGAATGCTGGCAGCCTCTGGCAGCTGGAAGAGACAAATGGATTTTCCCTTAGAGCCTTCACGGGGAGCACAGCTCTGCTGACATCATGATTGTGATCTAATGATGCTGATTTTGGAATTTTGGCCTCCAGACTGTGAGAGAATAGATTTCTATTGTCTTAAATCACCAAGTTTGTGGTAATGATCATGCCAGGGCATGGTCAGATATTCAGTGCGGTAGTAAGTAAATGAGTCAGAACCGAGGGGCTTGTATGCGTTTGAAGAGTGATAGAAGGTTTCTGCATGCATCTTACCATCCTGAGTGGAGTCGAGCTGAGTGGGAGAACCCCAATGCCTGGTGGATCATTTTTATTTTTCCGTATTTATTAATACTGTGCTTCTCACGGAATAGAAAGTCAATACTAGTTGACTTTCTATCAACTAGCGTGGCATGGTGAATAATGGCAGCTGACATATCTGGGCTTGCACTGGGTTTATTGATGAAAAGTCAAAGCTGCTCTAGGTCTGGTGTGCTCAGAAACAATTAACGAACCTTTCATCTTCACACTGTGACCTCCAATTCCTTGTGTTATACATCCAATCCAGGACTGACAGCTGCAGTGGCTCTGGAGAAGGGGACTCTGGGTGGAATTTAGAGCAACTCTGGTTTAGGGGAAGAGGAGAGATTGCCTGCCAAGTGAAACAGCCCTTGCTGACCGCAGAGTCAAGTTCTCTGCTAGCCCAGGGGCAAAGTGATTAAAGGCATCTTTTGAGTTTTCACGATGCTCTTATTGATCTGAGGTTGTTTATATCTACAAAACACCTGTAAATTAGGAGAATGAGTCAAAAACAGCCGGATACTTAACTCTTCTCCTCCTATGAGGCTGGAAGAGCTTTCTGCACAGCTCCTACAGCAGCAGGGATCTGAAATATGCCTGCAGAGGGGAGCTGCATTCTCCTTTCCTCCTGAGGACTGCAGTTAAGAGGCAGCTTTCTCCTCACAGCTGAAACCAAATCCTCATCTTTGCTCAGAAAGTGTCCTTGGTTAACATGATTCTCTGCTGGGACCACCATCTAATTGTGTGCCTCCTCCAGAGTTGGAGGATGCTCAGGTCGAGCTGCCTCCTCCCTCCCTTCCTCCTTCTTTCTTTCTTTTTCTTTTTTTCTCTTTCTTTCTTTCTATTTTTCTTTCTTTCCTTTCTTTCTTTCTCTCTTTCTCCCTTTCTTCATTTCTTTTTCTTTTTTTCCTTGTCTGCCTGCGTTCCTTTCTTCCCTCCTTCCTTCCTTTTTCTTTCTTCTTTCCTTTTTTCCTTCCTTCCTTCCTCCTTCCTTCCCTCCTCCTCCCCTCCCTCCCTTCCTTCCTCCCTCCCTTCCTTCCTCCCTCCCTTCCTTCCTCCCTCCCTTCCTTCCTCCCTCCCTTCCTTCCTCCCTCCCTTCCTTCCTCCCTCCCTTCCTCCCTCCCTCCCTTCCTCCCTCCCTCCCTTCCTCCCTCCCTTGCTTTCTTCCTTCCTTTCTCCCTCCCTCCTTCCCTTTTCCCCCTCCCTCCCTTCCTTTCTTCTTTCTCTTTTTTCCTCCCTTCATTCCTCTCTTCCACTCTCCCTTCCACCTTCCTCTTTTTCTCTCTCCCTTTCTCCCTTTCCTTTTCTTTTTCTTCCTCTCTCATTTTCCCTTCTCCTCCTCTCCCTTCCATTTCCTTTTTTCTCTTTCCTTTTTCTTTTCTTCGTTTCTTTTCTTCTGTTCTTCTTCTGTCCTCCCTTTTATCTGATTAAAGAGTTTTAACAAATCACTGTTTTTAAAGCAGTTAGGAGTTCTCAGTAGGCAATCACCAATAACTGCAGTGCAATAAAGCCAGCCATGTGACCACTGGACTTTCTTTGCTTTTCCATTGTAGAAATCCGAGAGGCCTTTCGGGTTCTGGACCGGGATGGGAACGGCTTCATCTCCAAGCAGGAGCTGGGCATGGCCATGCGCTCTTTGGGGTACATGCCAAGCGAGGTGGAGCTGGCCATCATCATGCAGCGCTTGGACATGGACGGTAAGACCCGGACAAGCAGCTTCTCCCCTGAGACATGCCCCGGTCTCATCAGTGAGACCTTCGGTTTATGCAGGGCCTTGCACTTTTAAATCCAGAGACTTGGTTTACATTTGAGAAGCAGAAACTTGGACTAGAACAGGCTTTTTCAGTAACTTTCCATAGAGTTCTAGGGGCCTGTAGAGATGGTTTCAGGGCCACTATAGGATGGGGTGAGGAAAGAGGCCTGGCTGGTGGAACAGTTACAGCATCTTGTTTTTTCCCTTCTTGTCCCCTCCCACCTCCCCATCCCCCTCTTCCCCCTCCCTCATCCCCATCCCTATCCCCCTCTCCCTCCCCCTCCTCCTCCTCCCTCCCTCCCTCCCCCCTCCTCCTCCTCCTCCTTCTTCTTCCTCTTCTCCCTGCCCCTCTTCCTCCTCCTCCTCTTCTAAATAACAGCTTTGTTGAGATAGAATTCACATACTCTAAAATTCACACATTTAAAGTGCACAATTCAGTGGTGCTTAGTGGATGTGCAGGGTTTTGTTTGTTTGTTTCCTCTTTCTTTATTGGATGCTTTGTAGATGTCACACAGATCTACAAGTTACATTGTTGAGAAATTATTTAAAAATTGACCAAGACCAGGGTCTTGGTCCAGAGCTCCAGACTAGAAGCAAAAAGGAATGGGGGCAGTGAGTTGGGGAATGTTCCTCCAACATCACCAAAACCCCTCAAACAAGAATCCTAAGCTCCTCCATGGGCTAGAGCCTGGCCTTGGGCTCCTGGGCTAACCCTCAGTGTCTCTGGCTACATCACACTCAGGAAAAGTTCACCAGCAAGAGGCTGCAGGGAACAGCCAGTCAAGTCCAGACATGGACAAATATAAGTGGAAGGAGGACATGAAACAGGTAACTGTCCCGCTGTAGTTAAGAGTGCAGCTAAGGCAGGTGCGGGGGCAGGGGAGGAGCCAGGGGAGCAGTGCTGCAGCAGTGCCGGGGTGTAGCCCCAGTGTAGCCAGACGAGAGTCACAGATTTGTAAAACCAGCGCCACAATGGATTTTAGTTGGAAGCCACTATCCTCGGCAAACTAACACAGGAGCAGAACGCCAAGCACCACATGTTCTCACCTTTTTTTTTTTTCATGACAGGTCTATTTTAACATTTTTATCTTATTTTCATTTAATTTTTTTAATTGTATTTTATTTATTATTTATTTTAGAGACGGAGTCTCTCTCTGTCGCCCAGGCTGGAGTACAGTGATGCGATCTCAACTCACTGCAGCCTCCGCCTCCCGGTTCAAGTGATTCTCTTGCCTTAGCCTTTCAGAGTAGCTGGGACTAGAGGCATGCACCACCACAACTGACTAATTTTTGTGTTTTTAGTAGAGACGGAGTTTCGCCATGTTGGCCAGGATGGTCTCAATCTCCTGATCTCGTGATCTGCCCACCTCGGCCTCCCAAAGTGCTGGGATTACGGGTGTGAGCCAGCGCGCCCGGCCTAAATTGTGTATTATTTTGGGTTCCAAGATACCTGTGCTTTTTCTCACTTATAAGTGGGAGTTAAATGATGAGAACACATAAACACATAGTGGGGAACAACACACTGGGGCCTGTTGGGGGTGGGGAGGGAGAGCATTGGGAAGAATAGCTAATGGGTGCTGGGCTTAATACCAAGGTGATGGGTTGATCTGTGCAGCAAACCACCATGGCACATGTTTACCTATCTAACAAACCTGCACATCCTGCACATGGACCCCAGAACTTAAAATAAAAGTTGAAGGAAAATAAAAGAACACCTTCATCACTCCAAAAAGGAATTCCACATCTCTTAGCCATCACCTCCCAATCCCCCTGTCCCTGCAAGCCCTAGGCAACCACTTTTCTACGTTGTCTGAGAGACTGGTCAATGGGTAGCAGTTGTTGGTCTCCAGACGGAGGTCCTAACCCAAGACCAGAGGGCTCATGTGTTGTATGTTCTTCTGGTGAGCTGGGGATTCTCATCTACCAGCTTGGACTTGAGGTGTTCCCTGTGGGCCAGGGTGTCTCCAGGCCATTCATTGATTCTCTGCTTCCCACAGACACACATTTCCTAGGCAACCTGGAAAACAAATCCTAGACTTAATCCTGGCCCAGTCACTGTCCCCATTCTTGCCCAGCAGACTGATGGAAGGGGATTCTAAGGAAGAAAATGGCATTATCTTCCTGCCCTACCCCACAAGCCCATATCCTGCACACTGCCTCACTACCTCTAAGTTTTTTGGGATGGTCTATCCCAAGGACACGATAACCCGCAAGCTTTGGAGCCTTCTAAGCTGGAGCTACTGTGTCATTCCCATTGTCACTTCCTTCTGTCTGGACGTTCCCATTGTCCAGATCTGTTCAGAGGCTTCACTCTCAGCCTCCTTCCCCCCCCCTCCATTTCCATCTTCTCCAAAGCTTCAGAGAAATGACCTGCAGCTTATTCTCCAGTGACAGTGGCAGTCCCCTGTCTAGTCCACGCCCTTCTTAGTAGAATCCTGTTTTTGGATTGAAGAATCCTGGGACCAGTAGCAAAAGCACCCTGTTTTCTACCCAACTCTCTGCCCCATTTGGCTCAACAATCCCAAGTTGGTTAACATCTCCAAGTAGCTACTGAAGAAATGAAGTGTTTCATTTAACACTTTCAAAGTAGCCCCATAAGTAGAGCCGTAAGATCTGGTCCTTGCCACCTGTGTCTACACTCTGAGCCTCTTTTCTTAATTCAGTAAGCAAGTACTACGCCCCTTCATATGCCATGACTGCTCCACCCAACCACCTAGACACTCTCTGCTGTACCTCACACCTGGCCAGGACCTCACTTGCTGAATGAGTCCAGAGTCATAGCTGACTAGCTTCATACCACCCTCAAACTCATTGATGGTGTCTTCCAGGATATCGATGGTCTCAATATCCAGGTGATTGGTGGGCATATCCAGGAGAGGAGTATGTAGGGGTTCTGCCAGGTCAGCCAGGCCAGGCTAGATTCAGAGATTTGTGCAACGCATACCACAGTCGATTTTAGAACATTTTCATTGCTCCAAAAAGAAACCTTGCACTTCCTTTTTTTTTTTTTTTTTTTTTTTTTTTTGACGGAGTCTCGCTCTGTCACCAGGCTGGAGTGCAGTGGCACAATCTCTGCTCACTGCAACCTCCGCTTCCCGGGTTTAAGCAATTCTCCTGCCTCAGCCTCCCAAGTAGCTGGGCCTACAGGTGCCCACCACCATGCCCAGCTAATTTTCATATTTTTAGTACAGACAGGGTTTCACCATGGTGGGCAGGATGGTCTCGATCTCTTGACCTTGTGATCCGCCTGCCTTGGCCTCCCAAAGTGCTGGAATTACAGATGTGAGCCACCACACCCAGACAAAACCTTGTACCTCTTAGCCATCACCTCTCAATCCCCATATTTCCCCAAGCCCTACACAAGCACTTCTCTATTTTCTGTCTCTATAGTTGCTTCTGCTGGACATTTTCTACTAATGGAATCATATAATTTGCCTTCCTTTGTGAGTAGCTTCTTGCACTTACTATAGTGTTTCCAAGGTTCACCTGTGTTGTAGCATTTATCATGACTTCATTTCTTTTGATGGCCATATTCCTATTCCACTGTATGGACATAACAGCTTGTTTTATGTCTATTTTCTATTTACTGAGTTTCTGCATACAACCTCACTGGAAAAAATACAACTTTGTAGTGTTTTTAAAATTTGCGACAGAGTCTCACTCTGTCTTACGCCCAGGCTGCAGTGCAGTGGCATGATCTTGGCTCACTGCAACCTCCATCTCCCAGATTGAAGCTATTCTCCTGCCTCAGCCTCCTGAGTAGCTGGGGTTACAGACGTGCGCCACCACGCCCGGCTAATTTTTGTATTTTTAGTAGAGATGGGGTTTCACCATGTTGGCCAGGCTGGTCTCGAACTCCTGAGCTCAAGTGATCCGCCTGCCTCAGCCTCCCAAAGTGCTGGGATTACAGGCATGAGCTACTGCACCCAGCCCTCGTAATGTTTAAAAAGCTTTGAAAAATGGACTGGGCACAGGAGGCGGAGGTTGCGGTGAGCCAAGATCGTGCCATTGTACTCCAGCCTGGGTGACAAAGAGTGAAACTCCATCTTAAAAATAAAATAAGCTTTGAAAAATGACTGCATTTGATAATCTTTAAGTTTCTTCCCTAGTCTAAAACCCTAGGTTTTATCCCAAACCAGCTAGATCCTGCCTTAGATAAAGGTCCAGGAAGGAGGCCTCTTTGTTTTGTTTTGTTAACACATACCCTTTCCCTCTGAAAAGCAGCTTAATTCTAGGCATCGGGCACGAGAGGACTGGGCTTTTGGCGTGCCCAGGTTGAGCATTAGATATACACCAAGAAGCAAGGACAGAGGAGATGGGCAGGAAGTCTCTTTGGAAGAACAGACCAAGGTTATGATAAGGAGATGTTTGCTTGGCCTGCAGGCCAGTTGCAAGAGCGTGGTTTTAGCCTGTTATCTTGCCGGACTTGTTGGGAGGATGATAATAAGGGTGACCATATGGTGAATGGACCCTAGGGCCAACCGCCAAGTGCAGCTGTAGACATTTATTTTCTGGTTCAGGATAGAGATGTTTTATCCAGGGTATTCAGTTGTGTGAGCGGTTCTCAGCTTGTTCTCCCAATTCTGATTGATGGTGACTCACCATGTCTTTGTAGGCCTGATTTGACGTTGCTTTATATTTTAGAGATATTTCTGAAAAGCTGGAGCAAAGCACACCTTTTACAGCAAGATCTCACTTCCAGTGACTTCCATCATTATTTCAGAGATACATTTGCAGGGAAAAAAGTTTCCTCCTTGAAATAAGAAAAGTCTTAATCTATACGTCTGTTTCTGGAACTAAGAAGGCTTTGGGTCTTTGATTCTGCTCACACAACTCTTGTAATAAAACCTAGTCAATCGCACCTGTTATCGGAGGCCGAGGCAGGCGGATCATCTGAGGTCAGGAGTTTGAGACCAGCCTCACCAACATAGTGAAATCCTGTCTCTACTAAAAATACAAAACAATTAGCCAGGCATGGTACCATGTGCCTGTAATCTCAGCTACTCGGGAGGCTAAGGCACGAGAATCACTTGAACCCAGGAGGCAGAGGTTGCAGTAAGCTGAGATCACGCCACTGCACTCCAGCCTGGGTGACAAAGCAAGACTCCGTCTCAAAAAACAAACAAAACAAACAAAAATCCTAGTCAAATGGACTAAATGTGAATGGAATTAGCAATTAGCAACTTCTTTACACATAGGTTGGACTCATTTTTCTTGTAGAGTGTTATTCCTAGTTATGTCCAGAAGTTATTCTTTTTTTTTTTTTTTTTTTTGTGAGACGGAGTCTCGCTCTGTTGCCCAGGCTGGAGTGCAGTGGCGCGATCTTGGCTCACTGCAAGCTCCGCCTCCCAGGTTCACGCCATTCTCCTGCCTCAGCTTCCCAAGTAGCTGGGACTACAGGCACCCGCCACCACGCCCGGCTAGTTTTCTTTGTATTTTCAGTAGAGATGGGGTTTCACTGTGTTAGCCAGGATGGTCTTGATCTCCTGACCTCGTGATCTGCCTGTCTCGGCCTCCCAAAGTTCTGGGATTACAGGCATGAGCCACTGCGCCCGGCTCAGAAGTTATTCTTATAATTGTGGGAGAGTTATTCCTATAAGATTTAAGGATCTTGCTGGGTACCGTGGCCCACATTTTGTAATCCCAGCACTTCGGGAGGCCAAGGTAGGATGACTGCTTAAGGCCAGGAATTTAAGACCGGTCTGGGCAACACAGTGAGAACCCATCTCTGCAAAAACAGAAAAAATTAGCTGGGCATAGTGGTACACGTCTGTAATCCCAGCTACTTGGGAGGCTGAGGCAGGAGGATTGTTGACACTGATGGAGGAGGATTGCTGGAGCTTAGGAGTTCAAGACTGCAGTAAGCTATGATTGTACCACTGCACTCCAGCCCGGGTAACAGAGCTAGACCCTTATCTCTAAAAAAAAAACAAAAAAACTCAAAAAAATTAAAAAAAAGATTTAAGCGTCTTCGGCCCCAAGTTCATGCTTGTTTGTATATTCTCTCATTGGACCCCAGCTTGTGGGGAAATTTTTAGATTATTGCAAATCCTCCCTGATTTCATGAGAGCTTGGAGTCCCTTGGGGCTTTATGTGATGATATTGTTCAAAGAGCTCATCAGGGCTCAGGCATCTGGTATGCGGTTTAAGAGACTACAAGTTTCACCAGTTTATTTGCAACTCATCATACTCAGCTACCAATGCTGAAAGCAGAACTTCTGAGCAAATCTTGCAGCGAATTTCTATTTGTTCCTTTAACAAAAACCCAAGTCATCAACTATTTCACGGTGACCCATCACGTAAAAGCACATTTATTTATTTTTGAAGCTCAGCTTCCTTGAAGTTTTGTTTTGTTGCCTACAAAAGATTTAGTACAAAATCCATGAAAATAACGCATCAGTGTAGGCTACGGGTATTGCTGCCACAAAAATTTATACAGTCCCTAAGTGTGAAAAGAGCTAAATGAAAAATGCCCAGTCTGAGGTTGAAGTGCGTGTCTTGAAGGTATTTTGCAAATTTCACGTTGCCAATGAGTAAACTTCTCAGGTACCAGGTTCTGGTTATGGATGGAATGACTGCATTTAATTGTCCTTAGTGGGGCCTTTTGAGCTGTTCTGTTAAGAAAAAAAAAAAAAAGATTCTAATTATATCCTTCCTTCCTCGCTTCTGTAACTGGGAATCCTCCAGAGATTCGAGCCTACCTAATTAAGTTTCTCTTTGGTGTGGAACATGTGGAATGGCAGTGATGTTTATTAGGTTGATGCAAAAGTAATCACACCAAACTAGTATGTGGATGATGCCAAAAAAAAAAAAAAAAAAAAGGAGTGTTTGGGGCAAAGCTTAGGATTCTTCGCTGTAGGATGACCATGCCTCCTGGTCCGTACACCCCAGTATCTGGGCAGGCAGGATGGCAGTGGTGCCTCCATCCGTCCCATCTGGCTGTGATTAGAAGCAGGTCTGGCCCACACACCAGTCTTCTTTCTCTGGGGTCCCTGCCGCTTTGCCCGACAGTGAGGTCATACCTTCGGCACGAGGCCCGGCTGGAATTCGCCTGGGTTTGTCTGTGCAACTCAAGTTGACACATGAGGTTTTCATTAGGTGGCTCACTGGGAGCGGGGGTGCCTTGCCGGCTACACATGGAACAGTCATCTCCCTGGATTAGGGATCTCGCCTGGATTTCCTGGACACGGATCCATCCAGACATTCCCAGGGGACAGAATGGAAGGCAGGCAGGAGGGTCTGGGATTGCTCACCTGGCCTGGAGCCAGTTTGCCCTCAGTGGTGGGACTGGCTGTGTGTGTGTGTGTGTGTGTGTGTGTGTGTGTGTGTGCGCGCCAAATGGGCTGAACTGCTCAGAGTTATTTTATTTTATTTTATTTTTTATAGAGGCAGGGTCTTACTGTGTTACCCAAGCTGGAGTGCAGTAGTATGCAATCATTGATCAGTGCAGCCTCAAAATCCTGGTTTCAAGCTATCCTCCCACCTCAGCCTCCCAAATGGCTGGGACTACAGGTGTGTGCAACCCCACCCAGCTAAGTTTTTTTATTATTCTTTGCAGAGATGAAGTCTCACTCTATTACCCAGGTTGGTCTCAAGTTCCTGGCCTCAAGGGATTCTCCAGCCTTAGCCTCGCTAAGTGGTGGGATTACAGATGTGAGCCACTGGGCACAGCCTGAACTATTCAGAGTTAAATAAACAAAAAGCCCAAACTTCTGCCCAGTGCCTGGGGTCTCCTCCTTGGCTCATCACTGCAAAAGTTATTTCTTGGAACTTTAACTCAGTTCTTTGTTCTCTTGTGGTCACTCTTCCATTTCTCTTTCATCAGCCTCTGCAGCTAAAGTGACTTTTACCAAGCACCAGTTGGGGACCAAGATTCACCTTTCCTGGATGCCTTTTTTGGGGGCCAGGATCCCTCCATCAGCCCTGATTCTGGAAGCCTGCAGCTCTTTTCCACCAGGCTCCTTGAGACCTTTAAGCCCAATTCCCAAGGTGTCCTTTGCATGTCAGGAATCGACTTCCATCCCCTGCATCGTATTAGTTCTGTATCATCCTTGGATTCGTTGACAAAATAGTCACTTAAAGGCCGGGCGTGGTGGCTCACGCCTGTAATCCCAGCACTTTGTGAGGCCGAGGCGGGTGGATCACTTGAGGTCAGGAGTTTGAGACCGGCCTGGCCAATATGGTGAAACCCCATCTCTAATAAAAATACAAAAATTAGCTGGGCATGGTGGCAGGCACCTGTAATCCCAGCTGCTCAGCAGGTTGAGGCAGGAGAATTGCTTGAACCTGGGAGTCAGAGGTTGCGGTGAGCCGAGATTGTGCCATTGCACTCCAGCCTGGGTGTCCTAGTGAGACTCTGTCTCAAAAAATATATATATAAAAGAAAAAAAAATAGTCAAAAAATTGTCTCCAAAGCTGTATTCTGTTTAATTTTTTTTTTTTTTTTTGGGTAGACATAGGGGGTCTCACTTTGTTGCTCAGGCTGTCTTGAACTTCTGGCTTCAAGTGATTCTCCCACCTCCGCTTCCCAAAGTGCTGGGATTACAGGCTTGAGCCACCACACCCAGCCACAGCTGAATTATAGAAGCAGGTTGAGAAGAATGGCTTCTTGAAGTCACTGTGGGCTGTGCTACACCCTGTGTGTTCCCCTTAGCTCTGTGGTCCCCACAGCAGCTGTTTGGGTGATCTCAGAGCTTCCTGCATCATTCACTGGGGAATAAAGGCTTGATATCCTCAAGACCTAAGGGATGTATTTGACTGATTTCTGCATTTTCAGTGTTCTTTTTTTTACACTTTAAGTTCTAGGGTACATGTGCACAACGTGCAGGTTTGTTATGTATGTGTACACGTGCCATGTTGGTGTGCTGCACCTATTAATTCGTCATTTACATTAGGTATATCTCCTAATGCTATCCCTCCCCTCTCCCCCCACCCCACGACAGGCCCCGGTGTGTGATATTCCCCTTCCTGTGTCCAGGTGTTCTCATTGTTCAATTCCCACCTATGAGTGAGAACATACGGTGTTTGATTTTCTGTCGTTGTGATAGTTTGCTGAGAATGATGGTTTCCAGCTTCATCCATGTCCCTACGAAGGATATGAACTCATCCTTTTTTATGGCTGCATAGTATTCCGTGGTGTATGTGTGCCACATGTTCTTAATCCAGTCTATCATTGATGGACATTTGGGTTGGTTCCAGGTCTTTGCTATTGTGAATAGTGCCACAATAAACATATGTGTGCATGTGTCTTTATAGCAGCATGATTTATAATCCTTTGGGTATATACCCAGTAATGGGATTGCTGGGTCAAATGGTATTTCTGGTTCTAGATCCTTGAGGAATCGCCACACTGTCTTCCACAATGGTTGAACTAGTTTACAGTCCCACCATCAGTGTAAAACTTTTCCTGTTTCTCCACAACCACACTACTAGGTCATCTGGAGTGAATCCAGCTAGCTTTGCAAATGCTTTCCTGAAACAGTCGAACCAGGAAGCGTTCTTGGCAGCTCAGGGGCCCTCCTCGGTCTCCCAAAGGGCTGGGATTACAGGTGTGAGCCATCATGCCCGGCCATGAGCCTGATCCTTTAACAATCACATCAGGTTATTGTGCAGCAATCTGTCCATTGACACAATTGGGTGGGGGCGGGGGGACCCTTGGTTAAAAGAAAACTCTTTGGCTACAGAGAAGTCATTGAGCTTGTGGATATTTGCAGGAGCAAGAAGGTCTGAGTGGAAGATACATGTGAGATGATGAGGAGTTTTTCCCTTGAAAACCTGATGAAGGAAGTAAAGTCTGTCCTTAGGGGTTCAGTCACCCCTGTCTGAATGCAGGTGGCCCTCAAAGTGCTTGCATGTGCAGAGACCTGGTGTCCTCTCTCCTCCATGTGTGGTCCAGGGACAGGCAGAGTCAGCATCACTTGGAAGCATGTTTAAGATGCTCCAACTCAGGCCCTACCCCTGACTTGCTGAATCAGAATTTTCCTTCTATCTATCTATCTATCTTTATCTATCTATCTATCTATCTATCTATCTATCTATCTATCTATCTATCTTTTAGAGACAAGGTCTCGCTCTGTTGCCCAGGCTGGAATGCAGTGGTGTCATCATAGCTCACTGCAGCCTTGCCCCCTGGGCTCAAGCCATCCGCCTGCCTCAGCTTCCCGAGTTGCTGGGACTACAGGCATGCGTCGTCACCATGCCTGGCTAATTTTTATTTTTTATTATTTGTAGCAATGAAGTTTTGCTATGTTGCCCAGGCTGGTGTAGAACTCCTGGCCTCAAGCAGTCTCCCACCTTGGCCTCCCAAAGTGCTTGGGTTACTGGCGTGAGCTACCAGGCTTGGCCCAGAATTTTCCTTTTACCAAGATTCCCAGATGTTTCATATACACATTGAAGTTGGAGATACCCTAGTCTGAGGCACACTTTGACAAATGGAAAGCAAACCCAATTATGTTTCCTTCTTTGAGAGTCTCTCTAGGGAGTGAAGCCCCTCCCTAGTCTCCTGCAGGGAGCTCAGTGCCTGGAGATTTGTAAGTTTACAAACGATATAATTCACAAAGCCACTAGTGTTGGTGAAGAACAACTAAAGAAAAATGTCTCTGCAAATGCCTGCATTTGTGAATAAGCATAATTAGCATTAAACTCTTTTGTATTTCACTCTGTGTTAGTGAATTATGGCTTGTGTGCTTTTGATCTTTACTGTGGCAAGTTTTAACTGGGTAATTAATGATAAATAACACTTGTGTAATGCTCACCAGGACCCCAATAATAACCCTGGATAACAATAATACTAGCTAATGCATGCAGAGTTTTCATCATGGGCCAAAGACTGTTCTAAGCACTTTATTTATTAACTTACTTAGTCCTCACAAAAGCCATAGGTGCTAACTATTATGATTCTCATTTTGTGGATGAGAAAAATGAAGTACCGAGGTTTCTAGAAACTTGCACAGGTCATGCCACTAGTAAGAGCCATATGACTCTAAGATCTTAACCAGATAGCTTTTAGATATAGTATTCTTTTTGCAATTTTAGTGGATATAGGTCACTGAGGGTGACAACAGGACATTGAAACTCTGAAAAACACACACACACGCCCCTGAGTCATAAATACCTTGGTATTTCAAACCTATATGTGAATGTTTTGGCTTCCAATTGCTTTCCAAAATAGTCTCTAGAAACATGGGGTTCTCATGAGGTTACCTTTGGTTGGGCGAAAGACCCTAGCCACTCCCCAAAATATCCTTGTATGAGAGCAGAGGATGTGAATTGAAGACAGTCTTTAGGTTTCTCATTGTTTTGGTGAAGGGAGAATTCTTCAGACTTGCTTGGGACATGGAATGGTAGTGGATGATCATGGCAGTTCCTCTCCAACATTCCTATCTCCCTAAGCAAGTCTGTCTTCTACAGTATGCCCAGGAAGGTATGCCATCTCCATCTTATTAACACTGACCGTGTTGAATTCAAGTTTCAGCCAATGACTAACTAGACTATTTGAGTCCCTTCTAGCTATTCAAGCCAATATATTAAAAAAAAATTCTGGGCCAGGCATGGTGGCTCACGCCTGTAATCCCAGCACTTTGGGAGGCTGAGGCAGGCAGATCACCTGAGGTCAGGAGTTCGAGACCAGCCTGACCAACAGGGAAAAACCTCATCTCTACTAAAAATACAGAATTAGCTGGGTGTTGTGGTGTGCGCCTGTATTCCCAGCTACTCGGGAGGTGGCGGCAGGAGAATCACTTGAACCCAGGAGGCAGAGGTTGCAGTGAGCTGAGATTGTGCCATTGCACTCCCACCTGGGCAACAAGAGTTAAAAAAAAAATTCTGGTATGTGCACCTATTTCAATAAGAGCAGCCTCATCCAATATTACAGTGTATCTTCTTTGATTTAACACCTAGAGTCCATTGTTACACCTATTCCCCAGATGTAAGCTGATTGCAATTCTCTGTTCATTCACATCAGACCTAGAATGTTTCCTCTTGGGATATGCCAATCTGATTCTAGCCATGGGCTTAGAGACAAACCTGGTAGGGGTAGACCTTGAAGAAATAGGCATCCCCTATCAAGGCAACTGCCTTAGTTGTGTTTATTACAGGCCTTCATGGTCTTCAAGTTGATCTTGTCTGAGCTGTAAGAGAGGACGTAAGGGAGACTTTGGGAATCAGTTTTCTAAATCCACCTAAAAATTCCTGTTCTGAATCTCAGGTCCCACTCCTTTTCCATCAGGACCTGAAATTTCACATAAGAGATTTGATGAGTCTGTGATTTCAACTGATAATTCTACAGAGCACACAGTTAAATTTGGCATCTTCCCTGCAGGGTTATAAGAAATAAGTGATTATTTTAGAACCACCGCAGAAGCAATCTAGTTCTCTGTGACTTGAGCTGAGAGTTTAAAGGTCTGAGCTTGTTTGTTCTTACAAGGGTGTTCAGAAGCAGCCATCCCAGCTGGCAGTCCTGGTAGTCATCATCGTTACCATAAAGGTCAAACCTTGGAGCCACTTAGGTCTTCCAAAGCCTTACTTTAAATAATTATTGTATCCCAAGAAACCACAGATGACAGTTAATTAATCATAATGCTAATGCATGCAGTAGATACTAGTATCCCCTTTTCAGTGGGCAAGGAGGTCAGCACTTCATTTAAGGTTAGAGGCAAGCAAACCAATCTCAGAATCCCACTTGGGAAGTTTGTTTTCTCCCTGGTACGAGTGTACGGTGCCATCTTCAATGCAGAAACCGTGCTGGATTCCTAGAAGTGAGATTCTATGTGAAATATAGGAAATTGCTAAAATTCTTCATGCTAAGTAACATTTTCTTAGGCAGGGTTTACCAAAAGGAATGTATGAGAATGCCTGTCTTAGAACATTTTGACCAATATTAAGTATTATAATTTTTAAAAATCATAAGTAACATGATGGTGAAAAGTGGCAATTCATTTTGCTTTAACTAGTATGTGAGAGGAAGAATTTTTTAAATATATTGATTGGTTACCCATTTTTTTCCCCTTTGCAGGCTGCGTACTTTGTTTTCAGAGCTGTTTCAGTAAGGATAGGCTAAGTTATGCTGCAGCAATAAATATACCCCCAAATAGCAGTGGCTTAAAACCACAAAATTAAAGCTGTCACTCAGACTGTGTGTCATCGCGAGTTGGTTGGGTCTTTTCTCTGTGACATCCTCACTCAAGAGTTGTGGCAGAAAGAGACTCCAGCCCGTCTCTCCTTCCATGTTAGCTAAGGCAGGGGAAAGAGACCCGGGGAATCACACAGTGATTCTTAAGGGTTTTGTCACTTCTATTCACATTTCACTGGCTAAAGCAAGTCACATGGCCATGATTATTATCAAAGGGTGTTGAGGAGTACAACCCAACTATATGCCCAGAAGGGAACAAAGTAGAAATACTTGGTGAACAACACTAATGATAACTTTAGAATTTTAGGCTTCTCCTTTTTTTTTTTTTTTTTTTTTTTTTACTAGAATACAATATTCATTGCAAAAGTTTTATTGCAGGGCAAGTTCTTAGAAGTACCATGAAGAAGGGCGAAACACAATTATTATGGGAGACTCTACACATTCCTTTCCATTTGATCAAGTGGATAAAGCAAAGTAACAGAATTTGAATGACACGGAATGTGTGTATATATGTGTGTGTGGGTGTGTGTGTGTGTTATAAATTTTGTACCCTTAAAAAGAGAACAGCTTACTTTTTAAGTGATTCTGGAACATTAAATAAAACATGACTATGTATTAGGCTACAAAGACAACCTAATTAAATCGTAAAGAACAAGTAATATAGGCACATTCTTTGACTACAATACAATAAACGAGAAATTAATAACAAAAGTTTGAATAAGAATCCCACCCACTTGGAAATTTAAAAATTAAAAACCAAAAACCTTTCAATCTCATGAACAGATCCAAGCACTGATTCTGTGGAAAAGAAAAGCAACAAATTCACAAAGATAGCATATTTAATTAAGAAGGAAAGCATTACCACTAAAATAAACTAGATATGAAAAGTAAATATGGGAGATTTTTAAAAAGAATACTTGATACAGTTTCATATTAATGCACTTGAATATCTACATGAAATGGAAATTTTTCTGGAAAAATGTAAATTATTGAAATTGGTTCAAGCTGAAGTCAATAGTCTAAATCAGAAGTTGCATACTTGCAGCCTACCAGCCAAATACAGCTCATAGCCATGTTATATTTGGCCGTACACCATTTTATAAAGCAGAAAATCTCACATTAAAAATATACATTTCTCCTGTTAAAATATTGGAGAATTTGGCAAGACTAGACCTGCATTCCTTCATTGCAATAATTTGGTGGAGTTGAGTGGCCATCCCCTCTGGGTACGGCATCTGCCACAGTCTCCACTGTTCATTAGTGTTCTATGCCTGCCTACTGATGGACTGGCTTGGTCTCTATAGGCTTTAGAGTTTGCAACCCTACCTATACAGACCAGCAATAAGGGAATATTTTACCATTCTATTTTCATTCCTCATTTCCCTTAATTATAGGGAATTAATTTTTCTAGTTTTTAATTTTTATTTTTTATGGATATAAGTTATACATATTTATGGGGTACATGTGATATTTTGATACAAGCATATGATGTGTGATGATCAAATCAGGGTGATTGAGGTATCCATCGCCTAAAGTGCTCACAATTTCTTTGTGTTAGGAACATAGCAGTTGCACTCTTTTAGTTATTTTGAAATATACAATAAATTACTGGGGTGTTTGTTTGTTTGTCTGTTTGAGACGGAGTCTCACTCTGTCACCCAGACTGGAGTGCAATGGTGAGATCTTGACTCACTGCTACCTTTGCCTACCAGTTCCAGCGATTCTCCTGCCTCAGCCTCCCAAGTAGCTAGGATTACAGGTGTGCACCACCAGGCCTGGCTAATTTTTTTTGTATTTTTAGTAGAAAGGGAGTCTCACCATGTTGGCCAGTCTGGCCTCAAATTCCAAACCTCAGGTGATCCGCCCACCCTCTGCCTCCCAAAATGCTGGGATTACAGGCATGAGCCACCGCGCCCTGCCAGTAAATTACTGTTAATAATAATCACCCTATTGTGCTCCTGAACACTAGGTCTCATTCCTTCTCAATAACTGTATTTTTATACCCATTAGCCATCTCTTCTTACCCCACACCCACTACCCATCCTTGCCCCTATAATCATCGTTCTACTCTCTTTCTCCACGAGTTCAATATTTTTTTTAAGCTACCATAGATCAGTGAGAACATGAGATATTTGTCTTTCTGCACTTGGCTTGTTTCACTTAACATAGTGTCTTCCAGTTCAACCCATGTGGTTGCAAGTAAAAGGATTTCCTTCCTTTTATGGCTAATATTCCACTGTGTAAATGTGCCACATTTTAAAAAATCCATTCATCCATTGATGGACACTTGGATAGATTTCATATCTTAGCTATTGTGAATAATGCTGTTGTAAACACGAAAGTGCAGATAAGGGAATTGATGTTTTTGTGGGTTTTTGTTGTGTATTTGTTACCATTTCTAGCTACTTCAATAGATTACTTATTTAAATTCTTTATTATTTAATAATTAAGGCAACTAGGATGGGAAATTGGACACTGAGAAAAGTCTCAGTAATATCTCTCAAATTTTAATAGACGGTTTTGATGTTTTCATTATAATATTTTATTGTATTTTTAAAATTCCCTCTGCTACTTCATAAATTTTATAGAAAACCATCTTACAATTTAATTTCCGAGTCACTGGGATTTTTAAGTTTCTAGTTTACATTTTACTTTTCTCCTTTCTTTTTCGGATGGAGCTCTGTCACCCAGGCTGGAGTGCAGTGGCGCGATCTCAGCTCACTGCAATCTCTGCCTCCCAGGTTCAAGCAATTCTCCTGCCTCAGCCTCCCAAGTGGCTGGGACTACAGGCATGCGCCACCAGGTCTGGCTAATTTTTGTACTTTTTTTTAGTAGACATGGGGTTTCACCATGTTGGCCGGGCTAGTCTCGAACTCCTGACCTCCAGCGATCTGCCCACCTTGGCCTCCCAAAGTGCTGGGATTACAGGCGTGAGCCAATTTTCTATTTTCATTGCATTATGCAAAGTAAGTATAACCTGATATTTGCTAAGATTTTTCTCTGTAACCAAGAATAAGATGAACTTTCATGAAGGTACTGGCTCTATGCTACAAGGCTTTTTGTATGTGCATAGAAGTTATCTTCACATTACCCATGTGCCTTGTAGCCCTATTTTTGGTTGTTTTGTCCAAGATAAATTATTGTGATGTATTGATGTTATGTTACTTCCTGGATTTACTTCCAACAGTTTGTATTTTAATTTTCAATGCTCTGTCCTCATAGTGGATTTCACCTTTTATCAGTGCAAATGTTCTTTAAATGCTTTTGAGTCCTGTTGATTTTTGCCACATAACCTTTTTGCTTGTGTTTGCATAACATTTATCTTTATGCGCAGTGGTCACTGGGACCGTTCACAATTATTCAGTTTCTTTTCCTTCCAGGAATACGGTACACGATGCCCTACCTTTTTCTGTGATTTTGTTAGGGGTGAAACTTTTACCCAATATGTGTGATTATGTTGTCATTTTTAATTATTCTGAGAGCCCTTTTATTGGTACACTTAGCCTTTTATATTTATTTCACATTAAGGCTGAGTCTTAATTCCGTCATTTTGTTTTGTGGGGGTTCTCCTGTGTACCTAGTATGAAGTTATTATTTTGTGACTACGGTTGTGTTTTTCTTTTTTATATTATCCACCCAACTGTGTGGAAGGTAGATATCTTACTTTTACCCTCTTTAGTGATGGCCGTAAAATTTTTTGTGAGATTATCTCTAACAGCTAATATCAGTTACAAATGATTAATACCTTTTTTATGGAAGATAAGAAATTAAATGTTATCTCTTTCTCTTTTCTGTTCTTTGTTAATTTTAATGTAAGGTGGTTATAAATATGTTCCTCCCATTTTTTACAACTTTTATTATTTTCAATTTAAAAAATATCAGTTTTATAATAATATTAGAAACACTTATCTTGTCTCTATATCTGTCTTTAGTGCTTACTCTCAGCTATACTTAACTCGTTTTCTGTTTCTTATTTTTAATTAATATATATTTGTTCTGACATAAAGTTTCCCAAATTTCATTTTATTTTTCAGGAAGTCTACTTCAAGCATTAATCCTCTTAGTATTAAATCTGAGAATATCTTTCACACATATTCATACAGATCTGAGAATATCTTAACACACATAAACAAATGGGTTAGATAAAAAATTCTTGGGCCGTAACCTCCTTCCTTCCTTCCCTTCCTTCTCTTACTTCTCTTCCTTCTCTTCCTTCCTTCCCTTCCTTCCTTCTTCTTTCTTCTTTCTTTTTTTTTTTTTTTTTCTTGAGATGGAGTCTCACTCTGTCTCCCAGGCTGGAGTGCAGTGGTATGATCTTGGTTCACTGCAAACTCCACCTCCTGGGTTCAAGTGATTCTTGTGCCTCAGCCTCCCGAGTAGGTCGGATTACAGGCACGCGTCACCATGCCTGGCTAATTTTTGTATTCTTAGTACAGATGGGGTTTCAACATGTTGGCCAGGCTGGTCTCCAACTCCTGACCTCAGGTGATCCACCTGCCTGGGCCTCTCTAAGTGCTGGGATTACAGGTGTGAGCCACTGCGCCCGGCCCATAACCCTTTTCTTTTGAAGGTCTACGAGTGCTCCTTCATTATTGTTAGGGTTTAATATTGTTAAGTTTGTGATAACCTGCTTTTCCTTCCTTGTGAATAATCTAATTTGGCTTAGGATGTAATCATTATCCAGGAAGTTTGAAAATGTCACCAGTTCATATTCATCTGTGTGTTCTAGTAGTGGTGGTGCCTGGTGTTATGTTGTTGTTGTGGTTCCTTGGAATATGATTCACACTCTCAGTTTTTAGAGACAGGGTCTGACTCTGTGTCCCAGGCTGGAGCGCAGTGGTGCAATCAAAGCTCACTGTAACCTCAAACTCCTGGGCTCAAGCGATCTTCCTGCCTCAGCCTCTAGAGTAGCTGGGACTACAGACGCGTGCAACCACACCTGGCAAATTTTTTCAATTTCTTTTTGGTAGAGGCGGGGTCTTACTGTGTTTTCCAGGCTGTTTCCAAACTCCTGGTTTCAAGTGATCCTCCTGTCTCTGCTTCCCAAAGTGCTGGGATTACAGGCGTGCACCATCACGCCCAGCGTACACTCTCAATTTTTAGACCGAGTTTTCTTTCTGGAAAACATTTGTTCAACCCTTTTTTGTTTTTTGCTTTTGCTCCACATATTTCAATCTCTCTTACTAGCCTTATCCACAGCTTAGATCCTGGGCTATGGCCTTCCAATACCCCTCATAGCTGTTCTTTCTCTATGTTTTTCCTCAGCCTTTTATATTCTCATACATATATTTCCTGCTTCACTACTTGGAGGTTTTCCAGTGAGTAGTCTACTGATCACTGGATTTCATTTTTGTAACAATGCTTTCTCCTCTCTGTGGAATTATCTCTTGTCGCTTTTCTAATCTGGCTGATGTGACATCTTTTAGTTAGTTGTCGAGGACATAAACTAGATACTTTTCTAACACTCTTTGGTGGATCTGTTTTAGAGCTGGGCAGTTGCTGAGTCAGACGATTGATTGGTGGTGGCTGCCTCAGCCTCCCAAGTAGCTGGGATTATAGGAGCACACCAGCGTGCCCGGCTAATTTTTGTACGTTTAGTAGAGACAGGGTTTCACCATGTTGGCCAGGCTGGTCTCAAACCCCTGACCTCGTGATCCACCCGCCTTGGCCTCCCAAAGGCATTTCTTGTAGTAACAAAATGCTCCCTGAGGTTCTGGGTCTGTGCTATGAGAGGTACTTCTTATTTTTCATTTCTGGCCTATTTCAGTGGGTGAAACATTTAGATCAAAACAATAGTAATTGTTATTTCAGACGCTCTTTTGTTTCTGACTTTAATAGTACTGTTCCCCAGAGTTCTGAGTTTAAACTTGAAAATTACATCGATTGTTGTCTGAGATGGACATTATTTATTATGGTTAGGGTAATATCTTACTTGTAGTTTACCCTTTTTTTCTTTTTAAGTCAGTAACAACTTTGAGTAACTTTTTGACGTCTATTGAGATAATCATGTAATTTTTATTATTTGACTTCATGATGAAGTCAGGTCTTTTCATTATTTGACTTTTATTATTTGACCCTTATTTAATTGAATTTACGATAATTGAAAAACTGCTACAGTTCATGGATTACTTCTCTTTAGCTGAGCTTCTCTCTCTATATCCTGTTAAGTTTGACTATTTTTTTATTTTTTAATTTAGGTTTTGCAAATATATCCATAAAAATAATTGGGCCAGGTGCAGTGGCTCACGCCTGTGTAAAAATCCCAGCACTTTGGGAGGCTGAGGCAGGTGGATCACTTGAGGTCAGGAGTTTGAGACAAGCCTGACCAACATGCTGAAACCTCATCTCTACCAAAAAAATACAATGTAGCCAGGCATGGTGGCACGGGCCGGTAGTCCCAGCTACTTGGGAGGCAGAGGTGGGAGAATCGCTTGAACTCCAGAGGCAGAGGTTGCTGTGAGCCAAGATCATGCCATTGCACTCCAGCCTGGGCAACAGAGCAAGACTCCTCTCTAATAATAACAATAATAATAATAATAACAACTACAATAATTGATCCATTTCATTTTCTTTCCATTTTCAGGTTTTTAATACCAGGGTTAGGCGAAATGTATAGGGTATTTGGGACTTTTCCATCTTTTTTGCACTGGAAGAGATTACATAATAACCATTTTCGAGTATTTGAACACATATTTCTGTGAAATCACATGAAACTTAAAACAGTTTAGGACAGTTCTTTAACAATATTTAGTTTATGTCACGTTCATTAATGTACACAAGTGATCATTTTCTTTAGTGGATCCAATGATCTATTCATTTCAGAAATCACTGATTTCTTTTGGATTTCATATGTATTAACATAAATGTATACTTGCCATTCTTTTATATTTTAATGTTCTTTAATTCTGTAAATATATCATCTTTGAGATCTCTAACTTTATATATTTTTTTATCTCTTTTTTCGTAACCTGACTTTCAGATGATTTTCCTTATACATCTATTTTTACCCAGAGAATTATATCACTGTCTTGATTAATAGTGGTGTTAGGTCAATTTTTGGAGGGAAGATTTGCATTGTGGATTTTAATTCTGCTAGGAGTTATTCTAGTTTGTTGTATTTTTTCTTTGTTTTCTTCAGCCTCTTTTTCATCTCAGCCTGTACCACCTGATTTTTTACTTTTTAAGTGAGACATAATTCAAATACCGTAAAATGTAAAGCTCTTGAGTTCAGTTTGATGAATTTTGACAATTATAAACAGCAGTAAAACACTTATTCCAATACAAAGTATAAAACATTTCTATTACCCCAAGTAGTCCCTTGACAAATAATTTTTCCCACTCTGTGGCTTACATTTCATGTCTTAATATAATAACCCCTCCTTATCCAAGGGGCATATGCCCTATGAGCTTCATTAGATGCCTTAAACTGTGCATAATACCAAACCCTGTATATACTATGCTTTTTCCTATACATAAATAGTTATAATAAAGTTAAATTTATAGATCAGGTGCAGTAAGAGATTACAATAACTAATGATAAAATAGAACAATCTTAACAATATACTGTAAAAAAAGGATGTGAATGTGATTTCCCTTTCTGTCAACATATCTTATTATACTGTACTCCCCTTTTTAAAATATTTTTAAAAAATTTGTAGAGATGGGGTCTTGCAGTGTTGCCCAGGCTGGTCTGAAACTCCTGGTCTCAAGCAATCCTTGCACCTCAGCCTCCCAAAATGCTGGGATCACAGGCTTGAGCTGCCATGTTCTTCTTGTGATAATGTCAGATGATAAAGTGCCTTTGTGATGAGATGGAGGTGAATGGCGTGGGCATAATGACATAGCGTTTGGCTGCTATTGACCTTCTGACCGTAAGTCAGAAAGAGGATCATGTGCTTCGGTGATCCTGGTCATCATGGAGCCATGACAATGTCAAAAGTAGATGGCAGCAGTGACTAACGGGCAGGTAGTATAGACAGCTTGGATATGCTGGACAAAGGAGTGATTCACGTCTCTGGCAAGTTGGAGTGGGATGGCATGAGATTTTATCACGCTACTCAGAACAGTGTGCAGTTGAAGACTTATGAATTGTTTATATCTGGAATTTTCCATTTAATATTTTCCAACCGCAGTTGACCAGTTAACCAAGGGGTAACTGAAGCCGCAGAAAGTGAATCCACAGGTGAGGGGGAACTACTGTAGTATCTTTTGATGAGCAGACATTTGAAACTTTGATTAAATCCAGTTTATCACTTTTTTCTTTCATGTTCAGTACTCTTTGGTTCCTGTTGAAAAAAATCTCTGCCTGCATCAATGTTACAAAAGTATCGTAATCCCAGCACATTGGGAGGCCGAGGCGGGTGGATCACATGAGGTCAGAAGTTTGAGACCAGCCTGGCCAACATGGTGAAACCCCATCTCTACTAAAAATACAAAAAAATGAGCTGGGCATGGTGGTGGGTGCCTGTAATCCCAGCTACTTGGGAGGCCGAGGCAGGAGAATTGCTTGAACCCGGGAGGCGCAGGTTGCAGTGTGAGCCAAGATCAGCCCACTGCATGCCAGAAAAAAAAAAAAAAAATTTTACTACATTTTCTGCTGGAAGATTTATGGTTTTAGCTTTTACTTTTAGGTCTGTGAGCCATTAGAAATTAGTTTTCATATGTGGAGTGTGGTAGAAGTTGAGGTTTGGTTTCCCCTGTACAAAGTTTTAGTTATTCTAAGTGTAATCTGTTTTGTTTTGTTTTGTTTTGCTTTTTGAGATGGAGTCTTACTCTGTTACCCAGGCTGGAGTGCAATGGCGTGATCTTGGCTCACTGCAACCTCTGCCTCCCAGGTTCAAGCGATTCTCCTGCCTCAGCCTCCTGAGTAGCTGGGACTACAGGTGCACACCACCATGCCCAGCTAATTTTTGTATTTTTAGTAGAGACAGGGTTTCACTATGTTAGCCAGGCTGGTCTTGAGCTCCAGACCTTAAGTGATCCACCCACCTTGGTCTCTCAAAGTACTGGGATTACAGGCGTGAGCCACCACACCCAGCGATTGTTATGTAGTATGTCTTTCCCATTGACTGTCTTTAAGGTTTTTTTTGCAAGTTTTTGGCAGTCTGTGCTGTACTTAGATATGGTTCAAGCGATTCTCCTGCCTCAGCCTCCCAAGTAGCTGGGACTACAGGCATATGCCACCATGCCCAGCTAATTTTTGTATTTTTAGTAGAGAGGGGGTTTCACCATGTTGGCCAGGATGGTCTCGATCTCTTAACCTCGTGAACTGCCTGCCTCGGCCTCCCAAAGTGCTGGGATTACAGGTGTGAGCCACTGTGCCTGGCCTATATGTATTTTTTATTCCTTGCATTTTCATTTATTTTTATTTTTATTTTTTTTATAGATGAGGTCTTGCTCAGCCACCCAGGCTGAAGTGCAGTGGCATGATCATAGCTCGATGCAGCCTCAAGCTCCTGGGCTCAAGTGATCCTCCTGTCTCGGCCTTACAAAGCACTAGGATTACAGGCACATGCCACCTCACCTGGCTGATTTTTAAACACAATTTTTGTAGAGATGGGGGTCTCACTATTTCTTTTTAAATAATTTCCATATCTCTGCTCAAACCCCCAATTTGTTCACATTTTGTATTTCACCATGAGATCTTTGGCACATTTATCATACTTATTTTAAATTCTGATCCTTACAACATCTGGACCATCTTTTAAGTCTGCTTCTGTGAAATTTTCTCTTGCATATCAGTCACACTTTCTTGCATCTTTTTTTGAGACAGAGTCTCTGTCTGTTTCTCAGGCTGGAGTGCAGTGGTGCGATCTCGGCTCACTGCATCCTCCGCCTCCCAGGCTCAAGCGATTCTCCCACCTCAGTCTCCCGAGTAGCTGGGATTACAGGCGCCCGCCACCACACCTGGCTAATTTTTGTATTTTTAATAGAGACAGGGTTTCGCCAAGTTGGCCAGGCTGGTCTCGAACTCCTGACCTCAGGTGACTGCCCTCCTCAGCCTCCCAAAGTGCTGGGATTACAGGCATGAGCCACCACACCTGGCCTGCTTTCTTGCATCTTCTCATAATTCCTGATTGAATGCCAGATACTGCATGTAAGAAAACCCTGCAAGTCTAAAATAAATAAAATCTACGCACCAAAGAATGGCAGAACCCTCCTGCCAGGCACTGGAGTCAGGCTTTCACGCAATGTAATCCGTAGTTGAGTTGGATAGGAGTTCTGTTACAGCTTTAGTTGAAGTTGGTTCACAGCAACTTCAAAGATTTCGAGGGTAACATCAGGACTTTCTGTTTTGCAGAGCTTGTGATGCGAGCAATGAGAAAACTCTGCAGATGTCTTTATGCTTTATAGTGGAGCTGCCAAGCTTTCTGAACCATGCTGACATTTTGCTCACTGTCTTTTTCTGTCCAGTTCCACCATGGTTTTCTGGGTTTTCAGGAGGTCTCCTTCCATTCTGTTTCTAGTCCTCAAAGAGCAGGTGCAGGAGGGACCTCAGCCATGGAGGGAGGGTCTCAGAGGGATTTCCCTCAGCTCTCCTGCCCTATCCAACCTTCACCGTACTAACTGCCTGCACCCAGTTAAGGTCTAAGGACTAAAGTAGTGGTGGGTACAGCATGCTGTTCCGCTGCGGCATTTTGGAATGTGACTCTGTCACAGCAGCTGTTAAAAGTTTGTTCCGGCGGAGCGAGGTGGCTCACACCTGTAATCCCAACACTTTGGGAGGGTGAGGTGGGCAGATCACCTGAGGTCAGGAGTTCGAGATAAGCCTGACCAACGTGGTGAAACCCTGTCTCTACTAAAAATACAAAAATTAGCCGGCCCGGTGGCACATGCCTGTAATCCCAGCTACTCGGGAGGCTGAGGCTGGAGAATCGCTTGAACCCAGGAGGCAGAGGTTGCAGTGAGCCGAGACTGCACCACTGCACTCCAGCCTGGGCAACAGAGCAAGACTCTGTCTCAAAAGAAAAAAAAAGGTTTGTTCCAGGTTAGGCAGCCTCCTCTTGAAGCCCATGTCTACCATGAATGAAAACCTCTGGGAGCCTCTTCTCTGCTAGGAAGGACTCATCACTTTGCAGAATTTATCTTTTTTAGATTTCTTTATTTCTTAGCTCTTTGATGGATTAGAAAGATAAATCAGGCTCAGCAGAGGTATCTGGGGTAGGAGAGATGCCCGCTCCAATTAAGAAGCCATCTGGATGAGTTCTGGCTAGTCCAGGGAGGAGCTAATGGCTGTTCTCAGTAGGTTTCTTAGCAGGGCTCATACCTGTAATCCCAGCACTTTAGGAGGCTGAGACAGGAGGATCACGTGAGCCTAGGAATTTGAAACCAGCCTGGGCAACCTGGTGAGACCTCGTCTCTACAAAAAGATAAAAACTAGCTCGGCATGGTGGTGCACACCTGTAGTCCCAGCTACTCAGGAGGTTGAGGAGGGAGGATTGCTTGATCCCAGGAGTTGGAGGCTGTAGTGAGCTATGATTGCATTTGGGCAACAGAGCAAGATTCTGTCTCAAAGAAAAAAAACACACACACCAAAAACAAACACACACACACACACACCCTATGATTTTGCATCTTATGCCAACTGTTCTCATTGTTGGGGTGAGGGAGATAGGGTCTTGTGACTTCCTGCAATTCTAACCGTAATTGAATTTCCCCTAGTTTCTTTTGGCTTGTCTTTCACAGTTCATGTTTTCTAGAAGTTTCTGCTAACATAACCTAGACCCTTTCTACTATGTTTCTTTTGGTTTCTGTGGTACAGTTTGTGTCAAGAGTATGCTGTTTCTGAAGATGGTTTTTTCCATAGCAAAATCCTTCACACACCCTGCAGATAGAATGCTCTCACTGCTGTACATCAGTCCTTAAATGAGGAACAAATGTCCAGGCCTGACATGATCAATTGCGAAAAGTGAGCGTGGGTGCATTGTCCTCAGCTATCCCTCGGAAAGTTCTCATTTGCAAATCTGAAACCAATTCCAGATTAGGCGAAGGGAGCTTTAAGAAGGTCACTGGATTGGGCCCGGATACTAGACCAGCAACAAACAGGGACAAGCTGAAAATGCACCTAAGTGTCTCCAGTATCCTTTCTCTGTAATACGCACACTAACACGATCTCAAACCTGTTGAGAACAGCCATCAGCTTCCCCTGGGCTAGTAAAAGAGTGGTTTGCTGATCTTAGCAGGCGTCTTTCCCATTCCAGGTACCTCTGCCCAGTTCTCTGACCTATCAGAGCATACAGGGTGCGTGGTGCCTTCCTGCCTGGAGTCTGTGTGGAAACCCACCCCTCCTAGCACACCTTGTTCAGCAGGCACTTCCTCATTCTTGTGCTGACAGCTTTCCTTTTCTGTCAAATACCCCAGGGCACAGTACACTAGGGACTGTCTTATCCTGCTTCTACCCTCTACACCCCACATTCACAATTAACAACCAGCTTGTTCATTCCACAGACATTAGTTGAACACCCTCTATGTGCCATCCCAGGCACTTGGCATAGATCCACAAATGAAACAAACAAAATCCCTCCCTCTGTGTGTTACCTGCCAGGTCCGGGTCTGTTCTGCCTGCACGCAGTAAATCAATCCCTGTGACACGGGTTTTGCAAAAGAGAAAAGATTTATTTGCAAGGGCACGGAGTGAGGAGGCAGGAGAACAGCTGCCAAATCCACTTCCCCAAAGATAAGGCTAAAGGATTATTTGTGAGTTAGGCAAGTGGGGTGGTTTTAAGGCATAGGGAAAAGTGATTAGTGGTGGGGAAAAAAATGAAGTAACAGGTTCGTTCTGCACAGGTGTAGTTGGGTTCATGGCATTTCATAGGACATGTTTACAGTAAACGTGGCATTAGTATGATCTGAAGGTGGGGTTTTTCACCCACTGATGTCAAAAGGCAACCTCTTGGGCCAGGTGCGGTGGCTTACGCCTGTAATCCCAGCACTTCGGGAGGCCGAGGCGAGCAGAACACCTGAGGTTAGGAGTTCGAGACCAGCCTGGCCAACATGGCAAAACCCCATCTCTACTAAAAATACAAAAATTAGCTGGGCATCGTGGCAGATGCCTGTAATCCCAGCTACTCGGGAGGCTGAGGCAGGAGAATCATTTGAACCCAGGAGGTGGAGGCTGCAGTGAGCCGAGATCACGCCACAGCACTCCAGCCTGGGCGACGGAGTGAGGCCTTGTCTCCAAAAAAAAAAAAAAAAAAAAAAAAAAGGAAAAAGGCAACCTCTTGGGCATTTGCACAGGCCTAGTTGAAGGGCCAGTGGTTTCAGTGAGTCTGAACTGGTCAGGAGCTGGCCCAAGTTCCTAAAAAACAACAGAAGCGACTACGACCATGGTGACCCAGAAATGTAGGAATGACCTGTACAGTAGCCAGTCTTCACTTAACCTTCATTAAGTTTCAGCATTTATTAGGTTGGTGCGAGAGTAATTGCGGTTTTTGCCATTACTTTCAAAATGGCAAACACCAATTACTCTCGTACCAACTTAATAGCTGTGTGGCCGTGAGCTACGTGGCAAAAGGAAAAGTAACAAAAATAATAAAAAGCAAGTGGCCAAAAGCAAGCAGGTCAGGAAGACCTGGTCAAATTAACACCTTGGTTTTATATGGAGTTTATATTCTAGTGGGAATAGACTCCTCTTACATATCTTAACTCGATGTTATCCACACAGTAACCCTAGGAAGTAGGTTCTTTTATTGTTCTCATTTCCAGATGAGAACACGGAAGCACAGAGAAATTAAGTCGATTGCCCGAGGTCTCCCAGTATGATCTGAACAATGATGTCTTTGCTTTACTCGGCTTTGCATCCTTGAAGGTCCTCAGCCATTGTGAGCTTTGCATCCTTGAAGAATTCACTGAGCTTGGTTCTCTATTAGCCTAGAATAGAGCCTGGCATTTCGTAAGGACCTCATTTCAAAATGCGAAACTGCAGCAGCCGAGTAAAGCAAGTGCTCAACAGGACTGACTTCCAGTACAGACGGGCAGCTTCCTTTCTCATCTTTGTCTCCCTGGCTGTTTTTTGTTTGTTTGTTTGTTTTGTTTTTTGAGACGGAATCTCACTCTATCACCCAGGCTGTAGTTCAATGGCGTGATCACGGCAACCTCCATCTCCCAGGTTCAGGCGATTCTCCTGCCTCAGCCTCCCAAGTAGCTGGGATTACAGGTGCCTGCCACCACGCCCAACTAATTTTTGTATTTTTAGTAGAGGTGGGGTTTCACCATGTTGGCCAGGCTGGTCTTCATCTCCTGACCTCAGGTGGTCTGCCCGCCTTGGTGACCTCCCAAAGTGCAGAGATTACAGGCACAAGCCACTGCGCCCGACCCTCCCTGACAGTGTTCTTACTCAGAAGGCGGAGGGGCCCTTCTCGGTTCCTCTCCTGGGCAGTAGAGTTGCTCGACAATCTGGGAATCTGGGCTTCAGTGTTTGGTTGTCTCCAGTATCAGTTACTGTTGCCAGTTTTTGTCTGTTTATGGATTTTCATGGGCATTTTAATTAGGAATCAGGGGAGGAGAAGTCAGATACTGCTCATCTGCTGCCAGGGACAGCTTGCGAGTCTCTGAGGCCTTACTTAAGACTCCCAACTACCCAAGAGGACCAAAAACCCACTGCTTGTGATAAAAGTGATGGCTGCAGTTTTCCCAGAGGGACCCAGAGTACAGGTGGGATCGTCGTATGTGTTTTTGGTTAATCCTCATTCCCTTCTCGGGGTAGCTGCAGAGTAAACCACTCTATGAGGATACCACCCAAAATAATCATTTCTCATGGGGAGCTCTGAAAGCAAACATTTATTCAAAAATTTTACCAAACATATGCTTTTCTAACACACCACTCCTCGCTCCCCTAAGCTTCCAAAAGGGCAAGCACTTGGAACAACTGGCAAATGATGAATAGATTCTTCCCTCATTTACATACCTAGTCATTAGCCGGGATTGCTATGGCAACTGTACCTTCCAGACATAGACCTGTGGGCCTAGCACAACTTCATTTTGGAAACTGTCTAGAAGCCTTGTGCTCCTCTCTCAGCGTTTGACAGGTGAGGAGAATTTCAGGGGGCAGGAGGAGCCTCGATGTTTCCAACAGTCTGTAAGTGACAATTATCAGGTACCTGGCATAGAAAGGAAGGAAAGCATCTTGCTGGAAAATAGTCTGCAAAGTGATGGCTTTGGTTTGCTGACTGCCTCTCTTGTCCCTGGGAGCACGATGATCAAATGCAAGCACAATGGGTGTGGTCTTATTTCACCAGTGTCATTTGTCCCCTTGGACACACACCTATCTGTGTGAGATCCTGGTTTGCAAACACATATACACACATTCCTATAGATTTTGTCCAGGGAAAACAAGACTCCTTTGAAGAGAGACAGGGGTTGGGAAAAGGAAGAGAATAAAAAAGAGAGAAAAGAGCTGGGCACAGTGGCTCATGCCTGTAATCTTAGCACTTTGGGAGGCCGAGGCGGGCAGATCACTTGAGGTCAGAAGTTCGAGACCAGCCTGGCTAACATGGAGAAACCCTGTCTCTACTAAAAATACAAAAATTAGCTGGGCGTGATGGTGTACGCCTGTAATCCCAGCTACTCAGGAGGCTGAGGCAGGAGAATCGCTTGAACCCAGGAGGCAGAGATTCAAGTGAGCCAAGATTGTGCCACTGCACTCCAGCCTGGGCGACAGAGCGAGACTCCGTCTCAAAATAAATAAAATAAAATAAAATAAATATTCCTTCTTTGCCCCAGCTAGTGTCCTCCTGTTTGATTTCAGAACTGTGAATTCCAATTTTATTTTTTATGGATACATAATATTTGCAAATACGTATGGAGTCCTGGTGATGTTTTGTTACATGCATAGAAGGTGTAACGGTCAGAACTACCATACCACCCACCAATGCCACTACTACTAGGTATTTATCCAAAGGAAAGAAATTTGTGTATCAAAGAAATACTTCTCCCTTGGTTTTGATTCTTGGTTTTGCTGTAGCAAGAGGCAGAGAAAGAGGTACCACTGCACTCCAGCCAGGGTGACAGAGCAAGACTCTGTCTCAAAAAAAATAAAAAATAAAAAACAAAACAAATAAATAAAAGAGAGAGAAAGGATACTGGAGACACTTAGAACGATGTGTTTTCAACTTGTTTCTGTTCCTTGCTGGTCTAGTATCCTGGCCCAATCCAGTAACCTTCTCAAAGTTCCCTTCACCCAACCTGGAATTGGTTTTAGATTTGCAAAAGAATTTTCCAAAGGATAGGAGATAGTCTCTGAGGAGTGGCTGCCCACTACTGTTTTCATTCTGGAGAAGTGGGTGTCAACTGGACAGACAGCAGGAGGGCATGTCTTTGCTTTTTTTTTTTTTTTTTTTTTTTTTTTTTTTTTTTTGCTTTTTTTTTTCTAGACGGAGTTTCACTCTTGTTCCCCAGGCCAGAGTGCAGTGGCGTGATCTCGGCTGACTGTAACCTCCGCCTCTCGGGTTCAAGCGATTCTCCTGCCTCAGCCTCCCAAGTAGCTGGGATTACAGGCATGCGCCACCACACCTGGCTAATTTTGTATTTTTAGTAGAGACGGGGTTTCTCCATGTTGGTCAGGCTGGTCTCGAACTCCCGACCTCAAGTGATCTGCTCGCCTCGGCCTCCCAAAGTGCTGAGATTACAGGAGTGAGCCACCGCACCTGGCCTGCTTTTTTTTTTTAATTTTTAATTTTTTAAGTTCCGGGGTACATGTGCAGGATGTGCAGGTTTGTTACCTAGGTGAACGTGTGCCATGGT
Source organism: Homo sapiens (assembly GCF_000001405.40). Taxonomy (NCBI): domain Eukaryota; kingdom Metazoa; phylum Chordata; class Mammalia; order Primates; family Hominidae; genus Homo; species Homo sapiens. The sequence continues at coordinate 72,076,225 of NC_000007.14, read as the reverse complement.
GGTTTGCTGTACCTATCAACCCATGATCTAGGTATTAAGTCCAGCATGCATTAGCTCTTTTTGGCTGTTGCAGTTTCACATTTTGAAATGAGGTCCTTGGCCACTGTGAGCTTTGCACCCCTGAAGATTTTCACTGAGCTTGCTTCTCTATTAGCCTAGGACAGAGCTTGGCATTTCATAGGTGCTCAAGAAGTATTTATGGAATAAATGAATTGGCCTCATCTGTCCTGGGCTTTATCCTTCCTCTCCTCCTGACACCCCCTCTCCCCCATGCCCATGAGTGCCTATGCCCTGTGCCCCAGAGAGACATCCACTCTCAGATCCTTGAGAACTTTTACCCTTCCTCCCCAGCACATTTGTTCTCTCTGCTGTTTAGCTTCCCCTGACACCCAGATGTCTCTATTTGTTGAAACCTAACCTCCCATGGCCTGAGGGCTTTGAAGATAGGGCAGGGGGCCAGATGCAGCTATCAGACAAAAGGAGCAAACTTGACAGTGAGAAGCCACCAGTGTCACAGGGAATCTGAATACGCTGGTGCAGGGATGGAGCTGAGCAGGGCCAGGGTTGGGCTTGAGCATTGTCACCCAGGCCAAGACAGGGACAAAGCTGGTCAACACAGGCTGGAAGAGGAGCATTAATTTCCCACAAAGTGTTTACTGAGCACTTTCTCTGTGGCCGTCACCCTTCAGGGTAGGCTGTAGAGTAAGGCACAGGTTCAACCGGTAGACAGAAAACTACAGTAAACTAGGTAAGTTCCAAAATTCTCTAAAGATAGAGACTTTGTTTCAGCTGAACTAAAAGGTGAGATGTTCCAGCCTATGCATTTTAACTTTCAGCCTGATTGTCTTTATTCCTGCTTGAGGTGGTTAATCTTATGTGTCAACTTGACTGGGCCACCGGGTTCCCAGATATTTGGTCAAACATTATTCTAGATGTTGCTGTGAGGGTGCTTTAGGATGAGATTAACAGTTAAATAGGTAGACTGTGTAAAGCAGATTATCTTCCCACTAGTGGGTGGGCCTCATCTTACCAGTTGAAGTTCTGAACTGAACAAAGGGCTGACCGTCCCCTGACTTAGAGAGAGCTCCTCCTGCCTGACTGCTTCAGCTGGGACCTCAGTCTTTTCTTGACTTTGGACTCAAGCTGAAATCTTGGCTTTTCTTGGGCCTCAGCCCTCCTGAGACTTTTGGACTGGAATGACACCATCAGCTCTCCTGGGTCTCCAATGTGGCTAGAAGTAATGCTTCCATTCTTTGTTTTCATACCATTTAATTAATAAGTTTTTGACTTCTGTTTATTTATAGATCTTATCTCATGAGACTATTAACTTCTTCGAAGTGTGATCTACTCCGATTTATGTTTGGTTCCCCAGGTTCCCAGCCTAAATGTCCTACACATGGTAGACATCTCATGAGTATTTGTTGATTAGTGGAGTAAGTGAATGTTTGTGGGCTTGGCAAGTAGGTTGTCAGGGCACTGAATCTGATGCCAGGTTTCCTGTAAAAGGGGTAGATTTGGGGCCAGGTGCAGTGGCTTAAGCCTGTAATCCCAACACTTTGGGAGGCCAAGGTGGGCGGATCATCTGAGGTCAGGAGTTCGAGACCAGCCTGGCCAACACGGCAAAACCCCATCTCTACTAAAAATACAAAAATTAGTCTGGAGTGGTGGTGGGTGCCTGTAATCCCAGCTACTCAGGAGGCTGAGGCAGGAGAATCGCTTGAACGTGGGAGGCAGAGGTTGCAGTGAGCCAAGATTGCACCACTGTACTCTAGCCTGGTTGACAGAGCGAGACCCTGTCTCAAAAAAACAAGGTATATTTGCTCATCTGTTAATGGCAGAGGGGAACTGGTCACAAAGAGTCATTGAGGTGGCCCTGAGAGGTCCTGCCGCTATGACTAGGGCACTGTGTTTCCTCTGAGACCTATATCAGACTGTGTCTTCTCTCTGGAAACATTTTCGTTCATGGGTCCAATATGATATTTTTCTTCTCTGAACCCAAAACATGATCTTTTATATCTCCTCACTGGTTCGCTTTCTCAATTAATCAACCGAAGGCTGGTTTTGACTGTCTGATCTAGAAAGACTAATACAGTAGTTTTGTTCATGTTTTAACCTGCTATACGATGGTTAGTTTCTTCAGGGCAGAGACCTGACACTTGATTCTCCCCAGTTCTTATCCGACTCCTTGCACCTAATAGGTGCTGATCAAATATTTATTGAAAGAGGGACCAGGCCAGGCATGGTGGCTTTTCCCTGCAATCCCAACACTCTGTGAGGCCAAGGCAGGAGGATTGCTTGAGCTGGGGAATTCAAGACTGACCTGGACAACATGGTAAGACCTCATTTCTAGAAAACAATTAAAAAATTAGCCAGTCATGGTGGCATACACAGGTAGTCCCAGCTACTCAGGAGGTTGAGGTGACAGGATCACTTGAGTCCAGAAAGTTGAAACTGCAGTGAGCCATGTTTGTGCTGCTGCACTCCAGCCTGGGTGACAGAATGAGATCCTGTCCCGAAAAGGAAGGAAAGGAGAGGAGAGGAGAGGAGAAGGGAGGGGAGGGGAGGGGAGAAGGAAGACAGGAAGGAAAAAGACAGAGAGAAAGAAAGAAAGAAAGGACTAAATGCAGCCCTAATTCCACACAGATAAACACTTTTATTATTCCCCTCCCCTTTTTCTCCAGGCTGGTGTTTAATCACCACACTTGTAGTCTGAAATTGTAGGTTTTTGAAGCCACAGAAAAGCAAAAGGAAAGCAGATCTTACTGGAGGCACTACAACTGTTTTTGTTTTCCATTTGTTTATTGTGTAAAATAAACATAATATAAATTTTACCATTGTAACCATTTCGAAGTATATAGTTCAGTGGAAATAAGCAAGTAAATATTGTTTAATAAGCATCACTACTGTCCATCTTCATAACGTTTTTCTTCTTGGAAAATTGAAACTGTACTCATTAAGCAATAACCCCATTCTCCCTTCCCCCCAGTTCCTGTCAACCATAGACACTTTCTGTCTCTATGCATTTGACTACTCTGTAAGTATCTCATATAAATGGAATCATGCAATATTTGTCTTTTTATGAGTGGCTTATTTCACTTATCATAAAATCCTCAAGTTTCTCCCATATTGTAGCACATGTCAGAATTTCCTTCCTTTTTTAGATTGACTGATAAGTAGGTAATTACTTCTGTCATTCACCTATTTGTTTCCCATGTGTCTTAAAGCTTTTTGTCCATCATTTCCTGAATTGCTGTCTTCTTTTGTGTGTAGTGATCTTTTTGTAGTGAAATATTTAAATTATTTTCTCATTTCTCTTTTGTATATATTTTATGTCTATTTTCTTTGTAGTTACCATGGGGATTATATTTAACATACTAAAGTTATACATTCTAATTTGGATTTATACCAGCTTAACTCCAATAGCATATAAAAAATGCTGCTTTATAACTTCATCCCCACTTTTACATGTTGATGTCACAAAATTACCTCTTTATACATTATATGGGCAAAACTATAAATTGATAATTTCTTTTAAAAAATTATTAACCTCTTAAATTGTGTAGAAAACAAAATGTAGAGTTACAAACCAATGTTACAATAATACTAGATTTTATAATTGCCCACATAATTGCACCATTTTTTTGTGATCTTTATTTCTTCATATCGCTTCAAGTTACTGTCTAGTGTCCTTAAATTTCACCCTGAAGGACTCCCTTTAGTATCTGTTGCAGGGCAAGTCTAGTGATAACAAACTGCCTCAGCTTTTGTTTAGGAATGTCTTAATTTCTCCCTCACTTTTGAAGGACAGTTTTGCTGGATATTGGATTCTTGGTTGACAGGCTTTTTTTCTTATAGCACATTGGCTATATCAGCCCACTGCCTTCTGGCCTCTAAAGTTTTTGGTGAGAAATCTGCTCATACTCATGTTGGGGAATTTGTGTGGAAATATGCTTCTCTCTCACCACTTTCAAGATTTTCTCTTTGTCTTTTGAAAGTTTGACTATAGTATGTCTTGATGTGGGTCTCTTTGAGTTCATCTTAGATGAAGTTCATTGAGCTTCTTGGATGTTGATATTAATATCTTTCATCAGATTGGGGGAGTTTCCAGCCACTATATCTTCAGATATTCCCCTACCCTTTTCTCTTTCTCAGGTTTCCATAATGTATATGTTGGTCCACTTGATGATGTCTCACACATACTTTATGTTCTGTTTGCTTTTCTTCAGTCTTTTTTTCCTTCTGCTCTGAAGAAGTGATAATTTCCTTTAAGCTAGCTTCAAGTTCACTGATCTTTTTTTCCTTCTGCCTGCTCAAATCACCCATCTTCTTTATAACATTGTTTTCTTGACTTTCTCTATGTCTTCCTTCTTTGAGCATGTTTAAGACGGTTGTTTTAAAGTATTTGTCTATTAATTCCACCAGTAGGTCTTTTTGAAAGACAGTTTTTGTTGATTTATTATTTTTTCCTTTGAATGGACCATACTTTCCTGTTTCTTTGTATGTCTTGTGACGTTTTGTTAGAAAACTAAACATTTGAAGCTAATAATGGAGTACCTCTGGAAATTGAATTCTCCCCATTCTCCAGCATTTGTTGTTGTTTTTGTTTGTTTTTTAATTGTCATAGGCTGTCTTTGGGCCAACGATCAGTTTGAGGTGTAAATGTAAGGTCTTCTCAGGTCTTTTCTGAGCCTGCACCTTTTCATGGATATGCATGATTTTTTTTTCTTATTTCTCCTGTATGTGTGATTGCTTTTAAATATCTTAGTCTTTGATGTCTGACTTCCAAAAGATGGAAAGAGAAAAATGAAACGGGGGAAAATAGTGCTGCCTCTAAATCCTCTGGAAATCATTTCAGCTGCAGGGCAGGGTTGGGGGTGGGGTGGAGCTTATACAATGGGCAGAGGTGTAGCAACAGTGGCCCCTGCCTCTTTGTCTGCACCTCTCTGGTCAGAGCACGGAACCCCTATATTTGGAGGACAGGGTGCTTTTTTGCCCAACCTGATTCCTGCTGGCTGCATGCAAGCTGCTCCAGGAACATGTGCACATCTCCCTGCCATGGGATTGGGAGTAGGGGATGGGTAGCGGCTACTGTGCTAAGAGCTGAAATTGATGGAAATTAACTGCAATTTACCAACCAAGCCTTTCCCTGGAAGTTGCAAGCCTTCAATAGCCTGGAATTTCAAAATAGTCACACAGGACAAATTCTGCCAGCATGATTGTTGTCCAGGTGGGGAAACAGATTCCTAGTGCTCTCTGCTTTGCCATCTTCTCCATCCAGTTTTGTTTTGACTTTCTGGGTGAACTCAATTAAGCCTTTGCATTGGAAGCTCTTCTATGTTATTTCACAGCAGGCCTCATGAACCAAATGTCCAATAGGACTTAAGAAATTGAATTATAGACAGGGGAGGAGACCTTATAAAAACTGCAAAGTTTGGTCCCTTCAGACTGAAGTGGCAAAGTCTAACAGGGGGACGAGATTAAAATCTATAATGTTGTAAGTACAGAGCATTCGCCCAGAATCATATGTCAGATTTGGAAATTAATACCTTGTGGTCCCTTTTGCCTTGAATGAGAAGTTTTGGATACAAAATTAAATCCTAATTCATAAAGCCACAATAAAGTCAGGGAACTCTTCATATCCCTTGAAGAAGAACGAAGTGGGAGAAATAAATAAATTCTAAAAGGGCCCAAGCAGATTCATGAATCACCAATAATTATGAAGAGCAGGTGGAATATATTTAATATTTGAGGTTGCCATCAGGAAGGAGAACCTAGCTGAGTCTCTGAGGTTTCCGTAAACAACAGAATGCTGGGCCAGGCAGAGCCTCATGGACCTGCAGCAGTTGGACACATTCTCTGACTCAGGACATACCTCATATATTCTGCCTTGCTCCTGAGGAAGCAATGTAAAAGCGAGGACCTAGTGCAACTTTTCTTTTAGTGCAAGTTTTTACGTTTTGGGAGAGAGAAAGATGGGAATGCCATAATGATTCTGCATTCCCAAAGGCATTTCACCTTCCTCTGCCCTCCCTTTTCATATGTGTTGTTATAGTTGACTGACCAAACTAGTTTTGACAGAGAGGCTGTTTTCTTTGCAGTGACAAGGATTTTTCCTAAAGCAATTAGAAAATATTAGGTAGAATAGAGAATAGGATGGATCAAGGCTAGAGGGAGTTGCCTGGAGACTGTCAGGCTCTGGGAATCTCTCTCTTCTGTGCCCCATAGAGTTTGGGGACAGATGTTGTTCTTGGGAAGGGACACTCCTGGTGAGGACCTCAGGACATCCCCAAGAGGTCATAGTTGGGCTCTCCCTCCCTTTTCTGACTGCTTTTGCACTCATTATGCCACTTATGTAACACTTTACTTTATTCGTACCAAATACTGTTGCTTATGCATAAACCATAGAATCCTAGTATCTCAAGATAGAGGGAGATTGGGTAGGGGTATGGTAGGCTGAAAAATGGCCTCCCAAAGATATCAAGCTCTCCCTCTTTGAACTTGTAAATGTTACCTTATTTGGAAAAGAGGTCTTTGCAATCCTTTTTAAGTTAAGGATTTGGGGGGAGATTATCCTGGATAATCAGGGTGGGTTCTAATTGCCATCCTGTATCCCTCTGCAAGGGAGGCACAGGGAGATTTGACACACAGAGAAAAGAAGGCCTTGTGAAGATGGAGCAGAGATTGGAGTGGTGTAGCCAGAAACCAAAGGATACTGGAGACACCACAAGCTGGAAGAGGCAAAGAATTTATGCTCCCTAGAGCCTCCAGAGGGAGTGCTTTAGATTTGGCCCCAGTGATACTGATTTCAGACTTCTGGCCTCCAGAACTGTGAGATCATTCATTTAGGTCATGTTTTGTTTTTTTAAAGCCACCAGGTGGGTGATACTTGGCTACAACTGCCTCAGGAAACTAGTCCAAGATGTCACCTCATTACACCCATCCACCAAGGCCAGTGTCCCATTAGGTTGGTGTCTGCCTGAGCAGCGGGGACCCATTACCTGGCTGTGACATCTCATCCTGAGGTCAGAGTTCTGACAGTTGCAGTGGTTCTCCTGAAGTCTGCGATTCCGCACGGACGTCTCCAGCCACTTTGCAGTGTCACTTGCCCTCTCTGTGTGCACTGGCATCTGCTCCTCTGGATGGCCATCCAAATTGTTCTTGATGGGAAAGCAATTTTCATTGTACTCAAAAGCAGTTCTGAACTCTCCTGCAACTTAGAATCAGTCTATATCTACTTCCAAGTGTTTTCAGTGTACCTATTTCCTCCAGTTTTTCCACCGTCCTCAATCAATAAGATAATCACAATAATAAAAATGGCATTATTTTACATCTATGTGATGGTTTAACCATTTGGGAGATTTTTTCTTTAATCATCTTGTGTCAGGTAGCTAAGTGAGTATTATTAATCCAACAAAAAATATGCAAAATGAGGCCCGGCCCAGTGCGGTGGCTCATGCCTGTAATCCCAGCACTTTGGGAGGCCGAGGCAGGCAGATCACTTGAGGCCAGGAGTTCGAGACCAGCCTCGCTAGCCTGGTGAAACCCCATGTCTGCTAAAAATAATTTAAAAATTAGCTGGGCATGGTGGCGGGCGTCTGTTATCCTAGCTACTTGAGAGGCTGAGACAGGAGAATTGCTTGAACCCATGAAGTGGAGGTTGCAGTGAGCTGAGATCTCGCCACTGCACTCCAGCTTGGGTAACAGAGTAAGACTCCGTCTCAAACAAACAAACAAAACAGGAGGCCCAAAGAGGAGGAATGACTTGGTTTAGGTCAATAAGCCATGATTACAATCCAGGATTTGTTTAACTTCATCATGGTTGATACCACTGGGATTCAAAGTGGTGTGCGTGTAGTTAAAGGGTTGTGGGAAAAATCCATTGGGGTATAAAAAGAAAATATTAGAACCTTCTCGTATCTATTTCTCATCTAAAATTAAGAATAGATCTCTGTTAATATTTGATGAGTAAATAGTGTATGTATATAATTTGCGAATAAATGAATGTCATGTATATTTTAAAATCTTTTGCTGGTGGAGGTGCTTGCATTTAAAAAGTAGGGAAATTGCTCTCCCCTCACCCTGCCCCATCGTTGTTCATTTTAGCCAAGATTGACTATTTAAGCTTTAATTGAGGATGATATTTATGCATTAACACGTGGGCACAAATTGGTTGGTGATAATGAGATTGCTGAATTAGTTTAGTTTACCTCATTATCTGGTAGCCAAGCCAGACTTGTAAATAATGACTAAGATACAAAGCACACAGAAGCAGATACAGAGGGAATAACTTTGAAAAATTAAAACATTCTGCAAAGTTGCAAGGCCGTGTAGAATCAGCTGACTTTCCTTGCCTGTGACTCCTTCCTGGTCTGTATCTGCCACCAAATGCAGATGAAGAGGACAGCAGAAGGTGGTCTGAGGTCAGCCCTTGCTGGACCTGGGGCCCAAGCATACCAAGTGCCGCTGCCCAGGTACATGAGAGAGGCATGCCATTCGGTGGATCAGCAGTCAGCTCACTGGACTCCTCCTTAGCATAGCGATTGGTTGTAACTTATTGACAGATTCCCCTATAACTTTTTATTGAGAGATAGCTGATTTTTTTAAATTTTTCTTTATAAGATACTGCTTTCCAGAGTGCTCTGGAGGCTTGAGAGAGTCATAGAAAAATTATGGAGTGGCTGAGAGTGGTTGCTCATGCCTGTAATTCCAACACTTCCGGAGGCTGAGGCAGGAGGATCATTTGAGGCCAGGAGTTTGAGACCAGCCTGGGCAACATAGCAAAACCTCGTCTGTATTAAAAATAATAATAGAAAAAATTGGCTGGGCATGGTAATATAGCATCTGTAGTCCCAGTTGCTCTGGAGGCTGATGCAGGAGGATAGCTTGAGCCTGGAAGGTGGAGGCTGCAGTGAGCCATGATCACACCACTGCACTCCAGCCTGGGTGACAGAGAGAGACCTTGTGTCTAAGAAAAGGTATGGAGAAACCTATTTTGGCTCTGTAGATGTCAGGCTCTACCTAAATTTCTGCCTCTATTTTCCCATCTCTGCGTCACTTGACCAAAACATGGAAGAAGCCTTTCCTTTGATTTCAGACCCATCCTACTTGGGGAGTAAGTACTTAAGAATTATAGTTCCAGCTGGGCGTGGTGGCTCACACCTGTAATCCCAGCACTTTGGGAGGCCGAGGTGGGTGGATTGCCTGAGCTCAGGAGTTCAAAACCACCCTGGGCAACATGGTAAAACCCCATCTCTACTAAAATACAAAAAAAAAAAAATTAGCTGGGCATGGTGGCACGTGCCTGTAATCCCAGCTGCTGGGGAGGCTGAGGCGAGAGAATATCTTGAGCCCAGGAGGCAGAAGTTGCAGTGAGCCAAGGTCGTGCCACTGTATTCTAGCTTGGGCAACAGAGTGAGACTCTGTCTCAAAAAAAAAAAATAAAATAAAATAGCTGGGCCTGGTGGTGCATGCCTGCAGTCTCAGCTACTCAGAGGCTGAGGCAGGAGGATTACTTGAGCCAAGGAGTTCAAGGCTGCAGTGAGCCGTGATGGCGCCACTGTACTCCAGCCTGATTGACAGAAAGAGACCCTGTCTCTTAAAAAAGAGTCATACATATAGTAGCTGTCTACAAAGGCAGATCGAAGCAGGTACGGTTGCATTTGGTTGTAAAGCAGTAAGCAGAAAGGGACAGTTGGTTCCTGGAAACATTCACTTTTATCAAAAAAAAAAAGTACTGAAAAAAAGGAAAATGAGTGCCTTAGACAGAGTGAATCTGGATTTCACCAAAGCATTTGACAAGTTTACATTGACGAATTTGGTATGTGTGTGGTTAAGATAGAAAAATATGAGCTGGATGCTACTGCAATTAGGTAGAAGTAGGACTGGGTGAATAATTATGCCCAAAGGAAGACTCCCAGTAACGTGCCCCAGGGCTCTGTCCCCCACTTTATTGTGTTGAAAAGTTTTAGCAGTGCTTCCCTGAAGCCAGTGCCTGATGGAATTAAGATCCAAAAAGGTCTTGACAGGCTGAGACAATTAGGCCGAATCCAACACGATGAGATTTAGCAGAAACAATTGTAAGGTCCTGCATTTGCATCCAAACAATCAACTATACAAAAACAAGAGAAGAAAAGTGTGACAAGAGCAGGACCAGTTTCCAGCACAGGTGCAGGTGACAGACTTGAGCTTGGATGTGGATCCACAGAATGATGGGACTATCAATAATGCGAATTTTACTTGGAGGCTGCACTGTTAGAGGTATTGCATCATATCAAAATAAGTAATTATCCTCCTATCCTTGCTGTTTCTTTTTTTCTTTTCTTTTCTTTTTTTGAGATGGAGTTTTGCTCTTGTTGCCCAGGCTGGAGTGCAATGGTGTGATCTTGGCTCACTGCAACCTCTGCCTCCCAGGTTCAAGTGATTCTCCTGCCTCAGCCTCCTGAGTAGCTGGGATTACAGGCACCCGCCTCCACGCCTGGCTAATTTTTTGTATTTTTAGTGGAGATGGGGTTTCACCACATTGGCCAGGCTGGTCTTGAACTCCTGACTTCCACACAGATGAAGCGTGGGGTTCGGTCCTGCTTTCCTCACCTTGAGATCCCACAGAGGACATTTGGAGGCAAGAACCGGGATCTCAATGGGACTCCAGAATACATACTGTAATGAATCCGAGATGGGATTGGGGATGCTTGCTTTATAGAGAAGAATAGGTGAAGATATGGTAGTTGTCTTTAAGCAGTTTAGGTTGCCACTTGGTATTTGAAGGGTTGTCATGCAAAAGAAGAATGAGTCTGTTTCTGGGGTGGCTCTCAAGACTATAACAAGGACCAGCTGGGGCAGGGGCAGGGGGGCGGGGAGGCCACTGCTGTGAAGGCAAGAGTTTGATGGAAAGTAGAGTTATGTGGCTACTAAAACTTGCAGCAGTCAACAGATTGGGCTGTAGTATGAACAAACAGTACAACTAATAGTTGAGATTGCTGGCCATGATGCATTGTTGATTTAAAGGTAGCCCATGTTTTGTTGGATTTCAAATGTCTAGGTGATAAAGGTCATTAAAATATTAATATTTTAATATTAATATTTTAAAATATAAATATATTTTACATATATTAACATAAATATATTTTACATATATTAATATTAACATATAAATATATTTTACATATATTAACATATAAATATATTTTACATGTATATCACTATTTCAGAATATTAATATATTTTACAAATAGCCTGATGTCTGTTTGTGCCCAAGTGCACTGCAGCTATGTTTCTGCACAGAAGTGGTCCTAGAGCCACATAATAACAGAGCTCAGATTTTTTTTTTTTAAAAAGATCAGCCTAGGATCAGCTTAAATGCCTGAGCAAGCACCAATACATCCATAAAAGCTATGCAAGTTGAGTGTCCCTTATCTGAAATGCCTGGGACCAGAAGTATTATGGATTTTTGAGGGGGGATGGATTTTGGAATATATGTATTATACTTACTGGTTGTGCATCCCTAATCAAAAAATCCAAAATCAGAAATCTGGAAGGCTAGGAGTCTTGCATCATGGATCATGAAAGAGATGACCTTGAGTTAGAAGATTCTATGTCAGGATTTAACAACCATCCCTGTCTATGTTAAAATAATAGTTGTTGCAAAATATATGATTTTTACTGGGGTTATATCAGGATAGCTTGTCAGGATTTGCTGGCTACAAAACCCTTCCCCACCTAACTGGATCAGTTACCCAATCTAATAGAGCTGTTTAGAATTGTCCATCTGGCTGACAAAGAGCACCTGCCAAAAGTGATTAGTTTTGCCTTACCTTAATTGATTTTGAGTAATTTTCTCCTCAGAAAGTTCACTTGCACCTTGAGGGGGTCATAGAATCTTCATAGAGAAAAACGAGTTTTCATTTTTATTTTTACTTATTTTTAATTAATTATTTTTTTTTTTTTTGAGATGGAGTCTCACTCTGTCACCCAGGCTGGAGTGCAGTGGCACGATCTCAGCTCACTGCAACCTCTGCCTCCTGGGTTCAAGTGATTCTCCTGCCTCAGCCTCCTGAGTAGCTGGGATTACAGGAGTGTACCACCATGACCAGCTAATTTTTGTATTTGTAGTAGAGACGTAGAGACGGGGTTTCACCATGTTGGACAGGCTGGTCTCGAACTCCTAACCTCAGGTGATCTGCCTGCCTTGGCCTCCCAAAGTGCTGGGATTACAGGCATGAGCCACCGTGCCTGGCCAGAAAAAGAAGTTTTTAAATTTGCTATTACAAGAAGGCATATGTCCAATTCATCCATAAAAGCTATGCAGGTTGAGTATTCCTTATCTGAAATTCCTGGGACCAGAAGTGTTTGGATTTTGGATTTTATTTTGGGGGTGGGGGTGTGGATTTGAGAATATTTGTATTATACTTACTGATTGGGCATCCACAATCCCAAAATCCAAAATCTGAAATGCCCCAATGAGCATTTCCTTTCCACGTCAGGTTGTCACTCAAAATGTTTCAGATTGTTTAGCATTTCTGATTTCAGATTTTAGGATTAGGGATACTCAACCTGTATAAAGTAATTCAAATAGATATTCAGTTATACTATCCAAGTTTTGCTTTTTTCAGCTGCCAGTACATGGAATGATTTGGTTTTGTTGGCTCTCATGGCAAGTCTGGAGATAAGATGAGCTCTTGGCTGGTGAATGCAGCCACTCAAGATGCCAGGCCTCTATCTAGCTCAGCAACTCTGCAGTTCTCTTGGCTTCTCCCTGTGGATACAGGATGGCTGCTATATATTGCATCTTCACAGGACAATATGCAAAGCCAGGGCTGTCCCCTTTTAAGAGAGAGGAAAACTTTCCCAAGAGACTTATGGCATTGCATGTCATACCATTTTGAAAGATTATTGTATGGCTTTGCAGATGTTGAAACTGGCTTCTTAATGCAATCTGAGAGTTATGGCCCTAAAACATTTTTAGATTTAAAATTTAAATTTTGAATTAACATACAATTGACATTTGAGGGTGTACCGTTCTGTGAATTTTAACACGTGTAAATTCATATACATGTACAGGTCAGCACATTCAAGATACAGCTCAAGAACAGCTTGATCCTTTTTTTTGATCAGGTTTTGACACCAAAGAAAACCTTATGTCTTTGTGTCTAAGTTCATGAGAGGTATTAGACTCTAGGTGTTTTTTTGTTTGTTTTTTCTTGTAATGTCTTTGGTTTTGGTATCAGGACAATGTTAACCTTATCAAATAAACTGAGATGTGTTCCTTCCTCTTTTATTTTCTGGAAGAGATTGTGTAAAATTGGCATTATTTATCCATAAAGAAAAAAATTCTTTAAATGTTTTGGTAGAATTTGCCAAGGAAGCCATCTGGGCCTCAAGATTTCTTTTTTGGAAAGTTTTAAACTGTGAATGCAATTTCTTTAATAGGACTATTTAGGATGTGTCTTTCTTCGTTGGTGAGTTTTGTATTATCTGAAGAATCAATCCATTTCCTTTGTCATTCTAGTTAAAGGTTTAGATGTTATATCAACCTACATTGAAAACCACATGAGACAATGTTATAATTTTTGTTTTCAACCATAGAACATTTTTAAAGAACCAAACAGGGTAAGAATAATCTTATATTTACCCATATATTTGGCATTTCTTATGTTCTAAGTTCCCTTCTGGTATCATTTTATTTATTTATTTTTTTTCTTTTTTTTTTTTTTTTTTTGAGATAGAGTCTCACTCTGTCGTCCAGGCTTGAGTGCAGTGGCATGATCTTGGCTCACTGCAACCTCCACTTCCCTGGTTCAAGAGATTCTCCTGCCTCAGCCTCCCAAGTAGCTGGGACTACAGGCATACACCACCACATCCAGCTAATTTTCGTATTTTTTAGTAGAGATGAGGCTTCACCATGTTGGCCAGACTGGTCTCAAACTCCTAACCTCAAGTGATCCACCCACCTTGGCCAAAGTGCTGGGATCACAGGCGTGAGCCACTGTGCCCAGCCCTGGTATCATTTTATTTCTTTCTGGAGAACATCCTTTAAAATTTTTTTTAGAGCAGGTGTGCTGACAATGAATTTCTTTACTTTTCTTCATTGGAAAATGTCTTCATTTTGACTGCATTCCTGAAGGATGTTTCCACTGGATGTAGAATTCTGGGTTGACAGTTTTTTATCTCTTGGCTCTTTAACAATGTTGTTCCACTTCCTTCTGGTCTCAGTGTTTTATGATGAGAAATCTATAGTCATTGGAATCATTGCTTTCTGTTGGTAATGCGTCATTTATTTCTGTCTGATTGTAAGATGTTTTTCTTTGTCTTTATTCTTCAGCAATTTGATTGTGATATGTTTGAGGATGTATTATTTTAGGTTCATCCCATTTGGGGCTTTAGGGGCTTGGTGAATCTGTTGGTTTATTTCTTTTTTTTTTTTTTTTTTTTTTGAGACAGAGTCTTGCTCTGTCGCCCAGGCCGTTTTATTTCTATTGAGAAATTTAGAAAGTTTTTGGCTATTATTTCTTTAAATATTTTTTCTTCTCTGCAGCCTTTCTCATCTCCTTTTATGCCTCTGATAGTAGGAACATTAATCATAGAAGAAGAGGAGAAAGACTCACATTTTTTATTGACCTATCTTCAAATTCACTAGCTCTTCTATCACCTCCATTTCTACATTGAGCCCCTCTATAGAGCTTCTTTGCTGTTACTGTTTTTTTTTTTTTAGTTCTGAAATTTTCATTGTAGTCTTGTTTATATCATTTATTTCTTTGTCTAGACTTTCTATTTTCCCATTCCTCTCGAGAGGATTTGCAAATGAGAGGAGTGGAAAGATAGAAAAAGATAAAAACCTCTCAACAAAGAAATAAGTGATATAAATAAGAACACAGTGTTAATGGTTTCATTAACATCTTTTTCAGATAATTCCAACAACTGTGTCTGTAGCGTCTGGTGATTGTGTTTTCTTATACAGGTCAAATTTTCCTGCTTCTTCATATGCTGATTAATTTTGTATTATCGTCTGGACATTTTGAATATTACGTTATGAGATCCCGGCTCTTCTTTAAATCCTCCAGAGAATGTTGATATTTTTGTTTGAGCAGGCAGATTGAGTTGGTTGGGTGTAGGCTGAAAATTCTGACCAGCTTTCTTTGGATTGTGGTCTGTTCAGTTTTCCAAGGCTTTGCAACACTATTCAGATCTGTTCTGCTCGTGCTCCACCCGTTGGCCATTCTGGGAGCTGTGTAGTATTTTGTCCCATTGAGTTAGTTGTTGCTATGGAGGAGTTTGCCTTGGTATGGAGAAATACCTGAAACTGAGTAATTTATAAAGAAAACAGGTTTATTTGGCTCACAGTTCTGTAGGCTATACAAGAAGCGTGACACCCACATCTGCTCAGCTTCTGGTGAGGCCTCAGGAAGCTTTCAGTCATGGCAGAAGGGAAGTAGAGCTGGTGTGTCACAAAGCATGAGAGACGGGGGAGATCCCAGACTCTTCTAAACAGCCAGATCTTGCGTGAACTCACTACCATGCATCACGGTGGGGAGAGCACCAAGCCATTTATGAAGGATCTATCACCATGATCCAACATCTCCCACAGGCCCCAAGTTCAACATTGGGGCTCACATTCCAACATGAGATTTGAAGGGGACAAATATCCAAACCATCTCACATGTTTTCCAGTTTTCAGAGTCTAGGGCAGACTGTTTAGGGTTAGACAGGCATGAACAACTTACAGGTGAGCCCAGGATTTCATACACAAAATGGCGGGGTAGCTTTGCCAACCTCTTCACTCTCCAAGACCTCCTTGGTACTACCATTTATTTAGGACTCTATTTTTCATTCCTATGTCCAGCAAGCTGAGGCTTTATTTGTCCTACTCTTATGCATACTTTCCTTGGCTGTATCAGCTTCCTGATCCAAGCTACAAGAGAAGAGAAAGAGAAAAAGGCATCAGGCATTTGTTCCTACTCGAGACAATGGTTCCACTGATCAGAAGGAAAGGTTCTCCTTCAGAGCATGTAAGCACCTGCAGGTTACCATGGGTTGAGGCATGAAGAAATGGTGAAATGAAAAGACAGGAAGTATTTCCCCCACTCTCTCTGAATGTTAGAGACCCTTTTCCTACCCCTCAAGCCAAAACTAGAGGCTTCCTGGAGCTCTCACCACCCACACCAATGCCCACTGCCCGGGGTCTTTAGCATTGCATCTAGCTGGGGGTACTCGAGGAAAAACTGTAGCAAACTCTTTGCTGGTTTGGTGGTACTTTAAATTCAGGTCTTCTCCAAATCACCTGCTACTACAACTTACTTCTCAGAATCCCCAAATAGCTGTTCCATGCGTTCTCTGCATGTTCCACAGCTGCCAGCAGTGGAAAGAAGCAGGGTAGAGTGTTGCTTCCTCTACCCATCATCAGAACCTCTCAGAAATTTTTCACAGTTTTTTTTCAACCTAAGTGGTTAATTGAATGTTTCATCATAAATGAGGTCACTATAACTAAGTTATGGGAAATTACAGGAGGACTGGGATTATAAAATACTGAGTGAATGCTGTAAGGATTCACCAAAATATAGGGAGATCAGCTGTCATGAGTCTTTTGCTGTGGGTACCCTGAGTTCACAATTGACGGTCATTTGCAACCTTGAAAGCTAAGCTCTGAAACCTATTATAGTTCAATTTCTTTTTGGAAATATTATGCTTCTAACAAGATTTCAGAGCAAGGTAATTTCCAAGTAGTTTCCTTTAAATTTAGCCTGAAGTATTGACTTACTGGCTTTTTTTTTCAGAAAACTTTTGCCAAGGCAAGAATGAGGGTTGGGAGTTCCTAAGTATGAGGGATTGTCAGGGTTTGCTTCAATCTGCCCATATTTTCTTGACATGGGTTATTGAAGAAATCTTCATCCCTACTGTTGTCATTTGAGCATTCCTTTAATATACCATCCCTATCATACCATTGCTAATGAAGACCAGGTAAGTGGCAGGAAAAAGTAATCCCTCTGACCTACTTTTAGGAGGTCTAGATCTTGGAAAGATGGAGACAGATTTTGAAGACCATAGATGGAATGACATTCCTAAGAGTGGTTTGTTAATTTTCCTTGATAAAGGTTTCTGAAACTGACGATTTAAAAGGAATATATTCTGTACATCTCTTGTGAATCCCAGAAGTTTTCAACTGCTTAATCCATTTCTAAAGTTTTAGTTTAAAAATATAAATGAAATTGGATGTTCACAATCCAGGAAGCATAACATTTAGGTTTAAGTCCAAGTTTAAAACCTTGAATCTTCAACGAAACGGAAACATGTCAAAATGATTACACTTCCTCCTGTTGACAGCTGGGTTTTAAAGCCAGACAGCGTTCTTCGTTTTCGACTTTTGTTTTTTTAATGCAGAATACCATGGCTTCTTTTGCACGTCACTGTCCTTTTGCACTGCATTGCAACTCAGCATCCCCAGTGTCTATGATCTATATGGGGCAAAGGCGTATTTTTCATAGAGAGCTTTGTGAAGTTATTCTTCTCCACTATTTCAGTTCAGAGCTTACCATCTTCCAAAGTCCTGCCCCCTTGGCCCTCTGCCCAGGGTGTGGACAGACACTCTTGGGTGTTCTCTAAAGATTCCAGCTTGTTGACCAGGCATGGTCGCTTGTGCCTGTAATCCCAGCACTTTGGGAGGCCGAGGCAGGCAGATCACCTGAGGTCAGGAGTTTGAGATCAGCCTGACCAACATGGTGAAACCCCATCTCTACTAAAAATACAAAAAAATAGCTGAGTGTGGTGGTGGGCACCTGTAATCCCAGCTACTTGGGAGGCTGAGGCAGGAGAATCTCTTGAACCCGGGAGGTGGAGGTTGCAGTGAGCCGAGATGGCGCCACTGCACTCCAGCCTGGGCAACAGTGCGAGACTCCGTCTCAAAAAAAAAAAAAAAAAAAAAAAAAGATTCCAGCTTGTTGCAGCTTGTAGCAACCCCCAGCAGCCACTAAGAGATATTTACTCCCACTTTTTACTCAAGCAAGTTAATTTCTGGAGGTGAAACAATTGCACTTACGATCATCCAGGGTCTCATCTGGATAAGACTTGGTAGCACGTGTAGGTGTTTAACGTGGCGTGATTATTTAATATATGTGGTATAGTGGTGGGGCCCCAGAAGAGCAATTTTCTATACAATTCTAATTTTGCGTGAAATGATCCGGATGGTGGTTGTATAACATTCTGGATAATATGGGCTGGTGCCAAGTGACATTTTAACTTCTGCACGACTTAGAAAACTGTGCTACGTGTTCCACAGAGGAAATTATCAGCATTCAGCTGCAGTATTCGCTTGCCAGAACCATTACCCCTCAAGAACGCTTTCATGTAGACGCTTGAAGACTTGAAAAAGAGAAACAACTTCCTGTTCCATTACAAACATATTTCATGCCAATACAGAAACGATAAGACCACACCAAAATAGGGGATCAATGGAGAAATCTATGGCTTTCTGTAAGATGTCATACAACTAATTTTATTATGAAGAGGTTTTTTTTTCCCAATAAGTCTTCTACACTCATTATTGTAAAGAGTTTTAATAACATGTAATCTTCACAATACAATATCAAGTAAAAAGGACTGGAAAACATAATTTTAATTATTTTGTTTATTTGCTTAGAAGAAAATGAAGAAAAAATACACGTATGTTACTTCTGGGCGATGGGTTGATTTTTCATTTCCTATTTATATTCCTTATTCTTTTCCATTTCTCACTGTTACAAATAATGTTATGATAAACAGCATGATGCAGAAATCTATGACCAAATTTCTGAACACTTCATTGGGACAGATTCCAGAAAAGGAATTACTGAATCAAAAAAAAAAAAAAAAAAAAAGAACATTTAAAAAGGAACTTTTTATCTAAATGCCATTGCCAAATTAGTATCCAGAAAGTCTATGCTCATGTCTGTTACCATCAGTATTAGTGAGAAGACTCAGCAAACTGTGTACTCTGTCTTTTCACTTAAAATCTGGCCAGGCTTCATGGCTCAAGCTTGTAATTCCAGCATTTTGGGAGGCCAAACTGGGAGGATTACTTCAGGCCGGGCGTTCAAGACTAGTCTGGGCAACATGGTGAGACCCCATCTCTACAAACTTTTTTTTTTTAAAAAACAGGTGGGCTTGGTGGCATGTGCTTGTAATCCTAGCTACTGGGGAGGCTGAGGCAGGAGGGGCACTTGAGGCCAGAAATTGGAGGCTGTAATGATCTATGATCATGCCGCTGCACTCCGGCCTAAGCAACAGAGTGAGACCTTGTTTTTAAAACAAACAAAACAACAACAACAACAAAAATGAAATAACATTGCATACTGGGGATGTGGAAAATGCTAGCTCACTATTGCTTTAATTTGCATTTATTTTCATATTATTGAAGTTGAACATTTTCTACATGTTTAATATTTGTGTTTGTCTTTTGTGGATTATCTGTTTTTATCTTTTAGTATTCATCTTTTAATGAATTTCTTCGTATTTGAAGAATGCTATTCTTTTGCCATATTCATTGCATAGAGTTTTCCTAGATTATTGCTAAATATTTAATTTAGTCCCTGATGTTTTTAACATGCAGAGTATGTTAGCAAGTCTGTGAATCTCTATTTTTTTGTTATTCCTTTATTGATTTTAAGCTTAGATAGGATTTTCTTCATTTTACCTATATATTTCTCTAATTTTTTATCCTCTAATTCATGTTCTAGAGTAAAATGCCAAGTGAGGAATAAAATCGATTTTTCCTTTCAAGTTCTTTACCTGTCTTTTCAGCACCATTTGTTAACTAAGCCTCCTTTTTTCCATTCGATTTTTTATGTTTATTATCTTTATTTACTAGGGCTTATTTCTGAATTGCCCTGTTTTGTTTATCTCCTACTTAACCTTCATCAGTACTTTTTTATTGTGGTTTTATAATAGATTTTATTACTAGATATAGCATTACTGTCCTTAATTCCTTTTAGAGGTTTTCTTTCCTGCTCATTCTTCCAAATGACCAATTCACTGGGACATTTCCAAAAAAATTCCATAGGGATTTATCCTGAAATTGCATTAAACATATCCATTCATTTAAGAAGTATAAAATTGTTAGAGTAATCCTTCTACCAGGAAGCATGGTATTCTTTTATGTTTTCTTTTAAAGGCTTTAAAAATATATCACTAAAGTTGTATAGGTTTCTTCATATGGGTCCTAAATGTCTTTTATTTTTTAATTGAGACAGGATCTTGCTCTGTTGCCCCAGCTGGATTACAGTGGTGCGATCATAGCTCACTGCAGCCTCAGCTGCTGAGCTCAAGCAATCCTCCTGCCTCAGCCTCCTGAGTAGTTGGGACTATGGGTGTGTGCCACCAAGACTGGCTAATTTTTTTTATTTTTTTGTTATTTGTGGAAATGAGGTCTTGCTATGTTGCCTAGGCTGGTTTCAAACTTCTAGCCTCAAGCAATCCTCACTCCTCAGCCCCCCAGAGCGTTAGCATTACAGATGTGAGCCACTCAGCTTGGTGCTAAATGTCATAAACTAGTAATTTTTCAATAAAATTACTCATTTCACAAAAGTTTTAAAATGTATTTGCTTTCAGCTATATAAAGTACAGTATTTCATAATTTTTATCTCCTCTGTATTTGTTGCTACATAGTTTTTGTCTGTTGCAATTTTATTTGAATCTTTCTGGGTTAGATTTGTTAATTATTCATATGTTTTATAGTTTTCTCAAAGAATCCTCTTTTTTTTGCAACGATGATTACCATATCTATTTGTGTATTTCCCAGTTAACTAATTCTGCCTTTCCCCTAATTCTATCATTACCCCTATTACCATATTTATGTTTAACTTTTCTAAGTTTTAATTTCTTTGCTATTTATGTCTTTATTTGCATTGGGGTTACTTTTTCTATTATTTGTTTAATCAGCCTCTGTTAATCTTTACCAGCTTGGTTAAAATGATGGACTCTGGAGTTAGACTGCCAAATTCAGAACCCCCGCCTCACCCTGCCCCACCCAGCCCCAGGTCTGGCCCATGCAAATTGAGCATAAGCTCTTCTGATTTCCACTTCCTGATTTAGGACATGAAATAGTAATAATATCTACCTCGTTAGTGTGGTGTGAGGATTAAATGAGTTAACTCATGTACTATGATGCCTGGCAGATAAAAAATGCTCTGTGGATGTCAGCGATCATGAACAGCATTTCTCTTCCATCCGTTCTTTTGTTCTTTCTTTGGAATTCCTGTCCTCATCAGGTTAGACCTCAGGGATCTTAGTCTCCAGGTCTCTCAGCTTTTACCTCCCAGTCTCTAGCTCTGTGTGTTTTGTTTTGTTTTGTTTTGTTTTTATTTTAGTTTCCAGAGCACATGTGCAGGTTTGTTATAATAGGGAAACTCCTATCACAGGGGTTTGTCATACGGATTATTTTGTCACCCATGTACTAAGCCTAGTACCCAATAATTATTTGGGGTACTGTCCCTCCTTCACCTTCAAGTAGGCCCCAGTATCTGTTGTTCCCCTCTTCGCATCCATGTGTTCTCATCATTTAGCTCCCACTTCTAAGTAAGAACATGCAGTATTTGGTTTTCTATTCCTGCATTAGTTTGCTAAGGATAACAGCTTCCAGCTCCATTCATGTTCCTGCAAAAGACATGATCTCATTCTTTTTCATGGCTGCATAGTATTCCATTATATATATATATATATGTATATATATATGTATGTATATATGTATATATATGTATATATATGTATATATGTATATATATATGTATGTATATATGTATATATATGTATATATATGTATATATATATATACGTGTATATATACACGTATATATATATATATGTACATATATGCAGCCAACAAGCATACAGAAAAAGCTCAGTATCACTGACCATTAGAAAAATGTAAATCAAAACCACAATGAGATATCATCTTACACCAGTAAGAATGGCTACTATGAAAAAGTCAAAAATAACTACACTGCTGGTGGGAATGTAAACTAGTACAGCCGCTACGGAAAACAGTGTGGAGATTCCTTAAAGAACTAAATGTAGAACTACCATTCAATCCAGCAATCCCACTGCTGGGTATCTACCCAGAGGAAAAGAAGTCATTATACAAAAAAGGTACTTGCACATGCGTGTTTATAGCAGCACAATTCGCAATAGCAAAATCATGGCACCAACCCAAATGCCCATCAATCAATGAGTGGATAAAGAAATTGTGGTATATATCTATATATACGATGGAATACTACTCAGCCAAAAAAAGGAATGAATTAACAGCATTTGCAATGACCTGGATGAGATTAGAGACTATTATTCTAAGTGAAGTAACTCAGGAATGGAAGACTAAGCATCGTATGTTCTCACCGATACGTAAGAGCTAAGCTATGAGGACGCGATGGCATAAGAATGATACGATGGACTTTGGGGACCTGGGGGGAAGGGTGGGAGGGGGGTGAGGGATAAAAGACAACAAATATGGTGCAGTGTATACTGCTGGGTGATGGGTACACCATGTTCTCACAAATCTCTAAAAAGCTTACTCGTAATCAAATACCACCTGTACCCCAGTAACTTATGGAAAAATAAAATAAAAAAAATAGATAAACTTTGATAAAGATTGCGAAAGAAAACCAAAGTTGCTACATAGATCTTAAAAAAAAAATGACACATGCTGGTAAGGTTGGGGAGTAAAGGGAACACTCATATATGTTGGTGGGAGTGTAAATCAGTTCAGCCCTTGCGAAAGGCAGTGTGGCGATTCCTCAAAGAGCTAAAAACAGAACTGCCATTCAACCCAGCACTCCCATTACTGGGTATGTGCTCTGAGTTGTTGTTCTGTGCAGTGGTTCCAGGCTACTGTCTCAGTTCCTATCACCTACCAGCCGGTAATTTCAGAGTGTCTATGAATCTGCATATTTGAAAATCATGCTTTTTACTTTCTGGGAGTCTTTGGTGTACTCTGATTCCACTCTTTGGGAGCACATATTCCTTTGTTTGTTTGTTTTTTGAGACAGAGTCTCGCTCTGTCACCCAGGCTGGAGTGCAGTGGTGAGATCATGGCTCACTGCAAACTCCACCTCCTGGGCTCAAGCGATTCTCCTGCTTCAGCCTCCCGAGTAGCTGGGATTACAGGCTCCCGTCACCACGTCTGGCCAATTTTTGTATTTTTAGTAGAGACTGGGTTTCACCATATTGGCCAGGCTGGTCTTGAACTCCTGTCCTCAGGTGATCCTCCCTCCTTGGCCTCCCAAAGTGCTTGGATTACAGGCGTGAGCCACCGCACCTGGCCTTGGCCTCTCAAAGTGCTGGGATTACAGGCGTGAGCCACCACACCTGGCCTTGGCCTCCCAAAGTGCTGGCATTACAGGCGTGAGCCACCACACCTGGCCACCCTCTAAGTTCTTACCTAAGTCTTCTTTCTTTAGTTGTAGTCAGTGGGAACCAAGTGCTTCAAAGGCTCATTGAGTCACCCTGTCTCTGGTCACTGAGACGGGGTGAGTTGTCATTTCTGAGACTGAAGTGAGTTGTCATTTCTCTGCCTGGCTGTAGATTTCCATCCGCCTTCTCTGCCAAGTCAGGGCAAAGGCACACCAACAGGTTAGGGGAAGCCCGGTGGTTTTCATGTTCACCTGACCAGAAACAAGTGTGCCTCCTTCCTGAGGTCAAGGAGGAAGCCCCCTCTCTTTAGGGTACATCCCACCCAGGAGCAGGAGACACGGGCTATAGAGCAGATTTTCTTCGGGTGGTCAGTAGTCAGTGAGGTCAAGACCATCACCCCCAAGCCTGAATCCCCCCAGAGCCTGCTGGAGTAAACAGTTGTGGCCCTTTCTCGGGGAGCTTCCTGGGGAAGGGGCAGATCCTCCGTATCTTCTCTCTACCTTCCCTCCAGAGACCTGCCTTCCCTGGCCGGTGTCCACTCCGGAGGCGACTTGTCGGGACGGCAGATCAGGAGTTCTTGCTGTTATATATTCACAGCCCCTTAACTCCGCATTTACTCCATTTTCTAAATGGTTATTGCTGCCACACAAGGAAACGATTGATTTTTTAAATGTTTGTCCAGGACCCAGCCACTGTTAGTAAATTCCCAGAATTACGATGGAGTCATTTCTTTTTTTCTAGATAGACAATCATACCATCTCCTGAATAGTGATCATCTTGTCTCATGAATTCCTTTAGTCATCTTTCTCACTTGTATCTCAAGTCATAATATTGGCCAGAACACAGAAAACAACATTGAATAAAAATGATAACAAGCATCCTTGGGGCATTGCTTATGTTAATGGAAATTCCTCTGGTGTAGGAGAATATGCTTCTGCCTTGAGATAGATCACTCTTACTTTGTCGAGAAAGGATTATTCTTGTCCTTGTTCTAAAAAGTCCTGAAGGAATCTAGTATTTTCCCCAGCACTGTTTGCAGCTTCCATAGAGACCACCACACTTTTTATTGTGTCTATTGATTTGATTTCATACATGGATTGATTTTTCTAGTATTAAATTGTACTCAAGTTCTGGAATGATCTGTACTTGGCTGTGGTCAGCTATGTTTGGAGCATATTTTAAATTAGATTTTCCAGTTCCAGCTTTAGCGTTTTTGCATGTGAGATGTGTTGGTTGGTTTTCTTTTGTGTATTTTTGTATGAGAGTTATATTAGCTTTTCCACTTTTTCTTCATCCTGGAACAGTTAATATAACATGAGGAGTGTCTATTTCTCAACAACAGGAAAAAACTCAGATATAATTTTTCCTAATTTGAGAAGCTTTTCAGGTATTTTTTAAAAATAGGTTATCAGTTTTAGAAATCTGATTTTGTTGATTTTCTGCATTTTCTTAAATCTGTAATAATCTTTTTTAATAAAGTCAATAGTTTCACAAAAAATTTGAAATAGATTAGCTTTTGGTTATACAAAGTACAGTATTTCATAATTTTTATCTCTTCTGTATTTGTGGCTGCATAGCTTTTCTCAGTTGTAATTATATTTTCTTCTTTCTGGATTCGATTTGTCAATCATTCATATATTTTATAGTTTTCTCAAATAACTCTCTTTTTGATACAATGCATATCATATCTATTTGTGAATTTCCCAATTAACTAATTCTACCATCACCCTAATTATATCATTACCCCTATTACCTTTAAGTCTAACTTTTCTAAAGTTTTAAAAATGTTTTATTTTTTCCTTTCCAAATAACAAAATATTTATTTATTTATTTATTTATTTATTTATTTATTTATTTATTTATTGTGGTGGAGTCTTGCTCTGTCACCCAGGCTGGAATGCAGTAGTGGCACAACCGTGGCTCGCTGCAACCTCCACCTCCTGGGTTCATGCGATTCTCCTGTCTCAGCCTCCCAAGTAGCTGGGATTATACCATGCTTGGCTAATTTTTGTACTTTTGTAGTAGAAATGAGGTTTCACCATGTTAGCCCGGCTGGTCTCAAACTCCTGACCTCAAATGAACTTCCCACCTTGGCCTCCCAAAGTGCTGGGATTACAGGCGTGAGCCACCAAACCCAGCCCAAAATAATGAAATTATTTTAATGTTATGAATTACATCTGAAAACAAGTTTGATTAATACTTACATATTTGAGTTATGTAATTTTCTCACTGTCATTTTCTTTAAAAGATACTATCTTGCATTTGTATTCTTCATTGATCAGGAGAGTGTTTTCCATTTCGGAGTGATCTAGGGCTCTGCTTCAATGTTTACTATTAATATTAAATCCTAGTTTCTTTGGGTTTGAGTAGGAGAATGAGGTCTGCTTATTTCAGCTTTGAAAAATTAGTTGATTTTTTGCGATCTACCATATAATCCTGTTTTTATAAATGTTTCATGAATGTTTTAAGAGGTACAGCCTTTTTTTCCTACAGCATTCTGTATATTATCTGTTATTTTCTGTGTGTATGGTTAATAATCTAGTAATTGCAATTGTACTACTGAAATTTTCATCTTGAAAGACAACATGGCATAATGGAAAGAATGTTTTAGAGTGAAGGTAAATCAGGGTTCAAAACTGAATTTTATTACAATTAGTGGCATAATCTTACAGAGGTCACCTAATATCTGAACCTCCCTTATGCCTTATTAAAACAGGGACATCAATTAATACCTACCTTCGGCCGGGCGAGGGGCCTCACGCCTGAAACCCCAGCACTTTGGGAGGCCGAGGCAGGAGGATCATTTGTGGTCAGGAGTTCAAGACCAGCCTGACCAACATGGTGAAACCCCGTCTCCACTAAACATACAAAAAAAAAAAAGTATAGCCAGGAGTGGTAGTGTGAGCCCCTAGTCCCAGCTACTCACGAGCCTGAGGCAGGAGAATCACTCGAACTTGGGAGGCAGAGGTTGCAGTGAGCCGAGATTGCACCACTGCACTCTATCCTGGGTGACAGAGTGAGACTGCATCTCAAAAAAAAAAAAAA
Organism: Homo sapiens; assembly: GCF_000001405.40. Taxonomy (NCBI): domain Eukaryota; kingdom Metazoa; phylum Chordata; class Mammalia; order Primates; family Hominidae; genus Homo; species Homo sapiens. Next base: position 72,049,813 of record NC_000007.14, on the reverse strand, counting down.
GAAATAGACTTGGCCCGGGTGCTCACACCTGTAATCCCAGCACTTTGGCAGACCGAGGCAGGTGGATCACCTGAGGTCAGGAGTTCGAGACCAGCCTGACCAGCGTGGTGAAACCCCATCCCTACTAAAAACACAAAAAATAGCCGGGCGTGGTGGCGCATGCCTGTAATCCCAGCTACTCAGGAGGCTGAGGCAGGAGAATCGCTTGAACCTGGGAGGCAGGGGTTGCAGTGAGCCAAGATGGTGCCACTGCACTCCAGACTGGGCAACAAGAGTGAAATTTCATCTCTAAATAAATAAATCCTACCTTATTGCTATCATAAGTAAAATAGCTTAACAATGTGCCTGCCCTATAGTTCATCACAGTGAGTGATGTTATTAATATTTGCTTATTTGATCTGCTAGTGATTGATAGCACATGAAAGTCTTCCCTTTCTTAGCTCCAAAAAAAATGTCTCATTACTATACCTTCTAGTATTCTCGGATCCTTTTGTCTTTCTCTCTTGTAAAGTTCAAGTCTCCAATTTCTGTGTTTCATGTATTATCTTTCTCTCATCATTTTACCTCTTTTTTATTTTCCCTGTCTAGACTAGGTTGGGGCTGTAGGTTATTGATGTGATTATCTGTGCTGTGGCTGTTGCTATTTATTATGCTTCTGGAATTGTTCTCCCCCCACCCACCAGGTAATATGATATCATATTTTCTGGCTGGGTGCGGTGGCTCACACCGATAATCCCAGCACTTTAGGAGGCCAAGGTGGGAGGATTGCTTGAACCTGGAAGTTCTAGAGCAGCCTGAGTAACATAGCAAGACCCTGTATCTACAAAAAAATAAAAGTAGCTGGGCATGGTGGTGTGCACCTGTAGTTCTAGCTACTTGGGAGGCTGAAGTGGGAGGATTGCTTGGGCCGAAAATGTTGAGGTGGCTGCAGAGAGCTATAATCATGGCACGGCACTGCACTCCAGCCTGGGCAACACAGTGAGACCCTGTCGAAAGAAAGAGAAGGAAGGAAGGAAAAAAGGAAGGAGGAAGGGAGGGAAAAAGGCAGGGAGGAAAGGAAGGAAGGAGGCAGAGAAGAAAGGAAGGAAAGAAGAGGGAAAAAGGAAAGAAGGGAGGAAGAAGGGGAGGCAGACAAGGAAGGAGGGAAGGGAGGGAGGAAAAGGAAGGAAATTATATTTTTCAGAAAGCACTTATATTTACCTCTATAAAATTAATATACTAATATGCTATTTTAAGTAACATAACAGAGGAGTATATGAAGTCTAAGTGTATAAGTAAAAAGTTCATATCATGCAGATTTCAACTTTTCCATTACACAATGGCTTCTCTTTCTGCCCTTCCCAGGTCCTGTGTCCTACCCCTTCCCTGTTATTTCTTTATCATGTCACATGCAGGTGCTGCTCTACTCACACATGGCGGCCCTTATAATGCATACCCAAAAAACAAATTGAAAAGGATGATTAAGAAGAGATATGGGCTGGGTGTGGTGGCTCACGCCTGTAATCCCAGCATTTTTGGAGGCCGAGGCGGGTGGATCACTTGAGCTCAAGAGTTCAAGTCCTGCCTGGCCAACAGGGTGAAACCTGGTCTCTACTAAAATACAAAAATTAGCCGGGTGCGATGGCATACACCTGTACTCCCAGCTACTTGGGAGGTTGAGGCAGGGGAATCGCTTGAACCTGGGAGGCGGAGGTTGCAGTGAGCCAAGATCATGCCACTGCACTCCAGCCTGGGTGACTGAGCAAGACTCTGTCTCAAAAAAAAAAAAAAAAGAAGAAGAAGAAGAAGCAATATGAATGAATGAAGCCTCTGAAATCTGTGCCCACACTGTGTTAGATGCTTATGAGCATCTCTTACTTTGCTCACATCATGGAGACCACTGTCCCAGACAATATCCAATTTCCCTGCATTTTCCTTCTGCAGCACTTTCCCGTTTTTAACACACACACCCTTGTGAGTCCTTGGTTGTCTCTGTTTGCAGCTGCACTCTTAATTTCCTAGAGGGCAGTGCCCACATGCCCCCTGTTCACTGCAGTATCCCCAAGGCCGAGCACGATGGCTGCCACGTCATGGGTTTGGGTAAATATTTATTGACATGAGTTAGAAGTTGCAGTTCCCTGCCAGCGCGTCCCAGGTAGGCTTTGACTTTGCTGGTGCATTGTCATTGTTCTTGTTTGTTCTCCTCACTGAAGCCAGGCTCATTTTCTTTTCTATTTTATCTTATTGAGACAAGGTTTTGCTCCGTTACTCTGACTGCGGTGCAGTGGTGTGATCATAGCTCAGTGCAGTCTCTAAGTCCTGGGCTCAAGCAATCCTCTTGCCTCAGCCTCCCAAGTAGCTGGGACTACAGGCACTCACCACCACACCCAGCTAATTTTTTATTTGTTTTGTAGAGATGGGGTCTTGCTATGTTGTCCAGGCTGGTCTCAAACTCCCAGCCTCTCACCTCGATCTCCCAAAGTGCTGAAATTACAGGTAGCCACGACTCTCAGCCTCCTTCCGTTCCTGTTTCAGCCTCTTGTCTTTTCATCTTCGTATGTCTATTTGTGGACAAATCTTCTTTGTGGAAGGCTTTCATTGGCCATATCTAACACAAAGCAGGTGTTTCTTAACCTTTCTTCTGTCTCTGATAGTGAATAATTTGGAGGAGTTAATTTTGTTTTTGTACATTAAAGGGCAGTGCTTCCCTTCTCTGCTGGATTAAACCTTACGTTTCCCCACTAGTTTTCATTTTTATTTATTTATTTTTTTGAGACAGTTTCACTCTGTTGTCCAGGCTAGAGTGTAGCAGCACAATCTTGGCTCACTGCAGCCTTGACTTCCCTGGGCTCAGGTGATTTTGCCACCTCAGCTTTCTGAGTACCTGTGACTATAGGCACGTGCCACCGTGCCCAGCTAATGTTTATATTTCTTGTAGAGACAGGGTTTTGCTAGATTTTTGTATTTCTTGTAGAGATAGGATTTTGCTAGGTTGCCCAGACTGGTCTCAGACTCCTGGGCTCATGCAATTCTCAGCCTCCCAGAGTGCTGGGATTATAGGTGTGAGCTACCGCACCTGGCCTTAGTTTTCAATCCTTTTTTTTTTTTTTTTTTTTTTTTTTTTTAAGAGGGAGTCTCGCTCTGTTGCCCAGGCTGGAGTACAATGGCGTGATCTCGGCTCACTGCAACCTCTGCCTCCTGGGTTCAAGTGATACTTCTGCCTCAGCCTCCTGAGTAGCTGAGATTACAGGCACCTGCCAACACCCAGCTAATTTTTGTATTTTTAGTAGAGACGGGGTTTCACCATGTTGGCCATGCTGGTCTCAAACTCCTGACCTCAGGTGATCCACCTGCCTCTGCCTCCCAAAGTGTTGGGATTACAGGCATGAGCCACCACACCCAGCCTCTCTACAAAAAAATTAAAAAATGAATTAGGCATGGTGGTGTGTGCCTGTAGTCTCAGCTACTCAGGAGGTTGAGGCAGGAGAATTGCCTTAGCCTCGGAATTGGAAGCTGCAGCTGCAGTGAGCTATGATTGTGCCACTGCACTCCGGCCTGGGCAAGAAAAAGAGACCTTGTCTCCAAAAAAAGAAGGAAACTGGAGCCTGAGGCTTCCACCTCAGCTTTCTGAGTACCTGTGACTGTCGGCATGTACCCCCATGCCCAGCTTATTTTTGTATTTCTTATAGAGACAGGGTTTTGCTGGGTTGCCCAGGCTGGTCTCAAACTCCTGGGCTCAAGCAATTCTCCTGCCTCAGCCTCCCAAAGTGCTGGGATTATAGGGGTGAGCTCCTGCACCTGGCCTTAGTTCTGAATCCTTTTTTTTTTTTTTTTTTTTGAGAGGGAGTCTCGCTGTTGCCCAGGCTGGAGTGCAATGGCACGATCTCAGCTCACTGCAACCTCTGCCTCCCAGGTTCGAGTGATTCTTCTGCCTTAGCCTCCCGAGTAGCAGGATTACAGGCAACTGCCACCACACCCAGCTAATTTTTGTATTTTTAGTAGAGACAGGGTTTCACCATGTTGGCCAGGCTGGTATCAAACTCCTGACCTCAGGTGATCCACCCACCTCTGCCTCCCAAAGTGTTGGGATTACAGGTGTGAGCCACCACACCTGGTCTCTCTACGAAAAAATTAAAAAATGAATCAGGCATGGTGTTGTGTGCCTGTAGTCCCAGCTACTTAGGAGGCTGAGGCAGGAGAATTGCCTTAGCCTTGGAATTGGAAGCTGCAGTCAGCTGTGATTGTGTCACTGCACTCCAGCCTGGGCAACAGAAAGAGACCCTGTCTCCAAAAAAAGAAAAGGAAGAAAACAGGAGAGCCTGTGGAGGGAGCTGCCTGTGGCTCTCACTCATTGCATTACTTGCAGGTGCTGAAACTTCTTCCCATGTAATATGCTGGGGTTGTTCCTGCAATTCAAGATCAAAACAGAGGCACCAGGAAGGGAGAGGAAATGGATAAAAGGGAAGGGGGACAAGATGCCAGACTTCCTAGTAATCCAAGCACACATAGTCAGGAGCTGGTTGTCTGGGTGCCTGGATTTTGCAGACCTGGGTCTCCCAGCTTGGAGCAGGCAGCACATGCTGTTCACGACTCTTCCTACCCTTTCCTGGCAGGTGCTTTCTAGTAGTGCCTGCAGAGACCACCAGCTTTATTTCTCCATCCGCTTCACTGGAGCCATGGTGAGTGTACGTTTCCCCAGATTCATTCAAATGGATGACTATCTTCAGCTTCTAGGACCGCTGTGACTTTGTGTCTTTTTCTAGTTGCATGGAGACTTCCGTGAGAAGTTGAGCAAAAACACATCAGAAATTGGTATCTCCTTGCCTCTTAATCCTGAAGTCAAGATTATTCTGCAGTCATTGCATCCATATTCTCAAAATGCCTAACATATTTCAGATCAGAAGTTTTAGGCTGTAGCTGGGTGCAGTGGCTCACGCCTCTAATCCCATTGCTTTGGGAGGCTGAGGTGGGAGGATTGCTTGAGGCCAGGAGGTGGAGATCGGCCTGGGGAACATAGTGAGACCCCATCTCTTCGAATAACTAAATAAATAAAAAATTAGCCAGGCATGGTGGCGCACCCCTGTAGTCCTGGCTACTCAGGAACCTGAAGCAGGAGGTTCACTTGAACCCAGGAGTTCGAGCCTGCAATGAGCTGTGATTGTATCACTGCATTCTAGCCTGGGTGACAGAGCAACACTCTGCCTCAAAAAAAAAAAAAAAAAAAAAAAAAAAAAAGTTTTAAGCGGAAATTATTCTCTGAAGGTTAAAAAATACCCTGCAACCGTCGGAGTAGATAGAAGGGGAGGTTTGATGCAATTGAGAGGCCTGTTTCTCTCTTGCCTGGATAATTTCTCTTCCATATGGATCCCTGAGAGAGGTGTGTGTATAGGAGAAGTTGGAATGGGAAATAAAGTCCCCCTTTGTATCTGCCTTGCTCATCCCCCATCTCCCCATGCAGAAAAGAAGACAGGGGTGAGGTGGCTTGGCCTACTATGAGGAGGCCGGCTCTGGATGAACCTACCACATAGATGAGAAACATGACCAGAAATGGGCTTCAGCTCTGAGCACAAACTTTGAGCACATCCTGAGAGCCAACCCAATCTGATTTGCTCCTCCTGTTCTGCTATTTGGAGGAGAGGGGAGAGAGGGGGCAATAGCAGCACTAGGAAGTGCAATCAGCCTACCCCAACTCTCATATTCAACCTGATGTGGTTTGGTTGTGTCCCCACCCAAATCTCATCTTGAATTCCCGCGTGTTGTGGGAGGGACCCGGTGGGAGGTAATTGAATCATGGTGGGGGTGGGGGGACTTTCCTATGCTGTTCTTGTAATAGTGAAGAAGTCTCACAAGATCTGATGGTTTTAAAAAGAGGTGTTCCTCTACACAAGCCCTCTCCTTTGCCTGCCAACATCCATGTAACTTGCTCCTCCTTTGCCTTCCGCCATGATTGTGAGGCCTCCCCAGCCATGTGGAACTGTAAGTCCAATTAAACTTCTTTCTTTTGTAAATTGCCCAGTCTCATGTGTGTCTTTATCAGCAGCATGAAAACGAACTAATACAACCCCTTTACCTCTTTTTTATTTGAGAGACAGGGTCTCACTCTGTTGTCTAGACCGGACAACTGCAGCCTGAAACTCCTGGGCTCAAGCGATCCTTCTGCCTCGACCTCCAGAGTGGCTGGGACCAAAGCATAGTGACATCATGCCTGGCCAAGTTTTTTTTATTTTTTGTAAAGATGAGGTCTGGCTATGTTGTCCAAGCTGGTTTCAAACTCCTGGCCTCAAGCAATCTTCCCAGCTCAGCCTCACAACTTATTGGGATTATAGGCATGAGCCACCATGCCTGGCTTGATTTTCTTACTCTGCTATGGTTAACTGATATTTTTCATTCTAATGTAAAGTGTGCATAAAAGCATTTTTTTCTATTTTTATTGTTCTGCATTATGTAATACATATACAAACTTTGTGCTTGTTGTTCTGCTCCCCTGGGAAATGGGCTTCCTGGGGGTTCTGGACTGCTGAAGGCAATGAACCTCTCTGGGTTGTCCAGACCTTTGTTTTACTTTGACCAGCTGTGTGAGGATAAGGTAGTTCAGGAACTAGGAGAGCCTGCTGAATGTAAAATTCCATGAACAGAAGCAAGAGAATGACGAGACTGTGCTAGTTCTTTCAGAATAACAGCAGCACCCTTGCACTGCACAGAGTTAAACATCCCAGATCTGGAAGGACCCTACCTTGTGTCACCAGCAGCTGCAAGATCTATATTAGGGCCTCTGAACCACGAGAAGCCATGCATCTATTCCTGCTCTAGGTCGAAATGTTTATTTCTATAAATTTTTGTGGCCTTGGCTGAATGACTCAGGAACTGAGAGTGAGAGTGGGGGTGTGTGCAGAAGTGTTGGCCTAGCAAGATATCCTTAGGATGGCACATTTGCAAGGTTGGCCCTTAGCTGGTTTCTGGAGAATTGGAGTTTTGGAGGGGTCCCACCATTCCTAAAACTTTTAAGAGTGGTTCATCAAGGCCAAACTGTTTGTTCAAACAATATGGTTTATGCTAAGCACCCTTTTTCCTTTTGGGAGTCTTATTTATTTATTTTTAAGTGGTAAAGTCTCACTCTGGTGCCCAGGCTGGAGTGCAGTGACACAATCAGAGTTCACTGCAGCCTCAATCTGTTGGCCTCAAGCAATCCTGCAGCCTCAGCCTCCCAAAGTGCTGGGGTTATACGTACGTGTGATCCACTGCTCCTGCCCCTGTTTGAGAGTCTTGAATTTGAGTACATGCCAGGCAGAGAGTGCCTGCATGACCAGCTCCCAATGAAAACCTTGGACATTCATTCTCAAATGAACTTTCCTGGTGAGCAGCATTTCACATCTATTGCCGCTACTCGTTGTTAGGGGAGTGAAGCATGTCCTGTGGATGCCACTGGGAGAGGATTCTGAAATCTTGAGCCTGGTTTCCTCTAGATTTTGCCCCACACTCTGGATCCTTCAGAAGATTGTGTGTTGTATTCTTTCTCCATGGTAAATCATAGCTACACATACAACTGTATGCTCAGTCTTGGGAGGACTTGTACCAAACTATTGAACATGGTAATGGGTCTTGGGGGTTCCTCCAACACATGGCCCACCCACCTAACGTGGGTTAGGTGGGTTACACTGGACAATTTAACCTTAATTTCTCCAATGCATAACCCATCTGAAAGCCTTCAGTCCCCTTCAAACCAAGTTGCTACTGCTAAGTCCCTTTTATAAAAATTCTGGTGCTGCTGTCAGGACAAGAACATGGTTTTTGCCACCTTGCTACTCTGTATTAGTTTGTTCTCATGCTGCTAATAAAGACATACCCGAGAGACTAGGTAATTTATAAAGGAAATAGCTTTAATGGACTCATAGTTCCACATGGCTGGGGAGGCCTCACAATCACGGCAGAAGGCAAGGAGGAGCAAAGCCACGTCTTACATGGTGGCAGGCAAAGAAGGAGAGGCCATGTGCAGGGGAACTCCCCTTTATCGGATCATCAGATCTCATGAGACTTATTCACTGTTTTGAGAACAGCACGAGAAAGACCCACCCCCATGATCCAATTACCTCCCACTGGGTCCCTCCCATGACACGTGGGAATTACGGGAGCTACAATTCAAGATGAGATTTGCGCCAGGTGTGGTGGCTCACACCTGTAATCCCAGCACTTTGGGAGGCTGAGGTGGGCAGATCACCTGAGGTCAGGAGTTTGAGACCAGCTTGGCCAACATGATGAAACGCTGTCTCTACTAAAAATACAAAAATTAGCTGAGTATGGTGGTGTGCACCTGTTATCCCAGCTACTTGGGAGGCTGAGGCAGGAGAATTGCTTGAACCCAGGAGGCAGAGGGTGCAGTGAGCCGAAATCGTACCACTGCACTCTAGCCTGGGCAACAGAGCCAGATGCTGTCTCAAAAATAAAAAAAATAAAAAAAATTTGGGCGGGGACAGGGACACAGCCAAAATATATCACACCCCCATCCCCTCACTCCAGTTATCAGCCCCACAGTGTCCCTTTCTCAGTCTTCATCCTACTTGGCCCTCTGTGGCATTGAACATTACTAGAGACTAACCACCTGCCCTTGATTGGAGGTGTCCCTTGATCTCTCAGGCACATGCCTCTCTCTTGGTTCTCTTCTCAGACTATTTTGTTCCCATTGTCCTTTGTCTCCTGCCTCTTATGTAGAGTGCAACAGGATATCAAAAGGGCACTCTTTTGCCTCAATTTTAGGCCATAAAGCTGAAGAATAATACAGTAGATGCCAAGTTTTCCTCCTAGAAGTACATGCTAGACCACCCTCAAGCTAAGATGGCATCAGCTCTGCTGCCACTATCCCATTGTTCTTCTCTATGGCTCAGTGTGCTTGGGCTGCTACACCAAGATACCACAGACCTGGTGGCTTCATCAGCAGAAATTTGTTTATTTTTTTGTAGTTCTGAAGGCTGAAAGCCCAACCTCAAGATGCTGGTTTGGTTGGTTTCTACTGAAGCCTCTCTTCCTGTCTTGCACATGACCACTTTTTGCAGTTCTGAAGGCTGGAAGCCCAACCTCAAGATGCTGGTTGGGTTGGTTTCTACTGAGGCCTCTCTCCTTGGTTTGCACATGGCCACGTTTTATCAGTGCCCTCACTTGGACATTTTCTCTGCGCATGTGTGCATATGGATTAGGGCTCCATAGTTATGAGACAATTTAACCTTAATTTCTTCCTTAAAGGCCTTGTCTCCAAATACAACCATATTGGGAATTAACCTATCAACTTTGATGGGACCCAATTCAGTCCATAACACTTTTTAAATTTAATTCAACTGTATTTAATTAATTTATTTTTTGAGACAGGGTCTTTCTCTGTTGCCCATACTGGGGTGCAGTGGCATGATCATAGCCCACTACAGCCACAACTTCCCAGGATCAAGCGATCTTCCTGTCTCAGCCTTCTGAGTAGCTGGGACTAAAAGCACACACCATCACAGCTGGCTATTTTTTTTTTTTTATTGTAATTTTTGTAAGGATGAGCTCTCACTATGTTGCCCAGGCAGGTCTCAAACTCCTGGGCTCAAGGGATCCTCCTGCCTCAGCCTCTGAAAGTGATGAGATTACAAGCATGAACCACCCATGCCCAGCCTCATAACACTTTTTAAGAGGTTGACATTAAAGGATTAGGCAAAAGAATTTCCTTGGGAAATAGTTGAATTTTTTCCTAACCTTCTCAGGGTGGGGAAGGGGTGTTTTCTCATTCAATTTGAGCTAAAGGTGTTTCCTAAGAGCCATTTGTAGAGATTGACTTGTGATTGCTGCAGTATAAAGCATAAAGGCAGCTTATGTTTCAGCCACCTGCAAAAAGTTTAAAGGCCTGGGCTGGAGCTGGAGCTGCTGTTGAGTTTAGTAACCAAGCAGAGCAGGAGAGGGCTGGCTTTGGAAGAGCTGCCATCTCAATGACACATGGGGCAATGGAGGAGCCTGCTTGGGGGGGTCTTCAGGACCTCCTAGAGTGCTAATGTTGCCCCAGAGGAGGGAGAGACCTTCAGAAGCCCAGAGGTTTGGGGAGGACATTTTCAGTAGCCAAAAGGGTGAGAGGCCTGGGCCCCCTTTTCCCTTACTCCTCCTTCTAAGCCTGTCCAACTATGGTGTGGCTAGAAACCACAGCTGCACAGTGGGGAAGGAGGTGGACTCAATAAGAGTGGTGGTGGTGGTGGGGGAGACCCTGATCTATTCCTCTTCCCCACTCTAGGTTTACTAGACTGGGTCAAACCCAAGTCAAAAGAAGGAAGGTGTTTTCTTTCAAAGGAAGGAAGTCTGTAATGTGATTAGTAGCCTGCACGGAATCTTTTATTATCTAAAAGTTACTGGATGACTTTTGATTCCTTAAGAGTTTATAACAAAGCAATGGGACCAGCCCAGTACTCTCTCCAGGGAAAGATATGAGACAGGGAAGCTCGAACAGGGAGTTGTGAGAAAGAGCAAAGTGTTTCTGCTTGCATCCTGTGGAGTCTAGCTCATCCAACACGCCACCTACATAGCTGCTCCTCAAGCCCTTTGCTGAGTCCTCTTCTCTTCCCTGCCTTGGTCCTTTCCTTCCTTTGCTCTTGATGAGTTCATCTGGCTAGATACGAACAACTGAATTCACTGTTTAATTTTTAAATTTTATTTACTTTTTGAACAGGTAAAAAGTCATATGGTTCAAATATCCAAAATTGTGAAAAGATATTTAAGGTTAGGCAGGGTGGCTCACACCTGTAGTTCTAGCTCATAGTGTTACAGGAAAGGGGTCCTGATCCAGACCCCAAGAGATGGTTCTTGGATCTCACTTAAGAAAGATTGTGGGGTGAGTCCATAGAGTAAAGTGAAAGCAAGTTTATTAGGAAAGTAAAGGAATAAAAGAACGGCTACTCCATAGGCAGAGCAGCCATGAGGGCTGCTGGTTGCCCATTTTTATGGTTATTTCTTGATGATACGCTAAACCAGGGGTGGATTATTTATGCCTCCCCTTTTTAGACCCTATAGGGTAACTTCTTGATGTTGCCATGACATTTGTAAACTGTCATGGCACTGGTGGGAGTGTAGCAGTGAGGAGGACCAGAGGTCACTCTCGTTGCCATCTTGGTTTTGGTGGGCTTTGGCTGGTTTCTTTACTGCAATCTGTTTTATCAGCAAGGTCTTTATGACCTGTATCTTGTGCCGACCTCCTATTTCATCCTGTGACTTAGAATGCCTCACCATCTGGAAATGCAGCACAGAGGGTTTCAGCCTTATTTTACCCAGCTCCTATTCAAGATGGAGTTGCTCTGGTTCAAACACCTCTGACACTAGCACTCTGGGAGACTGAGGTGGGAGGGTGGCTTGAGGTCAGGAGTTCAAAGTTACAGTGAGCTGTGATCACACCACTGCACTCCAGCCTGGGTGACAGAACAAGGCCCTATCTCAAAAAAGAAAAAAAAAAAAATAGATACTAGGTTGGTGCAAAAGTAATTGCAGTTTTTGCCATGCTGATGTAATGGGAATTCTGGAGTCCATGGAGACCTGAAACTTCCAGGAGAAGCTTTGGGGGTGGGGTAAAGGCAGCTCCCCATTCCCCACCTACAACACTGTACTTGTGTTCCAGGAAGCTGTGTATGCATTCCAGGAGTAGCTTGCACACAATTTGCGAGACTCGGTTAAATAAAAACATCCTGTTCTCCAAATATCAGGGACGTGTGTTCTGACCACTGATCAGTGGTTCTGACTACAGAGGTGCAGACAAAGAGGCTGGAAGCCATTGGTGGTGCACCTGGCCCCCTATTGCAAGCCCCTTCCCCTCTGGTTGAAGTTGCTTTCAGGGGATTTTAAGGTCCAGTATCCTGTTCCTCCATCTCGCCTTCCCCAACTTCTCCACTTTTATTTTCCCCCTGTGGGGAGCCAGACATTAAGGAGTGGGACATTCAAAAGCAATTGCCTCTACAAGGAACGCTAGAAAGTGACTACACAGGCCCAGGGAAATGTACAGGCACAGAAAAGACCTGAGAAGACATTCAGTTTAGTCAGATTGATCATTGGCATAGAGACAAGATATTCAGGCTTGGGTGGTAAAGACAGCTCCCCATTCCCCACCCACAACCCTGTACTAGTGTTTCAGGAAGCTGTGTATGCATTCCAGGAGTAGCTTGCACACAGTTTCCAAGAACTAGGTTAAATAAAAACATCCTGTCCTCGAAATATCAGGGATCTGTGTTCTGGTCACTGATGATTGCAGTGTTTCCTTCCTCTGAACCTTGATGAGTTCATCTGGCTGGATACAAACAACTGAATTCATTGTTTAGTCTTTACATTTTATTTATTTTTTAAACAGGTAATAAATGATATGGTTCGACTATCAAAAATTATGAAAGGAGGCTGGGTGCAATAGCTCATGCCTGTAATCCCAGCACTTTGGGAGGCCGAGGCGGGTGGATCACAAGGTCAGGAGATGGAGACCATCCTGGCTAACACAGTGAAACCCCATCTCTACTAAAAATACAAAAAAATTAGCTGCGGTGGTAGCAGGCACCTGTGGTCCCAGCTACTCGGGAGGCTGAGGCAGGATAATAGTGCGAACCCAGGAGGTGGGGCTTGCAGTGAGCCGAGATTGCGCCATTGCACTCCAGCCTGGGTGACAGTGCGAGACTGCGTCTCAAAAAAAAAAAATTATGAAAAGATATTTAAGGCTAGGCAGGGTGGCTCACACCTATAGTCCTAGCTCCTAGCACTTTGGGAGGATGGCTTGAGGCCAGGAGTTTGAGTTTACAGTGAGCTGTGATCACACCACTGCACTCCAGCCTGGGCAACAACCAAAACAGTAAACAAAAACTAAAACAATACAAGTAAATGAAAACAAATAAAAAATGACAAAAATAATAACAAAAAATAAATCCTTGGGAGAGGGGAGAATCTGATTTCCAGAGATACCACTTATTACATTAACATATCCAGTTTTCAGCAAAAAAAAAATCACAAAGCATAAAAGAAACAAGAAAGAATGGCCCATTCAAAGGAAAAAAAAATAAGCTGTTCCTGAAAAAGACCTGATAGCAGATCGAATACACAAAGAATAAAGAAAGACATTGAGAAAGTCAAGAAAATAATTTTGAAGTAAGTTTATATCAGTAAAGAGATAGAAAACCTAAAATGAAACATAAGAGAAATTCTAAAGCCAAAAAGTATAATAATGGAAATGAAAAACTCACTAGAAGGGTTCAAACAGGCAGAAGGAACAATCAGTAAACTTGAAGATAGGACAAAGGAAATTACCAAGACTGGGGAAATGAAAGAAAAAAGATTGAAGGAACGTGAACAAAACCTAAGGAATCGTGTCCATCAAGTGGACCAATTGACCTATTGTGGGAGTCCCAGAGGAAGAGAAGATAGGGGAGGGAGCAGAGGGAATATTTGAAGAAAGAATGGTTGAACACTTCCTAAATTTGATGAAAAATATTAAACATTCAAGGAGATTGACAATATCCAGGTAAGATGAACTCAAAGAGACCCACAGCAAGACACATTATCAGCTTTCAAAAGACAAAGACAAAGAGAATCTTTGTAGCCGTAAGAGAGAGGTGTCTCATCACATATGAGATTGTCAGTAAGATTGTCAGCATGTTTCTCACCAGAAACTTTGGATGCCAGAAGGCAGTGGGCTGATATGTTCAAAATGATAAAAGAAAAAAATACCTGTCAATCAAGAATGGAATATCCAGCAAAACTGTCCTTCAAAGGTGAGGGAGAAATTAAGACATTTTTAGATAAACAAAAATCTGAGGGAGTTTGTTATGACTAGACTTGCCCTGCAACAGAGGCTAAGGAGAGTCCTTCAGGCTGAAATTTACGGACACTAGACAGTAACTTGAAGCCATATGAAGCAATAAAGATCACAATAAAGGTGCAATTATGTGGGCAATCATAAAAGCTAATATTATTGTAACATTGGTTTGTAACTCTACATTTTGTTTTCTACATAATTTAAGACATTAATGCGTTTTCAAAAATTACTAGTTTGTGGTTTGGGCCATGTAATGTATAAAGAGGTAATTTTGTGACATCAACAATTGAAAGGAGTGGGAATGGAAATGTAAAGGAGTAGTATTTTTGTATGTTATTGCAGTTAAGCTGGTATAAATCCAAATTAGAGTGTATAACTTTAGTATATTAAATGTAATCCCCATGGTAACTACAAAGAAAATAGATATAAAATATACACAAAAAGGAAATGAGAAAGGAATTTAAATATTTCACTACAAAAAGATCAACTACACACAAAAGAATACAGCAATGCAGAAAATGAGGAACCAAAAGCCTTAAGGCATGTGGAAACAAATAGGAAAATGACAGAAGTAAGTTCCTCCTTATTAGTCTAAAAAAGGAAGGAAATGCTGGCATATGCTACAACATGGATGAACCTTGAGGGACTTTATGCATGAAATAAGCCAGACACAAAAAGGACATGATTCTACTTGCATGAGATACTTGGAGTAGTCAAAATCCGAGAGAAAGTAGAATGGTGGTCATCAGGGGCTGGAGGGTAGGGGGAATGAGGAGCTATGGTTTCATGGGTGGGGGTTTCAGTTTTGCAAGAAGAAAAGAATTCAGAGGATGGATGGTGGTGGTAATGGTTACACAACATTATGAATGCATTTAATACTAGACCTGCACACCTAAAAATGGTTGTGATGGTACATTTTATATTATGTATATTTTACTAAAAGAAAAAAGAAGGAGCTGTCATGAGAACATGCTCTACTATTCCTATGCCCCACCTGCCAGACGTGCCAATGAATAAATTGCTATTATTAGTTTTTCGGGAGTGGGTACATGTCTGGATATTTTTATATAAATACTTATGCAGAGAAATCAGACTATATATTCTCCTTGACCTCCCCATTTTTTTAACCAAATTGTAGCATACTAAAATACAGTTCTGTACCTTGCTTCTTCAACTTGAGAAGCTATCTTGAAGATCTTAGGGATCTTCCTATAGATCCTGGAGACTTTTTTTTTTTTTTTTTTTTTTTTGAGACAGAGTCTCACTCTGTCATTCTGTCGCCCAGGCTGAAGTGCATTGGCATGATCACAGCTCACCACAATCTCCGCCTCCCAGGTTCAAGCGATTCTCATGCCTTAGCCTCCTGAGTAGCTGGAATTACAGGCAAGCACCACCATGCCTGGCTAATTTTTGTGTTTTAGTAGATGGGGTTTGCCATCTTGGCCAGGCTGGTCTCGATCTCCTAGCCTCAAGTGATCTGTCTGATCGGCCTCCCAAAGTGTTGAGATTACAGGGGTGAGCCACCGTTCCCGGGCACATCCTGGAGACTTTCAAATCCACATTTTTTTAGCTGTCAGGCACTCCTTGACACCATCCTGCCTGCACCTTGAAACCAGCATTTCCCCAGTACGTCCTCCTCCTGACTTCTTTGTTGTTCCTAGTTTCTTTTCTTTTCTTTTTTTTTTTTTTTTTGAGACAGAGTCTTGCTCTGTCACCCAGGCTGGAGTGCAGTGGCACAATCTCGGCTCACTGCAAGCTCCGCCTCCTGGGTTCACGCCATTCTCGTGCCTCAGCCTCCCCAGTAGCTGGGACTACAGGCGCCCGCCACCACGCCCAGCTAATTTTTTTGTATTTTTAGTAGAGACGGGGTTCCACCGTGTTAGCCAGGATGGTCTCAATCTCCTGACCTTGTGATACGCCCACCTCGGCCTCCCAAAGTGCTGGGATTACAGGCGTGAGCCACCGCACCTGGCCTGTTGTTCCTAATTAGTTTCATGGTCCCTTTGGTGTCGCAAACCAGACACCTCAGCATCACTCTTGCCTCCTGCCCTTCCAGTCAGTTGCCATGTCTCGTTAGTTCCATCTGAAATGCCCTTTTCTTTTATCCAGACTTCTCCAATCCCCATCCTCCACACTGGCTGCCTTCCCTATTGTCTTAACTAAGACCCTTTCCCCAGTCAGCTCTACCCCACCAAGTCTAACCTTCATACTGTCCCCAGATTGATCTTTGGTGAGCAAAGTTCTGGCGCTTTCATACCCAAGCCTGGGCAGGTTCTACTGACTCTGCATCGAAGATGAGCCCCTCAGCCTGCCTTGACCTTCTGGGCCCAGCTTGTCCTGCTCTCTTCCTATGGGGATCCTCTATCCAGCATGAAGGGTGGTCGGTCACCTTCCCTCCTTCCTGGCATCCTCACCATTGCTCAGGCCACTCAGCTTATCTCCCTTTGCAATTCATTAGAATCCTTCCCTCTTTTAAAGGCTCACTGCAAAATCATGGAAAATGACCTGTCTGGACCCTGCGTTCCTGACTTTGTCCTGCCTTAACACAATGCTTTTAGGTCAATTATAGCACTCCCTTCATTCTGCCTTGAGTAATGGATTGCAAGCCCCTGGAAGCTAAGCTGCGCCTTATGCTTTGGAGATTTCATCAACTAATTTGAATGGAGTCTCAGATAGACATTTTTTCTTCTTGTTACCCTTTGAAGCCCACCCACTTTTCCTGTATATTCCTCTCCTCCCTTTTATTTTGCAGTGATTTTTTTAAGGATTATTTTACCTCCTTATGAGAATTTTGGCTGGTTGGTCTTAATGAATGTTGTACAGTCCTGGCACTCCTGCAGCTTCCTGCCCTAGTTCAAGTTCATTACTTTGACTCACATAGCAGTGGGGAAACCACGAGACACAGTCCTTGGCAGGCTAGCTTTCTGTGCTTCTTGCTAAGTGGATCATGATATTTGGAAGCTAGAGAAGGGAAAATGAGGCCTGGTCTGAGTGAATTACATTCTTTCTTCCTGCAGCTACTTGCTCATTCAAGAGTGATAAAAGAATTTAATCAAAGCTTTTGCATTTAGGACCTCCTGCATTCCATGAAAGGTTGCAGATCTAGGAAGAGACTCACCATTGTCTTTTGGGGGCATGTGATTCTGTAATGGCAGTTTGATGGGACCCTGCAGGGCCTGAACAGGTTTTGTTCATCAGACCAATTCTTTTCTGGTGGAAGAGACTTCAGACGTGTGCAGGGTTCTCTGTGAACGACCTGTATCCCCTCCCTGGGAATGGAGCACCCATAGAGAATTACTAAGATCCTGACTGCAGACAAAGAGGCGATTTAAGGAGCATCTGTTTTGACAATTGCCATTTGCATTAAAGCTCCTGATAGCTATCTCTCCCAATTTCCCACTAACTTTCTTCCTAAACACCCAGATAGGAAAACATACTATAACTCTCAAACTTTGAAAAGAGCTTGAGATCCTGTGATCCTATGCCAGGACCAAGGGCTGGGGTCTCTGATATCAAGGGAAGGCAGTACAATACGGGGGTTAATACCAGGGTTCTTGTCGGGTGCAGTGGATCACGCTTGTAATCCCAGTGCTTTGGGAAGCTGAGGTGGGAGGATCACATGAGGCCAGGAGTTCAAGACTAGCCTGGGCAACATAGTGAGACCCTGTCTCTACAAAAAATTTAAAAATTAGCCAGGAGTAGCTGGGCGCGGTGGCTCATGCCTGTAATCCCAGCACTTTGGGAGGCCAAGGCGGGCGGATCACGAGGTCAGGAGATCGAGACCACGATGAAACCCCATCTCTGCTAAAAATACAAAAAATTAGCTGGGCGCAGTGGTGGGCGCCTGTAGTCCCAGCTACTCAGGAGGCTGAGGCAGGAGAATGGCGTGAACCCAGGAGGCAGAGCTTGCAGTGAGCTGAGATCGTGCCACTGCACTCCAGCCTGGGTGACAGAGTGAGACTCTGTCTCAAAAAAAAAAAAAAAAAAAAAAAAGCCAGGAGCCAGGTGTGGTGGCTCACGCCTGTAATCCCAGCACTTTGGGAGGTGGAGGAGGGCGGACGGATCACCTGAAGTCAGGAGTTTGAGACCAGCCTGGCCAACATGGCAAAACCCTGTCTTTACTAAAAATACAAAAAATGAGCTGGGCATGGTGGTGGGTGCCTGTAATCACAGCTACTTGGGAGGCTGAGGCAGGAGAATCACTTGAACCCGGAAGGCGGAGGTTGCGATCAGCCAAGATCATGCCATTGCACTTCAGCCTGGATGACAGAGCGAGTTTCTGTCTCAAAAAAAAAAAAAAAAAAAAAAAAATTAGCCAGGCGTGGTGGCACATAACTGTGGTCCTAGCTACTCGTGAGGCTGAGGTGGGAAGATCACTCGAACCCAGGAGTTCAAAGCTGCAGTGAGCTATGATTGCACCACTGCACTTCTGGGTGACAGAGTGAGATCCTGTCTCTAGCAAAACAGAAAACAAAACAATTAAGATTCTGAGCTGAGCCCCCACTCTGCCTCATGGTAGCTGCATGGCCTTGATACAGTTATTCTTAACCTCTTTTTTTCTAAGTTATCTCATTGATAAGATGTGGAAGGGGAGAACCTATTTATAGTGTTGGCATGGAATTCAACAAGGGAATACATGTAAAGCCCTGAGCTCAGTGCCTGGCACATAGCAAGTGTTAAATAAGTAGTTCCTATTATTTATTATTACTCTCTGAAATGATGAAGAATGGCCTCTGGTGGCTGACCTGAGATGCAAGAGCTAGACCACAGGGAGCCATTTAGATTTCAGTTTGACTCTGTGTACCTGGTCGCCATAGCACTCGCTTGGTAAGAAAAGCTGGGATCAGGAGACAGTGATCCAGACAGACCATGTCAGTGAGTGACCTTTTGAAAGGTCACAAAAAGCACAGGCAGACTGCTGGGGCTGGAATCTCAGCTCTACTCCCTGCGTAAGCTTCTGCAAGCTACTGAACCTCTTTGAGCCTCAGTTTTCTCATTTGTCAAATGGGCAGCAGGAAGATGTAAATGAATTAGTATATGTCCCAGCACTTTGGGAGGCGGTGGCAGGTAGATTGCTTGAGGCCAGCCTGGGCAACATAGCAAGACCTTGTCTCTGAAAAAATTTTAAAAGATTGGCCAAGTGTGATGGCATGCTCCTGTAGTTCCAGGTACTCCAGAAGCTGAGGCAGGAGGATCCCTTCAGCCGAGGAGTTTGGGGCTGCAGTGAGCTATGATGGCACCACTGCACTCCAGCCTAGGTGACAGAGCAAGACCCTGCCTCTAAGAAAAAAAAAAAAATTGTGTGGGTATTTTAAAAAACCATGTCCACCACGTTGTGCGTGCCCAGTAAATGTTAGATATTATTATGATTATCAGGTTTCCTGGACCTTGCTTCAGCCTGGCAGCTTGGGAGTGGTTTTTAGGGACTTAGTGTAAAACCTACCTCTGAGATTCTATTTGTTTCCGTTCCCCTAAGGTTGAGGGTGTGGGGGCATAGGGATCAGACCTCTGGGTACAATGCTGATAACTTTTGGGGGGTATTCCCAGCCCTGTTTGTCTGTTAAATTAAAATCTGGTAAAGAGGTCATTTCTGTAGTCTAAATCTGAATGTTTATGTTACCAGTAGGGTTGGTATAGAATTGTAGATTAGAGGGAAGAGTCTTCATTTACTGAAGGTCTGCAGAAAATGTGCTGTGTCCTTACATACTTAGGAACCAGAGCTGAGAAATATCGGGAGACAGCTGGAGATATGGGGGACCTATCCTGATTGTTCCTCCAACCATGGGCCTGGAGACATCCCCCTTTGCTCATTGAGTAACAAAGAGAGTGCATGAGAAAAGAAGACTGTTTTCCCAATACTCTAACGCTCAAGACAAAATATACCAAAGTGTGGGTTTTTCTCCCTCACCAAGAAATTCCCCAATTATCTGCAAACACTGGACTGGATGTCCTACAATTAAATTGAATTCCGTTACTATCTGTTACTATCTATCTGGAGTTAACATTATTTGAGGAGCACCTGTTTAGACAATTTCCATTTGCATCAGGTCCCTCAGGTCAAGGGCTCAGTCCCACAAGATTGCTCCCACTTAGGACACCATTTCAAAGTCCACGTGGCCACCTGTGCTTCTGACCATAAATCAGAGGTTCCCTCCTTGGGTTCATTCATTTACTAGAGCAGTTCACATAACTCAGGAAAGCACTTTACTAATTATTACCCATTTGTTAGAAAAGAATACAACTCAGGGAAAGGCAGAGAGGCGTAAGGTAATGGGAGTGGTACATGCAGCTTCCACGCCCTCTCTGAGAGCTCCATCCTCCCAGCATCTCCATGTGTTCACCAACCTGAAAACTGTCTGAACCTCATACATTAGGGATTTTTATGCAGATTTCATCATGTGCGCCTGATTGATTATGAACCTAGTCTTCAGCTCCTCTTTCCTCCCTGGAGGTTGGGGAGATGGCACTGAAATTTCCAAGGTTCTAATCATGGTTTGGTGTTTCTGGTGATCATCTCCCACTGGAAGCCCACCAAGAAGTGCTTCATTAGAACAAAAGACATTCCTATCACCCAGGGAATTCCAAAGGATTTAGGAGTTCTGGCCAGGAAATGGGGTCAAAGATCAAATATTGGCCAGGCACGGTGGCTCACACCTGTAATCCCAGCACTTTGGGAGGCTGAGGTGGGCGGATCACGAGGTCAGAAGATTGGCTAATCTTCACTGGCTAATACAGTGAAACCCCATCTCTACCAAAAATACAAACAATTCGCTGGGTGTGGTGGTGGGCTACTCAGGAGGCTGAGGCAGGAGAATGGCGTGAACCCGGGAGGCGGAGCTTGCAGTGAGCTGAGATCGTGCCACTGCACTCCAGCCTGGGCAACAGAGTGAGACTCTGTCTCAAAAAGAAAAAAAAAGACCAAATATTAGAACAAAAGATGCTCTTTGCAACTCTATTACTTAGGGAATTATCAGTGTTTTATGAGCTGTGTACCAGGAAACAGAGACAAAGATTTCTATAGCTATATCTGTCTGTCTATCTGTATGTATATATTTGAGATGGAGTCTTGCTCTTTCACCCAGGCTGGAGGCCAATGGCATCATCTCAGCTCACTGCAACCTCCACCTCCCAGACTTAAGCGATTCTCCTGCCTCAGCCTACCAAGTAGCTGGGATTACAGGTTTGTACCACCACACCCAGCTAATTTTTGTATTTTTGGTAGACATAGGGTTTCACCATGTTGGCCAGGCTGGTCTCAAACTCCTGACCTCAAGTGACCCACCCATCTCGGCCTCCCAAAGTGTTGGGATTACAGCATGAGCCACTGCGCCTGGCCAATATGCATTTCTTATTATAAATCAAAGTATCACAAGCGAAAAACATACATTGGCCAATCTGGAATTCCAAACGTCCTCTCCTAAATGACTAGAAGCAAATATTTCCATGATCTGTACCTCTTCTGCCAAGTCACGTGTACTCCACGCCATAGTTGGCCCTGCCCATAGGATCCTGAGTGCCCTTCTCCATCGCTTCTTCTCTGGCCAACAATTTGGAATAGCAAATGAGCTGCTCCCTTTGCCAGGACCAAGATGTGTTTCAGAAGCATCATTTCTGCTTGTCAGCTTTTGGTCTGTAGTTCCCAGCCAAGTGCACCATCTGTGAGCACTGCCTGGTACTGTGATGATTTGGCCCAGAGCTCCATGTGGACCTGTGAAATGCACCAGTTCCAAACTGCTGCGCTCCCTGCACCCTGAGTCGAGGTTTCAGAGGTGGGTGGTCTTGCTCCTCTTGCTACCTTGAAGGTGCACTGTTCAAAGACAGCCTCGTTCTCCTGGTGCTGGCAAGCATGGGTTTTGCCACATCTCGTAAACTATGAGGTTCCCAAGTGGGAGAGAATGGTGCCCATTATATCACGGTCAGGAGCAGCCTGGTGGGCATATCTTAGATCAGGTCTCATGTGTTTTTTTTTTTTTTTTTTTTTTTTTTTGAGACGGAGTCTCGCTCTGTCGCCCAGGCTGGAGTGCAGTGGCGCGATCTCGGCTCACTGCAAGCTCCGCCTCCCGGGTTCACGCCATTCTCCTGCCTCAGCCTCCCACGTAGCTGGGACTACAGGCGCCCGCCACCACGCCCGGCTAATTTTTTTGTGTTTTTTAGTAGAGACGGGGTTTCACTGTGTTAGCCAGGATGGTCTCGATCTCCTGACCTCGTGATCCGCCCACCTCGGCCTCCCAAAGTGCTGGGATTACAGGCGTGAGCCACCGCGCCCGGCCAGGTCTCATGTGTTTTTGTGTGTGTGTGTGTGTGTGTGTGTGTGTGTGTTTGTTTGTTTGTTTTGAGACAGGGTCTCACTCTGTCAACCCAGGCTGGAGTGCAGTGGTGCCATCTTAGCTCACTGCAACCTCTGCCTCCCAGGCTCAAGTGATTTTCCTGCTTCTGCGTCCCACGTAGCTGGGACTACAGGTGCCCGCCACCACACCTGGCTAATTTTTGTATTTTTAGTAGAGATGGGGTTTCACCATGTTGCCCAAGCTGGTCTCAAACTCCTGGCCTTAAGTGATCCACCCTCCTCGGCCTCCCAAAGTGCTAGGATTACAGGCATGAGCCACTGCACCTGGCCCTCATGATGTCTTTGCAAAAATAGATTCGTGTCCTTGAGCTTCTAAGCCTCTATGAACAGTTAGACCTCACTGTGGGTGCAGATAGTGAGATGATGCCCACTGCTGATAGACCGACATTCCAGAGGGAGTACCTGGGCAAAAGAACCACAGTACTTGGGGCGTCTCCTAGTCCAGTGCTTCTTAACCTTCCTCTTCTTTTTTTAAATAAGCACCTCCCAAGAACCTTTTCAGATATGCATTTTTCTAGTTGTCCCACCCTCTTGAAATTTTGTACAGATACACTGTGTATTATGTACTGTAGCCCTAGAAGAGCCGCAAGCCATTGTAATATCTAACATTGGCTAATGTTATTTTGTTCCCTAAGAAGCCATTTTCACCCCATTGTGGGTGATACTGTCACTCTTGAGAATGTATAGTTTAGTTCAAGACTGTTTGGCCATCCAGCCCCACCTGTGACTAGTGGAGGTGATTTGGGGTGAGCAGAGAGTTACTGCACAAATGTAACAAGCATGTCTATCCAAGACGTGGAGCCACGTGGAGTTAGCTTTCAGAGGTGTCAAATTCTAGGTAGACTGGGCCATTCTCCTTTCCCTCTAGCTTTCTACTTTTCACTTTTACAAATACCAGTTGAGTATCTATCTGTAGGCAAATATCTTGTTCTATATTCAAGATAAATGTTGTTTTATTTTTTCTCTAAAAATGAAGTTATTAAGGTCAGGTATGGTGGCTCATGCCTGTAATCCCAGCACTTTGGGAGGCTGAGGAAGGAGGATCACTTGAGCCCAGGAGATCAAGACCAGCCTGGGCAACATAGCAAGACCCCCTCTCTATTTTTTTTTTCCCCAGACAGAGTCTTGCTCTGTCGCCCAGGCTGGAGTGCAGTGGTCTTACCTTGGCTCACTGCAACCTCTGCCTCCTGGGTTCAGCGATTCTCCTGCCTCAGCCTCCCGAATCGCTGGGATTACAGGCACCTGCCACCAGACCCAGCTAATTATTGTATTTTTTGTAGAGATGGGGTTTCACCATGTTGGCCAGACTGGTCTCGAACTCCTGACCTCAGGTGATCCACCTGCCTCGGCCTCCCAAAGTGTTGGGATTACAGGTGTGAGCCACCTCACCCAACCCCCCTCTATTTTGTTAAGTGCATTGTTAGATCCAAAGGAAACAGCACTTTACAGGATCTTGATTGGTACTTCCTGTCTATATCTGGGACAAGTACACCAGGAATGCATTATAGAGGTGATCTCTCTGTATTTCTGGCAGCATCGACTAGTGTGCTTTTGGAAGTATTTGATAATTTTGAAGGCAAGATGGTAACTCGTTGCTTGAATTAGCTTTCTTACGATTACCAGCAAGAGTGAAATTTTAGACTTATCTTGTTGGATGATAAGATAAATCAATTTCTTCTCCAGAGGCCACCGACTGCCCCTCTTCATTTGGTGGTTAAATCCTCCCTTTCCCATTGACTTGCCACGCCTCCCTAATCCTTTAGGAAATTTTACCTCTGCTGGGATCTGTTCCTGGACAATCTGTTCCTGGACAATCTGTTCTGAATTATTGGCATCTTGATGCTCACATCTGCTTGGCATTGTGAAATAGGTTTTGAATGAATATTCTTTGAAGGTGAATGCACTCTGAGAGGGCATTGATTTATGTGTGGGCATTTGGACAAACTCTTGTGTGCAGACACCTGGCTGTCTGTGCTGGCTGCAGCCAAGGTAGGGATGTGGTGAACTTTTGATGGAGTTGCCCTTTTGAGCAGTTCAGAGGGTGCAGAATGCTACACTGATGACTCCTGGAGGACCCAACAATGCCTTGAAGGTTCGCTCTTGTCTGTTGAGTTGGCTCAAGTCCACCTTCTGATTACTGTCAGCTCTAGCATGAAAGATCCAGCAGATGCTGAATTGAACAAAGAAAGAACGAGCAAGAGACATCATTCATTCATTGTACAAGTACATACTGAATGCCTGCTTTGGTGTTCAATATACAAAGATGTTTCAGACCAAGTCCTTGACCTTGCAGAACTGACAATCTTTTGCTTGTGAGATAGGCATGCAAATCAGTGACTGGGATATAAGGTTTTATTTTATTTTATTGTTTTATTATTATTATTTTTTTAGATGGAGTCTTGCTCTTATTGCCCAGGCTGGAGTGCAGCAGTGCGATCTTGGCTCACTGCAACCTCCGCCTCCCAGATTCAAGCGATTCTCCTGCCTCAGCCTCCCAAGTAGCTGGGATTACAGGCATGGACAACCACACCCAGCTAATTTTGTACTTTTAGTAGAGACAGGGTTTCACCATGTTGGTCAGGCTGGTCAAGAACTCCTGACCTCAGGTCATCCACCCACCTCGGCCTTCCAAAGTGCTGGGATTACAGGCATGAGCCACCGCACCTGGCCAGGATACATGGTTTTAAATTCTACAGTAGGTACACATGGAGTTAGTAGGAGAGAGAGAAAAAAAGTTCGACCAGTTCTGCCTAATGAGATCAGGAACAAAACAAAAAGAGAACATGACATTTCAGCTCCGTCTTAGAGAAAGAGAATTCACCAGATAGACAAGTGAGGGAAGGCATCCCGGACAGAGGGATAGGCATACACATGCACGCAGAGGTGTAAAGGAGCTTGTATTTTATGCAAAGGTTGGGGACAAATTGATGCAAAAGAGATAGTGAGGCTTGAACACTATGCTGAGGTGGTATCCCTATTTTCAGTCAAAGGTGCTGTTCAGGCCGGGCATGGTGGCTCACTCCTGTAATCCCAGCACTTTGAGAGGCCAAGGCAGGCGGATCACTTGAGGTCAGGAGTTTGAGGCCAGCCTGGGCAACATGGTGAAACCCTGTCTCTACTAAAAATACAAAAATTAGCCAGGCTTGGTGGCTTGCTCCTGTAATCCCAGCTACTCTGGAGGCTGAGGCATGAGAATCACTTGAACCCAGGAGGCAGAGGTTGCAGTGAGCCGAGATCACGCCATTGCACTCCAGCCTGGGCAACAGAGCAAGACACCATCTCAAAAACAACAAAAAAAGTGCTGTTCAAATATAGAAAGCATGATGAGATTTGGTCTTGGGGAATTAAACTCAGAACTGCATAGAAGAGACTGCGAAGGTAAGAGTGTAAAAGCCGTGCTACTCATAACAGAATCGTAGCTAGGAACATTAATTCTTAGAAGGATTTTCTCACCTTCATGGTTGAAAAGGGAACTAGCCATTGAGTAATGAGGAAGATACAGCAACCACAGATACTTAAGAGGTGAAATCAAGAAGGCTTGATGACTACATGTATATGTGGGTGACAAGGATGGTGGAAGAGATGGGGTGAAGCTGCCACTTCCATCATGTACAACTGGGCAATTCGGAGTAAAAGGAGAAGCAGGGGTGAGGTATAACCATGTTAAGTGGGAAGTGATGGTTGGACATTTAGCTAGAAATACTGTCAAATGTTTAGGAATATGTGGTTTTGGTTGTACTAATAATTGCCAGTTTCTTGTGGTACTTTCAGTCATTGAAGAACATTGAACAGTTTTAAGTAATGTTACCAGCTCTTCTTCATTGATTGAGGTCATGCCAAGAAGAAAAGCGTAGAGGTGTTTATTGCATCAGGTACGGTAGGTCAAGTTCAGCTTGTTTGCAACTCATATTTACATCTTCTCCTTGCAGGGGATGGCCAGGTGGATTTTGATGAATTCATGACCATTCTTGGCCCCAAACTGGTGTCTTCAGAAGGTCGCGATGGTTTTCTTGGGAACACGATAGACAGCATATTCTGGCAGGTGAGTAAGAATATTTTTTTTCAGACTAAGTTTGACAGTAAATGTGTCTGAGACTAACTTTTGACTGAATTCTTGAACTTCTATTTGGCACGTGAAGATCTCTTCTGGGCTGAGCGACATATGTTCCAGAACAAAGAATCAAAACAACTACTTTTTTAGGGTTTGGAGGAGTGAAATATCTCCCCATTTTTTTCTTGTAGCAATTTTTTTTTGCATTAGGGAAAAATGAAATTATTCTACTGCACATTCACAAAAGTCTTTTTCCTGGGGACACTTCAAAGGGGCACACTGATATTATCTGAACCGGTTCTGTGTTTGACCCCAGTTCCGGGATATCTTTGCTGAGAGAATGGCATGGTTGCCTGGTACATTTGGATCCCGTCAATATCCTTGCACTTAATGAGAGAGAATGGTTTTGTCTAAGAATGTGTATTCAGTGCTTCTCAATTAGCTCCTGTTTCTATCTTGTAAAATCTCTTAGGAAATTCCAAACATCTAACATTGTAATTATTAAAGTATAATGAAATCATTTTTATATTAGTTCTCTACTCTTAAAATGTGACAATTATTTTATGATTATAAAATTTAGGGAGTGGGTTATCAATCATTATTTTAAAAAATTTGAATCACGTAAGTTGTCTGTCAAATTAAATTAAATTACCAGTTAGACACGTAAAACGCCATTCAGACACAGCATGATTTTTCTTTTTTTTAAATTTCTTTTTTTTTTTTTTTTAATTTTATTTATTTTATTTTTTGTTTTTTCCCTTCACCAGGAGATTTCTCTAACCTAGATAAGGGTTGCAGTTGGTGTGTCTTTCTAGTCTTATTCAGGTACCCATCTTGCATAGAACCAACAAGTATTTAGTAAGAACTTACATATGCTATAATCTATCAGTGCTTGTGGGTTTTACAAAAGGCATTTAAGACTCAGACCTAGCTATTTCACAATTTGGCTGGGGAAGCTGAATTTGGTGGCTCATGCCTGTAGTTCCAGTGCTTTGGGAGGCCAAGACAGGAGGATCGCTTGAGGCCAGGAGTTCAAGACCAGTCTGGGTAACATAGCGAGATCCCGTCTCTGCAAACAATTTTTAAAATTAGCCAAATGTGATGGCGCATGCCTGTAGTCCCAGCTACTCTTGAGGCTGAGGGAGGAAGATCGCTTGAGCCCAGGAGTTCAAAGCTGCAGTGAGCTATGATCACACCACTGCACTCTAGCATGGGCAACAGAGCAAGACCCTGTCTCAAACAAACAAACAAAAATAATAATTTGGCTAGGGAAACACAATTAAGAGAGGGAAAACAAACAAGTGATTAATTAGTGTGATGGTCACTAGACTGTAACTCCTTGAAGCACAGGGCTTCAGAGTTGTAGCTCACTCTGTGCATGCTGTACACAGCAAGCCCTCAATAACTATTTGTTTCAATAGATGAATGGAAGGGCAAGAAAGGAGGAAAATACAGTCTTGAAGGGTCAGAAAAGAATTTAGGGAATGTGACACTTGCTTTGAACCTTGAAGTATGGGTGGAATTAAATGCAAAGAAAGAAAAGAGGGCATTTCAGTTCTGCCATGATGAGAGTTTGAAAAGGGGTTGGCATGGGGAAGTCATTGACCATGACTAAGATACCGTTTGAAGGGCAAGACCTCAAAACCCACTGGCAGAATGGATTTAGGGCCTGAAGAAACAGAAGAGGTGAGGCTGATTCCAGAGTTCCCAACTTGCTGTTATTGGCAGGGGTCAGATCATGGAGCAACAGAGAAGTCTTGTGGGGTTGAATCCTCAATTGGACATGCTGAGTAGAAGGTGAGGGTCAAGCAGCCAAGTAAAGGGAGGAAGTCTATGCACAGCTGAAATCAGTTGGGGCTGGAACACCGGATTGAGATTCATGAGAGCTGGTGGGTAAAATTATAGGCAAGGATGAGCTCACCGAGGGAAGGTGCATAAAAGAGGATGAGCAGAGAGATGGGACCTGGTCCCAGAGGACATCCAGGATCAGGGGAGAGTGAGACAGGGGCTCGTGAATCCCCCACTGCTGACAGGAAAACGCCATCTCCCTGAACTGTTGTTAGGATCCAGAACATCTCCAGGACCCTACTCACCATGCAAGGAGAATATTGCAGTGCTCATGGAACCTTCAGTTATGACTTGACACTTGCAAGGACCAATAGGTAGAGTCCCCTGGTGGAAATAAGAAATGACCCCAGAGTTCAGAAGATGAAGGAATATTGTTTCCCATCTGGCCATCTTTTGACCCATGGAGGTCCACTCTGATGATGGGCCTTGGCGAGTTGCTTCTCCCCTGGGCGTTTCTCCTTCTTCTTTCTCTCATTCTCCATCTATTCTCCTGAATGCCTTTTTGCTTGTTTTTTGTGTATTTTAGAGATAGGGTTTCATTCCGTCACCTAGGCTGGAGGGTAGTGATGCAACCATAGCTCACTGCAGCCTTGAACTCCTGGACTCAAGTGATCCTCCCACTTCAGCCTTCCAAGTGGCTGGGACCACAGGTGCAAGCCACCATACCCTGCTATATTTTTCTGTGTTTTTTGGTAGATATGGTGTCTTGCTATGTTGCCCAGGCTGGTCTCAAACTCCTAGCCTCAAGCAATCTTCCTGCCTTGGCCTCCTAAAGTGCTGAGTTTACAGGAGTGAGCCATGGCACCTGAGCCCCTGAATGCTTCCTACTCTTTACCTCCATCCTTAGGGCCAACTAAGGAGAATGTTCCAAGGCCTTGTGAGTTCTAAGCATTCTTCTTTCTGGCCCTCATCTGGATGAGAAGGAGCTATGGCTACTTAATCTACACTCCTACTCCTCCTGTCTTCCAGGTTCATCACAGTAGAGCGTGTACACTGCAAGGAAATATATCTCTTACAATATATGGACTGCCTGTAGCTTAATTCAGACATGCTATAATGCTCACAAAGTCTCCATGTTTTTGTCTTACTCAAGATTTTCTTCCCCACTCAGGGTGAAAAGATAGGCTGGAGAAAGGAGGGAAAATTCCATCTTGAAATATTTAAATCAATGCTGGAAGTCACAGACTTAGTGGCTGTGGCTTTCCTCTCCTGCTAGTGCTCACCCAGCTCAGAATTTTACGACTAGCAAGCAAGAACAAAAACATCCATCAATTCTCAGTAATCAGCCTCCCCTTCTTCCCCCTGCGACTGCCTGCCCCTTCAGAGACAGCGTGAAAAAATGGTACTTAAAACTTCTACAGCATTGGCTTGTTTCTGGAAAAGAGTTCAGGTTCCCAGTGCTTGGGTGGTTTTTCAGGTTTAGAAGAAAGCTGAGTGTGTGCATGTGTGTGTGTGCACATATATATACATGTGTGTTTCCTTCCTTGAAGTGATTGAAGATAATATACAAAAAAGAAGCAGAAAGGTTGCTTTCCCAACACAGTGAGAGCCTGTCTCTAAAGCAGATTGAAAAATTAGCTGGGCATGGTGTTATGCACCTGTAGTCCTAGCTGCTCTGGAGCTGAGGCAGGAGGATTGCTTGAGGCCAGGAGTTTGAGGCTGCAGTGAGCTGTGATTGTGCCACTGCACTCCATCCTGGCTGACAGACTGAGACCTGTCTCAAAAAATAAAACAAAAATAAAAAATAGGAAAAGTAGCTTTTCACCTCCAGATATCCAGGCAGAAGATATTGATCTTAGGAGGTACTGATATCCTTGAAAGAAGACCATCCTACTTAAGAGACTCTAGCAAGGCTTCCCATCAGTGACATAGTCAGTTTTCCGTGGAAACAGACCTGAGACTACTTCTAGAAGGGTATATATTTGTGGTCTTTGGCTGCATAATACATTACACCAAAATCTAGGGCCAGAAAACAACACTAAATATTTTCTATCTCACTTAGTTTCTGTGGGTTGGGAATTTGAAAGCTGGCTGAGCTGGGTGGTTCTAGCTCAGGGTCTCTAATCCAGTTGCAGCCAAGATGCTGGCTGGAGCTGTGACCAGCCTTGGGCTTGACTGGACTGGAAGATGTGCTTCCTGGTGGCTCACTCACCTGGCTGGCAAGGTGACGCTGGTGGTTGACGGGAGCCCTCAGGTCCCTACTGCACAGACCTTGCCACAATGCTGCTTGAGTGTCCTCCTGACATGGCAGCCAGTTTCCCTCAAAGCCAGTGATCCAGGACAGTGCTAGGCAAGAGCAATGATATCTTTTATGCCCTAGCTATCAAGTTGGACACAATCATTTCTGCAATATTCTCTTGGTTACACAGGTCATCCCTATTAAGTGTGGGAGAGAACAGCCTCCCGGTGAATGCCAGGAGGCAGGAGCCATTGTGGATCACTTTGGAGGCTAGCTACCATAAAGGGTAAAGATTCTGTAATTGGACTTCAACTTCTGATCTGACATTGCTGCCCCAAGCCTTCCATTTTCCCCAGGCTTGGGTTTCTTCCTACCTTAGAGGAAACCTATAACCAAGGCTATTCTCTGTATCACTGAGAAGCAATCCTATCAAGCACTAGGTGCCTTTTCCTAATAAAATCCTTCTTCCAGGCCAGACAGGGTGGCTTATGCCTATAATCCCAGCACTTAGGGAGGCCGAGGTGGGCGGATCAGTTGAGGCGGGGAGTTTGAGACCAGCCTGGCCAACATGGTGAAACCTCATCTCTACTGAAAAAAAAAAATACAAAAAAAAAAAATTAGCTGGATATGGTGGTAATCGCCTGTAATCCCAGCTACTCAGGAGGCTGAAGCATGAGAATCATCTGATTCTGGGAGGTGGAGGTTGCAGTGAGCTGAGATCGAGCCACTGCACTCCAGCCTGGGTGACAGAGCAAGACCCTGTCTCAAAAATAAATAAATAAATAAAATAATTTTTTTCCAGTGCTTTCCTTACTGGTGTTCTAGCCTATAGTGCCAAGGGTAGAATAAAATCAAATGGGATTCAGCAAAAACAGCTATTTATTGGTTGGTACTAGTCGCAAAAGTTATGAGCCCCTGGCTCTTTGCAGGAAATTGATTAACAGTGAAGGGGGAATATAGTTGGCTACAAATGCGGCTTCCTTTCCGGGGAGGATGGTCTGAGAGTCATGCCCCAGGGTCTCCAGTCCTCCCGGCATACGCTCAGCCCTCTGGGTGTGAGACTCTTGGCAGCCAGTTCAGAACCGCTTTCCTATGCATAAGTTGTAAAGCTGTGATTGTGTTCTTAGTCTTCGTTCATCAAGCTTCTGTGTGTTTTTTTGTTACTGCAGTGGTATATTTGCTGAGGAAATGTGAAACTGTGTATGGAGTCAGCCTTAGGATATGGTATATGGGAATGGCAGAGAGGAGAGGAGGGAAGGAAGGGACTGAGCGGGGCTGAGACTCAGGACTGGGGGGTAGGCTTCCTGCTCAATGCTGCAGGTTAATTGCACCTGCCAAGAAGTCAAGCACGGTCCTCAGGGTCCCTGCTTTTCCACCATTTATTTACGCCACACATCATGTGCCTACTTGTATCCAAGAATAAGAGGCTTATGATACAGTAGATGTCCCCAAGTGGCAGAGGAAAGAGCCCTGCTATTTTATCATGGTGTTTTCATGAATTTACCCCAGCAGCCTTTTTCATTTTCTTCTGCTTGACCTCAAGCCCCGTGCAACCGTGTTCTGCCATGAGTTTGCAGACAGCAAGCTATAGAGAGCATATGTGAAAGGATCATGGGAGATTAAACAGGTCTGCCAGTCCTGGGGGCCAGCCAACACTTCTGTTAACCTCTTTTCCCTCTGAAGAAACAGAGAAATGAGTCCCACACTTGGTGAGGAGAGCTGAGCTGTTTGTGTGTCTTACTTTTGCCACCGTGAGGTTCAAGAACACCTCGGCCAGAGTGACGCCGAAAACATCTCATGTAGAACTGGGTTCCTTTGCTCACATTTTTAATCTTATTCACAATCAAACCTTATTCATGAAGACTTCACTAATTTAGACTTTCTGTTTTAAGAAATGAAATATTCACAGTTTGTGAGCAAATAGATCTGCTCATTGGATGGTGCTGGTCGTGTTGGAATGAGTCCGGGGCTAAAGGTCGGGAGACAAGAAGCCCATAATAGCTCCCTGGTCTTTTTGCATGCTCAGGACTTTTGGGCAATACTCCCGAGCACACACGAAGTCCAGGGAGCCATTCTGCAAGCTGGTCTTTAGAATAGCTTGTTTATCCCACAGCTGTGTGCAATGTGCAAGACATTGTAAATTACCCTAGCCTGAAAGTGCATAGGGTACTCGTTCCCCAATTTGGTTGGGATGAAAGTCTGTTTGCCACGCTGACTTGCTTTGCCTCTCCCTGGTTATCAATCATAGGTCTGCTGCTGTCCAATCCTCACTCATCTGGTGGGAGAATATGCAGCAGGTGCAGTAAAATACCTGCATCTACTCCCCAGAAACCTTTCCGGAAAGGCTTTACCTTTTGTCTCTCCATCCCAGTTCTTGCTGTGGTCTCGTGTCTCCTGTGGCTTTCCATTTCTGCTTTGGTCCTGGACTCTTTTTTTTTTTTTTTTTTTTTAATTTTTGAGACAGAGTCTCTCTCTGTTGCCCAGGCAGGAGTGCAGTTACATCATCTCGGCTCACTGCAGCCTCCATCTCCCGGGTTCAAGTGATTCTCATGCTTCAGCCTCCCAAGTAGCTGGGACTACAGGTGTGTGCCACCATACCCAGCTTTTTTTTTTTTTTTTTTTGTATTTTTAGTAAACACGGGGTTTTGCCACCTTGGCCAGGCTGGTCTTGAGCTCCTGGCCTCAAGTGATCCACTCACCTTGGCCTCCCAAAGTGTTGGGATTACAGGCATGAGCCACCGTGCCCAGCCTGGTCTAGGAATCTTGATCTCTGTCTCAGGTCCTCATGCAAAACCTAGTTCTTCCCAGCCCAGGCCCAGGCTTTTGTCTGGGACATTTTATAAGCTGGTCCCACCGTGATGGCAGAGATGGGCAGGTGGTTTGGTTTTAAAATTACTGACTTTAGGCCTGGCACAGTGGCTCATACCTATAATCCCAGCACTTCAGGAGGCCAAAGCAGGAGTTTAAGAGCAGCCCAGGCAATGAGTGACACCCTTTCTTTACAAAAAATTCAAAAATTAGCGAGGCATGGTGGTACATACCTGTAGTTCCAGCTACTCGGGAGGCTGAGGCAGGAGGATTGCCTGAGCCCAGGAGGTTGAGGCTGCAGTGAGCTATAATCATGCCACTGCACTCTTGCCTGGTCAACAGAGGGAGATTCTGTCTCAAAAAATAATAATAATAATAATAAAATAAATAAAATTCTTGACCCATGGACAGTTGAGAGCATTTGCATTTCATGGTTGTGACATGTGAAGGAAATATTACATACAAAAAGCTATAATACAATGTGACTGCAAATCTGTTATGCATAAAAAGACTGGAAGGAAATATATTCAATCATTGACAGTGACTTTTTTTTTTTTTTTTTTTGAGATGGAGTCTCACTCCGTTGCCCAGGCTGGAGTGCAGGGGCGCAATCTCAGCTCACTGCAACCTCCACCTCCTGGGTTCAAGCAATTCTCCTGCCTCTGCCTCCCAAGTAGCTGGGATTACAGACGCCCACCACCATACCCAGCTAATTTTTGTGTTTTTGTTAGAGACGGGGTTTCACCGTGTTGGCCAGGCTGGTCTGGAACTCCTGACCTCAGGTGATGTGCCGGCCTCAGCCTCCCAAAGTTCTGGGATTACAGGTGTGAGCCACCGTGCCTGGCCTCTCTTCCATTCTTAATCATCTAATGGAACCTTAATAGTTTTCAGCAGTGATGTCTATATCAAGGCCTGCTAGACTGACAGCAAGCCTTCATTCCCCACAGGGATCTTACCAAGTGTGGAAAAATGGAATATGGGAAGCATTCATGTTAACAGTGGTTCTCAAAGTGTGGTTCCTGGACCAGCAGCATTAGTAATACCTGGAACTTGTTAGAAATGGGAATTCTGGCCCAGCAAGTGACTCACACCTATAATCCCAGCACTTTAGGAGGCAGAGGTGGGAGGCTCTCTTGAGCACAGGGGTTCAAGACCAGTATGGGCAACATAGCAAAACCCCATCTCTAGAAATAATAATTTAAAAAATTAGCCTGGCGTGGTGGCACATGCCTGTAGTCCCAGTTATTCTGGAGGCTGAGGTGAGGACATTGTCGGAATCCAGGCAGTTGAGGCTGCAGTGAGCCATGATTGCACCACCTCACTCCAGCCTGGGCGACAAGAGTGAGAGCCTGTCTCAAAAAGAGAAAAAAAAAAAAAAAGAAAGAAAGAAATGCAAACTCCTGGGCCCCACCTATTAAATTGAATATTCAATACTGACCTGTTGAATCAGAAACTCCAGGCCTATGGCCCAGCAATCTGTTTCTATTAGCCCTCTGGGTGACGTCAACGCTGGCTTGAGTTTGAGATCCACTTAGTTACAGGATTTTAATGAGCCTGACATTTGGGACAAGGCAGCGAGTTAGTTTTACTGATCTGGTTCTGACCCTTGCTTCCTTCCAGGCTTGGTAATTTGGGTTTTTCTTTTAGTTATCCTTATTCATAAGTGTAATTGATCTTTAGTCTATTTAACACTATAATTTTAAACTGTTTTGAAAAGGTGGAGAAATTACCTATCAATATGTAGCTAATTTCTAAGTAGGAAATAATTTTCTAAGCATTGGAGGCAATGGAACAATCAAATAATACTAACTTATACTATTAGATTATAAGAATATTTAAAAAGCTAACAAAGGCTGGACGCAGTGTCTCACGCCTGTAATCCCAGCACTTTGGGAGGCTGAGGCGGAGGATCGCTTCAGCCCAGGAGTTTGAGACCAGCCTGGGTAACAAAGCAAGATCCTGACTCTACAAACAAATACAAAAATTAGCCAGACATGGTGGGACATGCCTGTAGTCCCAGGTACTAGGGAGGCTGAGGTGGGAGGATCAATTTAGCCTGGGAGGTCGAGGCTGCAGGGAGCCATGATCATGCCACTGCACTCCAGCCTAGACAACAGAGCGAGACCCTGTCTCAAAAAGTAAACAAACAGAAAAGCTAACAAACTGGCAAAAATATGGCAATTTGTAGAATAAAACACAGGTACAGAACATTTCTAAAGCTATGTGAAACCTCTTGACAATAAATGGGATAAAGAGCAATAGACAACTGATAGACATTTGAAATAAACATTAAAACAGCTCGACCTCACCGGAAATCTTAGAAATGTTAATTAAAATAGGGATTGGTTAACAGTTATCTTCTCAGAATGGAAAATAAATCATGTAATACTCAAAGTTGTCAGGAGCAAGATAAAATAGGCAAACTCAGCTGGTTGCAGTGGCTCACGCCTGTAATCCCAGCACTTTGGGAAGCTGAGGTGGGCGGATCACCTGAGGTCAGGAGTTTGAGACCAGCCTGGCCAACATGGTGAAACCCTGTATCTACTAAAAATACAAAAATTAGCTGGGCGTGGTGGCGCACATCTGTAGTCCCAGCTACCTGGGAGGCTGAGGCAGGGGAATCACCGGAGCCCAGGGGACGGAGGCTGCAGTGAGCTGAGACCAAGCCACTGTACTCCAGCCTAGGCAATAGAGTGAAACTCCATCTAAAAAAAAAAAAAAAAAAAAGAGCCAACTCATATAACACTGATAGAAATGTAAATAGAAAGAAATGTATTTACAATTTCTTTGTAGAAATGTAAATTTGTAAATCATACAACTTTTCAGAAAACTATTTGGTGACACTTGGCCATAATTTTTAAAGCCCTATAATTTAAAATATGTTCAAACCCTGTGATTTAAAATAATTTTCTACATTTAGTAATCTACCATATAAAATCAGTCAGAGATGTAGGAAAATGCAATTATAAAGATAAAATATTATATAATTGTTAGAAATAATATTTTCACTTTATAGTAAATGGAAAAGCCAAGATAGAGATGGAATTTACAGTATAATTACATTACCATCCTACATCTATTATGCCCATTATATTAATCTATTATGCATCCATTTATAGTCATAGAAAAAAATGGAAAAAATTCTGATTGTACTTATTTTGACTGGCACAAAAGTGAATAATTTTTTCTTTATACTTGTTTGTATTAGGCTATACGGTCTATTCTGTTATTATTCAGTAAAGTTAACAAAATCTCAAATTAGTCTGGGCATGGTATCTCCTGTCTGTAATTCCAACACGTTGGGAGGCTAAGACAGGAGGATCAGTTGAGCCCAGGAGTTTGACAGGAGCCTAGGCGACATAGTGAGACTCTGTCTCTACCAAAAATAAAAAAATTAGCTGGGTGTGGTGTCATGCACCTGTGGTCCCAACTACTGGGGAGGTTGAGGCAGGAGGATCACTTGAGCCAAGGAGGTTGAGGCTGCAGTGAGCCATGATCACGTCACTGCACTCCAGCCTGGGTGACAGCCAGATCCTGTCTCAAAAAAAAAAAAAAAAAAAAAAAATCTCAAATTAGCAAAATTACATTATCCAACAATTGTTTTCAGGGGCAAAAACAAAAAGGGGAGAAGTGATTGGAATTTAAAGCATTTCTAGTTCACACGCCCATGGTTATGGTAAATGGAGCACAAAGTTGATATGAGAGTATAAAAGCCGGCCGGGTACAGTGGCTCATGCCTTTAATCCCAGTGCTTTGGGAGGCCGAGGCAGGTGGATCACCTGAGGTCAGGAGTTAGAGACCAGCCTGACCATTATGGTAAAACCCTGTCTCTACTAAAAATACAAAAAAATCAGCCAAGCGTGGTGGCGTGCACCTGTAATCCCAGCAACTCAGGAGGCTGAGACAGGAGAATTGCTTGAACCCCGGAGGCGGAGGTTACAGTGAGCCAAGATCACGCCCTTGCACTCCAGCCTGGGTGACGGAAGGGGACTCTGTCTCAAAATCAATCAATAAATAAATAAAGCCTAAAATCAAAATTAATGCAGCTGCCAGCTGCCAGGAGGAAAAGAACTCACTGGAGACCACTGAGTGGCAGCTGTCACCCAAAGCCACTGTATGACCCTCTGCTGCAGAGGCTGCAGGAGGCGCAAGGCAGGACTGTCACAGATGCTGCTCTCCACATACCAGCCTTATGTCCAGTTAATATGCTGAAAACTCATATTTTGGGAAAAAGTCTGAAATGATTTTATGATCACAAAAAATAAATTGATTAAATGTAATTTTTGTTTTGTTTTGTTTTTTGAGACGGAGTCTCACTCTGTTGCCAGGCTGGAGTGCAGTGGCACGACCTCGGCTCACTGCACCCTCCGCCTCCTGGGTCAAGTGATTCTCTTGCCTCAGCCTCCTGAGTAGCTGGCACTACAGGCACCCGCCACCACACCCAGCTAATTTTTGTATTTTTAGTAGAAATGGGATTTCACCATGTTGGCCAGGATGGTCTCAAGAGGACCTCATGATCCGCCTGCCTCGGCCTCCCAAAGTGCTGGGATTATAGGTTTGAGCCACCGTGCCCGGCCGATTAAAAGTAATTTTAAAAAATTGCTTCAAAATAACCTCATGGCTGGTACTTCAGCCTGTAGCTGAGATGAGCTGACCAGCGGCTGTAGGTGGGGAGAAGAGAAAAATCACTGGTCACATTATCGGGAAAGTCCTGGCACCACTGGTTTCATATCTCTGTTCCATAGAACCTTCCCAAATTATATTTAAAAGTATTTTTTTTATTCAATCTACTTATCCTCAAGTGTTTAACCCATAGGGTATGATGTGAACTGTAGACGCCCAGGAAGGTGCAGAATTTTCATTGAAAGTTATCTAAATGGGCTGAGTATGGTGACTCATGCCTGTAATCCCAGCACTTGGAGAGGCTGAGAACTGTTTGAGTTCAGAGTTCAAGACCAGTGTGGGCAACATTTTTTTGTCTCTACAAAAAAAACCTAAAAATTAGCTGGGTCTGGTGGTGCATACCTGTGGTCCCAGCTACTTGGGAGGCTGAGGTGGGAGGATCACTAGGATCGTGCCACTGCACTCCAGCCTGGGTGTCAGAGTGAGACTCTCTCTCAATGAAGCAAACAGGAGAGAAAGGAAAGATGATTAGGATGGATGCTATCAGAAGTAGAATCTTGGCCCTGAACTTGTTAAACTTCAGAGGAAGCAGAGAAAGGAGCGAGACAGGCATGGAAGCTGATGGGGACCTCTTGGGGTCAGTCAGGTAAATCCCTTCAAACCCCAAACCAGAAGTGATCAAAGGCAGGTTCAGGAGAGGGAACAGGGGTCTTCCTGTGCTTCAGGGATGGTGTCCTGGAGGAGCCTCTGACCACGGCTCCAATGCTCTTGACCCACAGCGCAGAGTTCAGAGGTTCAACGGTGCAGCCAAGAGACCAGGGAGGTGGCTACAGCCACCTGACTCTCTGGTCAGTGGGCCCTGATCCCCACACTCCTGACCTCCTCCCAGCCAGACACTGGGGAGCAGGCCCTATACTGTCTTGTGGAGGTACTGCTGTCTGGTTTTTTGTTTTTGTTTTTTTTTGTTTTTTCCTATATTGCCATGGTGAATAGGATTTTAATTTTCCTTCTTTCTTTTTTGTTTTTTTTCTTTTTTTTTTGACGGAATCTCACTCTGTCGCCAGGCTGGAGTGCAGTGGCGCCATCTCGGCTCACTGCAACCTCTGCCTCCCGGGTTCAAGCAGTTCTCCTGCCTCAGCCTCCCAAGTAGCTGGGACTACAGGTGCGTGCCAACACGCCCAGCTAATTTTTGTATTTTTAGAAGAGACAAGGTTTCACTGTGTTGGCCAGGATGGTCTTGATCTCTTGACCCCATGATCCGCCCACCTCAGCCTCCCAAAGTGCTGGGATTACAGGCATTAGCCACCACGCCTGGCTAATTTTCCTTTCCTTTCCTTTTCTTTTCTTTTTCTTTTTCTTTTCTTTTCTTTTCTTTTTTTTTTTTGAGACAGGGTCTCCTCTGTGGCTGGAGCGCAGTGACGCGATCTTGGCTCACTGCAATCTCCGCCTCCTGGGTTCAAGCAATTTTTCTACCTCAGCTTCCTGAGTAGCTGGGATTACAGACACGCGCCACCACATGCTGGCTAATTTTTGTATTTTTAGTAGAGATGGAGTTTCACCATATTGGTCAGGCTGGTCTTGAACTCCTGAATGCAGGTGATTCGCCCACCTCGGCCTCCCAAAGTGCTGAGATTACAGATGTGAGCCACCGCACCTGATTTTAATTTTTCATTAAATGTTTCTAACCCCTTTCTGCCAGTATGATGGAAAATGGCTTTGGAATTTTGGGCTTCATCTGGCTGCCTTATTGAATTCTCTCATTAGCAAGAGTCTAGGTGGTTTCGGCTGCAGTAACTAAATACTACAGACCAGGTAGCTTATAAACAAGAGAAATGCATTGCTTACAGTTCTAGAAGGTTCTGGTGAAGGCCCTCTCCCAGATTGCAGAATATCAACTGATTTCCTTGGGTCCTTTTATCCCTTCATCCCTTGGGATAAGGGGATTAATCCTTTTTATGAGTCTCCACTTTCAGGATCTAATCAGCTCTCAAAGGGCCCGCTTCCTAATACCATCACAATGGGGGTTAGGATTTCAGTATATGAATTTTGGGAAAACACAGACAGCAGTCATGGATTTTTCCAGTGATTTTCTTAGGCTCTTTATCCCTGCAATGACTTTGTCTACAAATTGCAGCAATTTTGTTACCTTCCTTTCAGCAGTGTATATTTTATCCCATTTGTGTTGACTGACACCTATTTATTACTAATAAACAGTAAGGGTGATAGTTGATTTTAGGAAATTAACCTCTTACCTACTGTATTAGTCTGTTTTCATGCTGCTGATAAAGACATACCCGAGACTGGGTAATTTATAAAGTAAAAGAGGTTTAATGGACTTACGTTTCCACGTGGCTGGGGAGGCCTCACAATCATGGCAGAAGGTGAAAGGCATGTCTTACATGGTGGCAGACAAGAGAGAATGAGAGCCAAATGAAAGGGAAACCCGTTATAAAACCATCAGATCTTGTAAGACTTGTTCACTATCATGAGAACAGTATGGGGGAAACCACCCCTATGATTCAATGATCTCCCCCAGGGATGGTCCCTCCCACAACACATGGGAATGATGGGAGCTTCAATTCAAGATGAGATTTGGGTGGGGACACAGCCAAACCATATCTAACTTACCAACATTTTAAAAACCATGAATATATGATAGCTTTTTCTCAAATGGCCTTTGAATCTATAATAATAGGATCATGTGATTATTCTTGTTTGGACAAGATGTGATAATTAATAGATTTCCTATTATTAAATCATTTTTGTATTCTTAGGGTTAATATTAGTTGTCATGGTAGCCCATTTTCTTAATGCAATTTGAATTTGTAGTGTAAGTTTTGAATTTGATTTGCCATTTTTATTTTTTATTCATATTTATAAATAAAAGTGACCTATAGTTTATACAAAATTACAAGTGTCATTGTTAGTTCTTGAAACATAGTTAACCTAGCATGATGAAATTAATTTGTTTGCTTTATATTATTTTCTGTGATGTATAATAAATTCTGTACAGTATGGAATTGATTTATAACTTTGACTTTAGGCTTGCTAGTTCATAAACTGCTTTTTTGTTTTGTTCTCATTTTTTTGAGGTGATTATTTGATAAATATTAGAAGTTAATTGTTCTTCAGTCTATTTTGAAAACTTATATTATCTTCAGGTTACCAATTCCTCAAAATTACTTAGTTTATTAGCATTTACTTACATATAACATTGTTTAAAAATTTATTTGAGGCCGGGCACAGTGGCTCACGCCTGTAATCCTGGCACGTTGGGAGGCGGAGGCGGGTGGATCACCTGAGGTCAGTTGTTTGAGACCAGCCTGGCCAACATGGTGAAACCCCGTCTCCACTAAAAATACAAAAATTAGATGGGCGTGGTGGCGGGCACCTGTAATCCCAGCTACATAGGAGGCTGAGGCAGGAGAATCACTTGAACCCGGGAGGCGGAGGTTGCAGTGAGCCGAAATCACACTGCCTCACCCCAGCCTGGGCAAAAGCGTGAAACTGTCTCAAAAAAAAAAAAAAAAAATTGAAAGTCTTCTCATACCATGGTTTGAATTAATTTGATATGCCAGATGATTGTCTATTTTAGTGATTTTGGGGAAAATCTATGCTTCTATTTAATGAATAATCCTTTTTTCTCTGTTTTCATTCTAGTATTTTCAGCTTTTCTCTTCATTTCCCTTCTCTTGCTTCTTGTTCTGATCATTTATTATCATTTATAATAATAATTTGTGTAAATTATTTTATTTAGTTTTCTTTTTTATTAATGAAATAATTTAGATATAAATTTTCTTCTTCGTATAGCTTTACCATTCTGGAGATTTTTATATGTATTGTGATCACTTACTATATGGTCTATAATTGTAGATAATATTTTCATTCACTCAATAGTTATTTGGGAGAATGTTACTGAATACCTTGTTTAAATACTTGTTATTGGTTTTTCATTTTTTTGCATAATCATAGAATGTCAGATATATAATATCTTCATACTATTTATTGTATCCATTTATTGTGTCTCAATATGTGTTTGATTTCTGCAAACATAATATGGTAATTGAATAGATTGCTTGCACAATTTATAAGAAATAGAGCTACTGATCCATGACCCCTTTCCACTAAAAATTACATTAAAATCATGAATGTCCTCATTTATTTTTTATCTACTCACTGGCTTAGACTGATAGTGTTAACATTTGTCTCAATTCTGTTTCTGACACTTTCTCTTTGTGTGTGTCTGTGTGTATTTGATATTGCCTGCCATTATTTGATTGATTCATTCATTCATTCAACAGAGGCTTATTGAAAGTCTTTTGAGGTTGGGCCCAGTGACTCATGGCTATAATCCCAGCACTTTGGGAGGCCCAGGCAGTAGGATCACTTGAGGCCAGGAGCTCAAGACTAGCCTGGGTAACATAGCAAAACCCCATCTCTATTGTTTTTTAACAAAATAATTTTTAAAAAGTCTCTTGCATAGAGCGCAGATGTTGTGGTGATCAATAAACAAGGCTCTCGCACTCATGGAATTTACATTTTAGTGTAAGGGGTAGGAGAAAGATAGGCATTAAATAAATTGATAATGAATAAGGAAATTTCAGATAATATTAAGTTGTTTTGTTCGTTTTGTTTTGTGTTTTGAGACAGAGTCTCGCTCTCTTGCCCAGGCTAGAGTGCAGTTATGCGATCCAGGCTCATTGCAATCTCTGCCTCCTGGGTTCAAGTGATTCTCCTGCTTCAGCCTCCCAAGTAGCTGGGACTACAGGTGCCCGCCACCATACCCAGCTAATTTTTTGTATGTTTAGTAGAGACAGGGTTTCTCCATGTTTGCCAGGCTAGCCTTGAACTCCTAACCTCAGGTAATCTGCCCACTTCGGCCTACCAAAGTGCTGGGATTGCAAGCGCAAGCCACTTCACCTGGACACAAGTTCTTTAAGAAGTTGCAAGCATCACTTCTACTTATGTTCCCCGGCCAGATGTTAGTCACGTGGCTGGTGGAAGTCAGTCACGTGCCATACGTGGCAGCAAGGGAAGCTGGGAAATGTCGTCTTTATTCCGAACAGTCCTGGTCCAAGAATTTTAAAAATTGGGGATTTGGTTGCCATTAAGAAAGGGTGAATTGACACGTGAGGAAGAACTGTCTCTCATCTCATCAGTGTGTGGAGTTTGGATATGATTTCATGTACAAGCAGTTCTCATTGGAGTGTTTTAAGAACTTGAGTGGATTGATTTAATCTGTATGCAAAGTACATCATTGGTTGCTGTGTGAAGGAGTGTAGGGGCTAGAATGGAAATGGGGACCCAGTTATGAAGTTATTTTAGGAGTCTGGGAGGCATGCGGATGACTCGGACTAGGGTTGGAGGAGCTGAGATGGTGTGTAAGGAACA
Source organism: Homo sapiens (assembly GCF_000001405.40). Taxonomy (NCBI): domain Eukaryota; kingdom Metazoa; phylum Chordata; class Mammalia; order Primates; family Hominidae; genus Homo; species Homo sapiens. The sequence continues at coordinate 72,006,798 of NC_000007.14, read as the reverse complement.
GACATGAGCTTTATATTTGAATTACAGCTGTTCATTAAATTAATATATGGCACTTCCATTATGCATCCATGATTACCATTTATACCTATAAATAGCCTTCGTGGTCCATCCATTATTTTTTTCTTGAATCCTCCTTTTCTAATATTAATACTAACCTCATCTCATTTTCTCTTTATTTGTTTTCACTGGGTATAACCTCATTCATCCTTTTTCTTTAAAAAAAATCTACTTTTTTAGATGTCCCTCTCTATAAAAATCATCGTGTCAGAATTATTTTTATAAGCCAGTCTGAGAGAATTTGTCTTTTAATAGAGTGGTTTAATCCATTGGCAATCCTGTTATAACTGTTGCTTGTTCACAGTTCAGTGGCCCCATATTATTCTTTTTGCTTTTAAGCTATTTTATTTTCCATCTTTTGCTCTATTGATTGTTTTGTATATTTTATCTCCTAAATTAAATGGAACAATAGCTCTTCTTGTTAGAAGCCTTTTACTGATTTTCTTTACCTTCATGAAATATGTATTTAAAATTATATTTGTCTGAATATTAAATTCAAAGGAAAAACTAACCTCTTATTTTTCCTGGAAGAAAATTTGGCTTATATTTACTTTCCCCATTTACTTCCCAATGTCTGTTAAATCTGGCACTATGCAAGCTGGATTTTTTTAAGTTATTGAAATGGCTGTAGACTCACATGCAGTTGTAGGAAATCATTCAGAAAGATCCCATGTACACTCCACCCAATTTTCTCCTAATGGTAACATTTTCCAAAACCATAATACAATATCATAACTGAGATTTTGATATTGATACAAACTGCTAATAGTCTTCGGAGTTCCCCAGTTTTGCTTGTACTCACATGTGAAAGTGTGTTGACTTCCATACAGTTTTATCACATGTGTGTAGGTTTCTGTGTCTACCACCACAATCAAGCTATTGAACAATTCCATCACCCCTGTTGCCCTTTAATGACAACATCTCCTCATTCCCACCCCCACCCCTAACTCTGTCAACTAGGTCTTGGTTTTCTAAAAAGTCTAAAATTTTGCCATTGCAAAAATTGTATATAAATGGAGTCACATACTATGTAATTTTGGAGTGGGCGTTTTTCTTCCATCATAATATGCTTGAGATTCATTCAAATTGTTGTATCAATAATTTGCTCTGGGCCAGGCATGGGTGGCTCATGTCCATAAGCCTAGCACTTGGGAGGCTGAGGTGGGGGGATTGCTTGAGCCCAGGAGTTTGAGACCAGCCTGGGAAACATGGCAGAAACCCCATCTCTATTTAAAAAATGCATAAGTTAGCTGGGCATGGTGGTGTGTGCCTGTAGTCCCAGCTACCTGGGAAGCTGAGGTGGGAGGGTGGCTTCAGCCTGGGAGTTCCAGGCTGTAGTGAGCCGTGATCACGCCACTGAACTCCAGCCTGGGTGAAAGAGCGAGACCCTGTCTCAAAACAGAAAAAACAGTTTGCTTCTTTTTACTGCTGAGTAGTATTTTACAGGATGAACTGTTTCATGGTATGAAACTTATTTAACCCACTCACGTGTTGATGGACACCTAGGCTGTCTCAAGTTTTTGGTTTTTATGAATAAAGCTGCTGCGACCATTTGTATGCAGGCTTTTGTGTAAACATGTTTCCATTTCTCCAGGATAAAAGAGCTCAAATGCACTTGCAGGTTGGTATCATAACTGCATGTTTTGTTTTATAAGAAACTGCTATTTTTTTTCCACAGTGATGGTAGCATTTTACATTCTCACCAGCAATGTATGAGTGATTCAGGTTTTCTGATTCTCACCAGCTTTGGTATGTCACTATTTTATATTTTAGCCATTCTGGTAGGTGTGGAGTGATCTCTCAACTGCAGTTTTGCATTTCTCTGATGGCTAATCTTTAACAGTGATCATTTACCATCTGTATGTCCTCTTCTGTGAAATGTCTGTTGATGTCTTTTGCCCATATTCTAATTGGTTAGTTGTTTTTGTGTTTTGTTTTGTTTTGCTCTTGAGTTTTGAGAAGTCTTTATATATTTTGTATACTACTCCTTGGCCAGATATGTTGTTTGCAAATTGGTTAGTTGTTTTTGTTTTGTTTTGTTTTGTTTTGTTTTGTTCTTGAGTTTTGAGAATTCTTTATATATTTTGTATACTACTCCTTGGTCAGATATGTTGTTTGCAAATGTCTTCTGCAAGTGTGTAGTTTATCTTTTCATTCTCTTCTTACAACCTTTGGAAGAACAAAAGCTTTTAATTTTGATGTGGTCTAGCTTTTCGATTTTTCCCAGTATGGACTGTGATTTTAGTGTCAAGTCTAAGAACTCTGCCTAGCCCTAGATACTGAAGATTTTCTCCTATTTTTTTCTTCTAAAAGTTTTATAGTTCTATGTTTTACATTTAAGTCCATGATCCAGAATTTAGTTAATTTTTGGATAAGGTTCACACCTTTAGGTCAAGATTCATTTTCTTACCTACAAATATCCACTTACCCCAGCATCATTTGTTGAAAGGGCTGTCCTTTCTCCATTGAATTACTTTGATGACTTTGCCAAAAATCAATTGGGCATATTTATGTGGGTGTATTTCTGGGTTCTCTGTTCTGTTTCATTGATCCATGTGTCTGTCCTGCTGCCAATTCTACACTATTTTGATTACTGTAACTATATAGTAAGACTTAATATCAGTTAAGTGATTTCTTGTACTTTATTCTTTCCTGTCAAGATTGTTTTAACTCTTCTAAGATCTGTGTATTTCCATGTAAATTATAGAATAAACTTGTCTGTGCCTACTAAAATTCACCAGGATATTGATAAGAATTGCCTTAAACCTATAAGTCAACTTGGGAGAATTGGCATCTTTATTATGTTGAGTCTTCTAGTCCAGTGGTCTAGGAATAGCGTCATCACCTTTCTGGCACCAGAGACTGGTTTCGTGGAAGACAATTTTTCCATGGACCAAGGTGGGGGATGGTTTCGGGATCATTCAAGCACATCACATTGATTATGCACTTTATTTCTATTATTATTACATTGTAATGTATAATGAAATAATTATACAACTCACCATAATGTGGAATCAGTGGGAACCCTGAGCTTGTTTTCCTGCAACTAGACAGTCCCATCTAAGGGTGATGGGAGATAGTGACAGATCATCAGGCATTAGATTCTCCTAAGGAGCATACAACCTAGATCCCTCACATGTGTAGTTCACAATAACATTCACACTTCTATGAGAATCTAATGCTACTGCTGATCTGACAGGAGGTGGAGCTCAGGTGGTAATGCGAGCGATGGGAAGCAGCTGTAAACACAGATGAAGCTTCTCTCTCTAGCCTGCCGTTCTCCCTCTGCTGTGCAGTCCAGTTCCTAACCACCGCTCACCTCTTGCTATCTGGTACCGGTCCATGGCCCGGGAGTTGGGGACACCTGTTTTCATCCATGAAAGCAATATGTCTCTCCTTTCATTAAGTCACTGATTTCTTTCACCCACATTTTGTAATTTTAAGAATAAAGATCCTATACTTGTCTTGACAAGGGTATACCTAAGTATTTCATCTTCTTTGGAGTGAATGTAACATGTTTATTGTTAGTAAATAGAAATGTGATTTTTTGTGTTAATTAATAGGATTAATTTTTCAAATAGGCAAATAAAAATTGTATAGATTTATAGTTACATGATGTTTTGATATCTGTATACATTGTGGAATGGCTAAATCAAGCTAATTAACATATCAATTACTTCACATACTTACTGAGATCATTTAAAATCTAATCTCTCAGGAATTTCAAGTGTACAATAGACTGTTAGCTATAGCCACCATATTATATAATAGATCTCCTGAACTTTCTCCTACTGCATAACTGAAATTGTGTATCCTTTCCTCAATATCTCCCCACCTCACAACTCCTCAGTCCCTGATAACTGTAATTTTATTCTCTGTTTTTGTGATTTCAACTTTTTTAGATTCTACATATAAGTGAGATCATGGAGTGCTTGCCTGGTTTATTTTTCATTTAGCATAATGTCCTCCAAGTTCATCCATATTGTCAGAGATGACAGGATTTCCTTCTTTTTAAAAGCTGAATATAATACTGTCTTGTAACCTTACTGATCTCACTTAGTTCTAGGAGGGATTCGTTTGTAGATTTCTTGGGATTTTCTACATCAAAGTTGATGTCATCTTCAAATAAAGACCATTTAATTCCTTCTTTTCCAATCTGTATACCTTTTATTTTTCTTATTTTATTGAGCTGGCTAGCACTTCTGGTACCAACATTTCCTGACTTATGGTTGTTCAACTTACAATTTTTCAACTTTATAATGATGCAAAAGTGATATGTATTCACTAGAAACTGTACTTCAATTACCCATATATCTGCTTTGCTTTTTAACTTTCAGTATAGTATTTAATAAATTATATGAGATGGTCAACATTTTATTATAAAATAGGCTTTGTGTTAGGTGATTTTTGTCCAACTGTATGCTAACATAAATGTTCTGAGCATGTTTAAGGTAGGTTAGGCTAAACTAGGATGTTCAGTATATTAGGTGTATTAAATGCATTTTCCACTTAACCATATTTGCAATTTACAGTGGTTTTTCAGGATCAAATCTCATCATAACTCAAGGAGCATCTGTATGATGTTGACTAGCAGTGGTGGGAGTAAATATTCTTGGCTCCTTCCCAATCTTATAGAGAAAGCATTCAATTTTTTCAGTCCTTCACATTAGCTGTAGAATTTTTGTAGTTGTTCTTTACCAAGTTCAGTTAATTCTTCTCTTCTTTAATTTCTGAAAGTTTTTATCATGAATGGGTGTTGTATTTTGTCAGATGTTTTTTCTGTTTCACTTGATATGGTTATATGATTTTCTTCTTTAGTTTGTTGATATGGTGGATTATGTTGATTGACTTTTAAAATGTTAAATATGACTAAATTGATTGATTTTTGGCTGTTGAACCAGACATGCTTACCTGACATGAATCTGACTTTGTCATGTTACCAGTGGCCAATCTGTATGGGTCTGCAGCAACCACAATTCTTGCCTTCTCAGAAGAAAGAATTCAACCAAGGGGCATAAGGCAGAGTGAGAGACTGAGGCAAATTTTAAGGCAGGAGTGAAAGTTTATTAAACAGCTTTAGAACAGGAACAAAAGGAAGTAAAGTCCACTTGGAAGAAGGCCAAGTGGGCAGTGTGAGCTATCAAGTGCGTGGTTTGACCTTTGACTTAGGGTTTTATATGTTGGCATACTTCCAGGGTCTTGTGTCCCTTCTCCCCTTATTCTCCCCTTGGGGTGGGCTGTCCACATGCACAGTGGCCTGCCAGCACCTAGGAGAGGCCACATGTGTATACAGTGTACAGTACACATGGGTGTACTGGAGTTGCACTCATGCTCTCTTGAGTTGGATGCTCCTAGAAGGTCATGCACCTGTTAAACTCTGCCACTTTGCCACTTAGTGCACATACACGAGCCCATTCACCCAACTCCTGAGATCTTATTGAGAAGCTGATCACCAGTTTCAGGTTTTTCTACCTGTTTAGAGACTGCCTTTCCCTGATGCTGGCTACAACCAATTACTGTTACTTAGTGCATATACATGAGTCCATTCACCCAACTCCTGAGATCTTATTGAGAAGCTGATCACCAGTTTCAGGTTTTTCTACCTGTTTAGAGACTGCCTTTCCCTGATGCTGGCTACAACCAATTACTGTTATTTAGTGCATATACATGAGTCCATTCACCCAACTCCTGAGATCTTATTGAGAAGTTGATCACCTGCTTCAGGTTTTTCTACCTATTGGGAGACTGCCTTTCCCTGGTGCTAGCTATGACCAATTACTATTTTAGAGAGACAACTTAACAACTACCTGCCCATCACCTGATGGTCTTCTGACATTCCTGGTCGAGAGGGAACCCTCTCCGGCCCTGCTGATGTCTGCCTGACTACCTACTGTAACAGTCATGGTGTATGATTCTTTTTATACATTACTGGATTCAGTTTGCTAGTATTTTGTTAAGATTCTTACATCTAAGTTCATGAGAGATAGGGTCTGCAATTTTTGTTTGTTTGTTTGTTTTGTGCTGTCTGGTTTTGTTATGAGGCCTTGTAAAATGAATTAGTAAGTGTTTCTATTTCTTTTATTTTGTGGGGAGTTGTGTAAAACTGTTTATGGGAGAGATGGTATAAAATGGTTTTTAATTCATATTTAAATGGTAGAATTTTCCAATGTAACTATTTAGGCTTGGAGATTTTTTCTTTTTTTCAAAATCTTTTAAATTATGAAATCAATTTCTTTAATGGTGTAGCATCATTCAGATTATCTATTTCATCTGTTTTAGGGGTTTGTGGTTTTCCAGGAATTGGTCCAATTCTTCTAAGTTGTTGAATTTATGAGTATAAAATTATTCATAGTATTCCCCTATTCTCTTCTTAATGGTTGCAGGATATATAATAATATTCCCTGTTTCATTTCTGATATTGGTGATTTGTGTTTTCTGTGGCTGTTTTCTGTCACTGTTGCTAGAGGTGTGTCAATTTTATTCTTTTTTTTTGAAAAATATGCTTTTGTTTCAATGATTTTTCTCTTATTTTTCTATATCCAATTTCATTGTTTTCTGCTCTTAGCTTACTATTTGCTTCTTTCCACCTGCTTTGTAGCTTTTTGTTTTGTATTGTTCTTTTTTTAGTTTCTTGAGATAGGAACTTCGATTATTGATTGACATTCCACGCTCACTTTCTTTCAGTTCTCTGTATTTTTATTTACTTTGAGACTTCTTTGAACCTTGAGTTCAGCAGCGTGTTATTAATTTTCCAGGTATTTAGAGGTTTTCCTGGTGTCTTTCTGTTGCTAGTTTCTAGTTTGATTTCATTATGGCCAGGTAACATATTCTGTGTGATTTCAGTTATTTATATCTTTGTGGTTTGTTTTATAGCCTTTATATTATCTGTCTTGGTGAATGTTCCGTAGTCATTTAAAAAAAATGCATATGGCTGGGCACAGTGTCTCATGCCTGTAATCTCAGCACTTTGGGAGGCTGAGGCTGGTGGATCACTTGAGGTCAGAAGTTTGCGACCAGCCTGGCCGACGGCAAAACCTGTCTCTACTAAAAATAGAAAAATTAGCAGGGTGTGGTGGTGTATGCCTGTAATCCCAGCTACTTGGGAGGCTGAGGCAGGAGAGTAACTTGGGAGGCAGAATGCAGAGGTTGCAAGTGAGCCAAGATTATGCCACTGCACTCCAGCCTGGGTGACAGAGTGAGATTCCAACTCAAAAAAAAAAAATGCATATGCTGCTGTTGGATGGAGTGTTCTGTGTATATGAGCTAGATCCTGCTGGTTGATTCTGCTATGTAGTTCTCTGTATACATACTGATTGTTCTCCCTAGTAGTTCTGTCCTTTGCTGAGAGGTGGCTGTTCAGGTTTCCAACTATAATTGTGAATTTGTCTGTTTTCCCTGTTAACTCTGTTTTTGCTTCATGTATTGTGAAGCTTTTTGATGTGGCCATATTTAAGATTGCATATCATCCTGGTGGATTGATCCTTTGACTATTATATAATGTCCCTCTTTGCTTCTATTAAATAGTGATTTTCTTTGCTCTGAAGTTGACTTTATTTGTATTGATGTAGCCACTGCTGCTTCTTAAAATTAATATTTTCAGGTTATATAATTTTCCATTCTGCCTATGTTGTTGAATTTGAAGTCAGTTTCTTGTAAACAGCATAAAATTGGATTGTGTCTCTGTCCACTTTGCCAATCTGTTTTTTTATTGGTGTACTTAGACCATTTACATTTAAGTTAATTATCTATGTAAGTCTACCATTTTATTAATTTTTTTCTGTTTGGTTCCTTGGATTCTTGTTCCTCTGTTTTTCTTTTCATGTAGGGTACTTGAACAGCTTTTAGGATTCCATCTTGATTTTTTCATTGCATTTTAAAGTATATCTCTTTGGGTGCGGTGGCTCACACCTGCAATCCCAGCACTTTGGGAGACCAAGGCAGGCGATTGCTTGAGTCCAGGAGTTCAAGACCAGTCTGGGCAACATGGTGAAACCTCATCTCTACTAAAAATACAAAAATTAGCTGGGCATGTTGGTGTACGCTACTTGGGAGGCTGAGGCATGATAATTGCTTGAACTGGGGAGGTAGAGGTTGCAGTGAGCCAAGATCATGCCACTGCACTCCAGCCTGGGGAACAGAGTGAGACTGTCTCAAAAAAAAAAAAAAAGTATATCTGTTCGTATAGTTTTTGTAGTGGTTGCTCTGTGACATCAGACTTTACTGGTATCGACATTTTGCCTCTTCAAGTGGAACATGAAAACCGCATTTCCTTTTAGAACCATTACCTTCCCTGCTCTTAAATATCATTGTCTTGAGTACAAGAGGTTGTTAATAATTTGTGTCTCAATCATTAAATATAATTTACACAATTTAGAAGGAAAAGGATAGTCTATTGTATGTACCCAGATTGCTACTGTTCCTCTTATTTCTTCCTCCTCCTTGATGCCCCAAGCTTGATTCTCTTCCCATTTCTTTTCTGTTTGAAGAACTTCTTTTAGGGCAGTTTTTAAGGGTAAATCTGATCATGGTAAATTTTTTGGTTTTTCTTTATCCAAGAATGTTTTTATTTCCCCTCATTTCTAGAGAATAATTTTGCCAGATGTAAAATTCATAGATGGGCTGGGCACCATGGCTGACGACTATAATCCCAGCACTTTGGGAGGCTGAGGCAGGTGGAGGCACCTAGGGAGGTCAGGAGTTTCAGACCAGCCTGGCCAAGATGGTGAAACTCCATCTTTACTAAAAATACAAAAATAAGCCAAGCACAGTGGCGTGCACCTGTAATTCCAGCTACTTGGGAGGCTGAGGCACAAGAGTCGCTTGAACCCTGGAGGCAGAGTTTGCAGTGAGCTGAGATCACACCATTGCACTCCAGCCAGGGGGACAAGAGCGAAACTCCATCTCAAAACTAAATAAATAATAAAATTAAATTCATAAATAAAAATTATTTTTATTTTTCACAACTTGAAGAATGTTGTGCCACTTCTGGCCTCCATAATTTCAGATAGGGACATTATTGTCATTTGAATTTTTTTTGCCTATAAGTAATGCATCATTTCTTTCTGGATGCTTTCTAGAATTTTTCTGAGTTTTTAGTTATCATCAGAAGTTCAATTGTAACATGTTTTTGCATAGGCTTATTTGGATTTTTTCTGTATGAGGTTTGATCAGCTTGTTGCATCTTTGGTTTGTGTTTTTCACCAAATTTGGAGATTTTTGGCTATTCCTTCTTTGAATACTCTTTAGCACCATTTTGTGTCTCCTCTCCTTCTGGGACTCTGATGAGCGTTGAATTTTTTAATTGCCCCTGAGGATCTGTTTATATCATTTCATCTATTTTCTTTCTGGTGTTCATAATGAGTGAATTTTATTGATCTGTCCTCACAATCACTGATTTTGACATCTGTCATCTGTCCTCTACTCTCCTATCCAGTACATTTTGATTTTTTTCAGTTTTGTAATTTCCATTTGGTTCCATTTGATTCTTTCTTTCTTTCTTTTTTTTTTTAGAGACAGGATCTTGCTCTGTAGCCCAGGCTGGAGAGCAGTGGTGCAGTCATAGTTCACTGCAACCCCCAAATCCTGGGCTCAAGCCATCCTCCTGCCTCAGTCACTCGCATGAGTAGCTGGGACTATCAGTGCATGCCACCACAACCAGCTAATTTAAATTTGTTTTTGTAGAAATAAAGTCTCACTGTGTTTTCCAGGCTGGTCTTGAACTCCTGGCCTCAAGCAATCCTCCCACCTTGGCCTCCCCAAAGTACTGGGATTATAGATGTGCGCCACCAAGCCCAGCTGGTTCTTTTTTATAACTCCTATTTACTTGCACCACCAAGCCCAGCTGGTTCTTTTTTATAACTCTTATTTACTTGTTGAGATTTTCTTATGTTTCATTTGTTTCAGTAGACTTTTTAATTGATTGTTGAAACATCATGGTGACTTCTTTTTTTAATTTAATTTTATTTTATTTTAAGGATACATGTGCAGGACAGTGCAGGTTTGTTACATAGGTAAACATGTGCCATGGTGGCTATATCAACCCATCATCCAGGGTAATAAGCCCTGCATGCATTAGCTATTTATCCTGATGCTCTCCCTCCCCCTTGCTCTCCTGACAGACTGGATAAAGAAAGTGGTACATATACACCACGGAATACTATGCAGACATAAAACAGAATGAGATCATGTCCTTTGCAGGGACATAGCTGGAGCTGGAAGCCATTATCCTCAGCTAACTAACTCAGGTACAGAAAACCAAACACCACATGTTCTCACTTATAGGTGGGAGCTGAACAATGAGAACACATGGACACAGGGAGGGGAACAACACTCACTGGGGCATGATGGTTTCTTTAAAATCCTTTGTGGATGATTTCAATGTCTGACTCATCTCAGTATTGAAGTCAGTTAAGTGTCTTTTCTCATTCAAGTTGTGAGTTTCTTGGTTCTTGATGTGATGAGTGATTTTCTATTATTATCGCAGATATTTCATCTGGTAGCTTCATGGACTCTGGATTCTATTTAAATCTTTTCTTTTAGTAGGCAGTTATCTTGTTTAGGTTTAGTCATGTTTAGGTTTAGTCACCTCGTTTAGGTTTAGATTCTGGTATACTTTTGCGGACTATGGTTGCAATGAGAACTTGTTTGCAGTGCCTTTATGGTGCTCTATTAGCCAGCCTGGTTTATACAGGGCTGCTGGGGTCCCAGTGGTTCCTCCTGGTGCTTCTTGACGGGGCAGAAAAGATTTTCTTAGGCAAAGATGGCAGGTGTATCTCTTTGCGGGAGGAGATTCTTAAGCAGGAACAAGGAGGCTTCCTAAGCCAAGTGCTTTTTATGACGAGATTCTCCTCTGCTGTGGGGAACAGAGCATTCCCCAGGCCACGCACTTGTGGTTGAATCCACTATACTGTTGCCTCCAATCTCTGGGCAACAGTATAGTGGATTCAACCACAAGGATCAGGCTGTTTGTTTTGGTGGAGATCTACCTTGCTGGGGCTGTCGTGTTATATTTTGGTGAGAGAGGGAGATTTCAGGCCTGCCAGGGAAGGAAAGCACCTCCCTTAGCTTTTTACTGTTAGTGGTATTCCAATAGATCCTCCTTGCCTGTCATGTGGGGTTTGTCTGGGGCTGCTCTCAAACTCCTGACCTCAGGTGATTCACCCACCTCGGCCTCTCAAAGTGCTGGGATTACAGGTGTGAGCCACGGCAGCCGGCCTTGTGTTTAGTTTTGTATCATATTTACAACAGTTAATTTTGATACAGGAGCTAGAAAGAAATTACTTAGGCAGATAGTGAGGCTAAAGGAATTCTCAGCAAGGTTTCCCTTTTAACAAAAAGCAGCCCCAAAATAATTTCTTTTCTAACAAAGAGCAGCCTAAAAACTCCAGCTGCAAACATAAATCAGCAGGCTAAAGCTTGCACGGGTGAATGACAGCAGCTGTGCTAATAAAGGAGGAACCTGGAAGCCAGGTGCGTTCAGCACGGAGGCTCTGTCTTCCCTTCTCTCTTCATCACGTGTACAGTAAGGACCAGGCAACATGGCCCTGGGCAGGTAGAGAACCCATGTGCGTAATAAAAAATTAGGAAGGGGCGCCAGGCGCAGTGGCTCAGACCTGTAATCCCAGCACTTTGGGAGGCCGAGGCAGGCGGATCATGAGGTCAGGAGATCAAGACCATCCTGACTACCACGGTGAAACCCCGTCTCTACTGAAAATATAAAAAATTAGCCAGGTGTGGTGGCGGGCGCCTGTAGTCCCAGCTACTCAGGAGGCTGAGGCAGGAGAATGGCGTGAACCTGGGAGGCGGAGCCTGCAGTGAGCTGAGATCGCGCCACTGCACTCCAGCCTGGGGGACAGAGCCAGACTCCGTCTCGAAAAAAAAAAAAAAAAAATAGGAAGGGGCAGCCAGGTTCTTCGTGAGCTATGCAGATGGCACACCTGGTCCAACCAATCTTTCGTCCTCTATGTAAATCAGACACCACCTCCTTAAGCTACTCTATGAAACCTTCTGCATTTCAGCACAGAACTGGCAACTCATCTTTCTCCAGGACCCCTCTCTGTACAGAGGGCTCTCCTCTTTCTTTCGCCTATTAAACTTTTGCTCTTAACCTCACTCTGGTGTGTTGGTATCCTTAATTTCCTTAGCATGAGGCAACGAATCTCATGTATTACTCCAGATGAATAACACCACTTCAATTTTACTATCACTGTTTTTTTTTTTTTTTTTTTTTTGAGATGAAGTCTTGCTCTGTCGCCCAGGGTGGAGTGCAGTGGCACGATCTCGGCTCACGGCAACCTCTGCCTCCCAGGTTCAAATGATTCTCCTGCCTCAGCCTCCCAAGTAGCTGGGATTACAGGTACCCACCACCATGCCCAGCTAATTTTTGTATTTTTAGTAGAGACGGAGTTTTGCCATGTTGGCCAGGCTGGCCTTGAACTCCTGACCTCAGGTGATCCGCCTGCCTCAGTCTCCCAAAGTGCTGGGATTATAGGCATGGGCCACCGTGCCTGGCCCAATTTTACTATCTGTAAACAGTTTTTATTTACATTGTCATTCCTTTGTACTTTAAATTTCTTACATCTGAATTGTTAATTATAATTAATCTCATAAAATTTTTAAAAATTTAAACATTTCTTAAAAATTTTTATAGTAGGGGTTGGGTATTACTCAAGAGACATATTTTTCTAGGCCTTTGCAGATCTGAAAATATTATTCCATTAACTTTATGAATAAAATTAAAATAGGACTGAATATAGAGTTTGGGGTCACAACATTTAAATTTCAGTCGTATAATTCAACATTTTTTGTAGTAAAAATGCTTCATATCAGTTCATCTCTTGCAGGTTCATAATGTACATTAGTTTAATTAAGGCCTTCATTTGAGAAGGTTGTTTAATTTTGTTTAGCGTATCGTGTCTCAAGTGATAAAATGATGATGATGGAATTTTTGTGTGGTGTGCTTTTCCTGTTAATATTTATATCCTCAGGCTGGGCACAGTGGCTCACGCCTGTAATCCCAGCACTTTGGGAGGCGAAGGCAGGTGGATTACTTGAGCCCAGGAGTTCGAGACCAGCCTGCCCAACATGGTGAAACACCATCTCTACTAAAAATACAAAAATTAGCTGGGTGTGTTGACACACACCTGTAATCCCAGCTACTCAGGAGGTGGAGGCAGGAGAATCGCTTGAACCCGGGAGGCAGAGGTTGCAGTGAGCCGAGATTGTACCACTGCACTCCAGCCTGGGTGACAGAGTGAGACTCCATGACAGACAAAAAAAAAAAAAAAGCCTCATTGTTGCCCAGGCTGGGGTGCAGCGGTGCAATCATAGCTCACTGCAGCCTCAAACTCCTTGGCTTGAGTGATCCTCCCACCTCAGCCTCCCAAGTAGCTAGGACTACAGGCACACACCATCCACTAAGAGATATAATAAGTGAGCACTTACTTATATCTAAAAGAGAACTTGACAATGACTTAAATACTAAAGACACAGACCTAACAAAAATGGGCAGTCAAGGTGGCAACAGAGGCTGGTGATATGTCTTCCTGGGCCTCTGCACCTCCGTCTTCCACTTTACATCCTCAGCCTGTAGGAAGTACATCCTCATCCATGTTGCCTTCTGGCTACAAAAGGGCTGCTACAGCCTCAGACACCAGAACTATATTTGGAATGGGGTGGGGGTGGTAGCAAAAAAAAGCCTTTCTTCTCCAATGGTTCTCTTTCTTCTCCAATGGTTCTCTTTCTTATGAGCGAAGGGAACTCTTTCTCAGAAATCTCCTAGCAGCTTTTCCCTGTAAGTTTCATCAGCAAGATCAGAATGGTATGCCTACTCTTAGCAGCAAGAGAAGCTGAGAAAATAGGAAAAGAGGCCAGTGATCGTGATTGGCTTAGATCTGCTATGATCCACCCTTGGTGCTGGAGTCTGTCAACCTTAAGTAACGAGATTTAATAACGATATTTCGGCTGGTCTCGAAAATATGATTAAGTATAGAGTTTATTGCAGCCCAAAGGTAAGAATAGCCATTCAGGAAACACAAACTCCAGAGAAATGGGGTCAGTGCTCTCAAGTTAAAAGTTAAGGTCTTTGCTGGGTGCGATGGCTTACACATATAATCCCATTGGTTTGGAAGGTCAAGGCTGGAGGATTGCTTGAAGCCAGGAGTTTGAGACAAACCTGGGCAACATAGGAAGACCCCATCTCTGCAAGAAAAATTTAAAACTTAGCGGGCATGGTGATGTGCACCTGTAGTCCCAGCTACTCAGGAGGCTGAGGTGGGAGGATGGCTCAAGCCAAGGAGTTTGAGGCTGCAGTGAGCCATGATTGCACCACTGCATCCCAGCCTGGGCAACAATGAGGCTCTTTCTCTAAGAAAAATAATAGTAAAAAAAAATGTGAAAGTCTTGCTTATATAGGCAGTAAACAAAGGAATTTAGTAGAATTATAACATTTTCTTATACAAGGCTAGTTTATGAGCTGCAGCAATTTAGTTAGTTACAGTTTATTTTCTTTTCTATGCAGCTTGTTTTCATTTCCTTTCCAATTTAAACAAGTGTATTTAACATTCCATCTTAGACAATGTGATAGTCATAATGTCTTTGTGTTAGAAAGGTAAGTGGGAAGTTAATCTATAATGAAGATAAACAGTGAACAGAGAAGGGGTCTTCCCTGATGTGCTTTCATCATTTACAATTTCTAAAACAATGTATTAACAGGTAAGGAAGAAGAATAATCTATAATCATACAAACAAAGGTTATAGCTGCCTAGGTTACAGCTGCCTGTTTATGTGACTCAGTTCCCATAATCACATGCCCTTAAGGGTCAAAGTATTTTAAAGTTCCAACAGCTTAGATTTTGAATTACTTATTTTTACAACTCATTATTATCAAATCAAATCAGTTTTTTGTTTTGTTTTGTTTTTTAAGAAAGGAAGAGGGGAAGTGAGTGGCTTCTGGCCATACCACAAATGGCACCAGCCACAACCTTCCTCTAAGTAAAATTGTAGGCAGAATGCCTCACTGGAACTACTTTTAAGTATCTGTCCCTTGTTTTCTTGTTCTTTGTAGAAAATAAGTTTGAACTTGGCTTGATTATATTCCTTGTAGAGAATCTGTTTTGTACAACCTGCCTGGTGCTTATGATTTTTTTTTCTTATTTGTTTAAAATCATGTTATAGATTGATTGGTCAGAATGGTTCATCTTTATTACTTTGCTTTGCACTTCTAAAATGTAGGCACAGGCCTTCCATCCAGTGCAGTTTTCTGCTATTCTCTTTTTTTTTTTTTGAGACAGAATCTCACTCTGTTGCCCAGACTGCAGTGCAGTAGCATGATCTTAGCTCATCGAAAGCTCTGCCTCCTGGGTTCAAGTGATTCTCCTGTCACAGCCTCCCGAGTAGCTGGGATTACAGGCACCCACCACCACATCTGGCTAATTTTTGTATTTTTAGTAGAGACGGGGTTTCACCACGTTGGCCAAGCTGGTCTCAAACTCCTGACTGCAGATGATCTGCCCGCCTTGGCCTCCCAAATTGCTGGGATTACAGGTGTGAGCCAACTTGCCTGGCCTATTATTTTCTTTTTTAATTCTTGCTTATGCTTTCGTTTTGTTCTTACTCAGCCTTATGGTTTTCTCCTGTGCAACACATCGAATTCTTACTTCTGTTCTCTTCCTTCATATTTGTCGACCCCCCCCCTCACTGTTTCATACCTTTTCCATCTGAATTCAGAGACATTCTGATGTTGGTCCTCTGCGTTAGTACTCCTGATTTAGAGAGATTCTAATGTTGGTCCTCTGCGTTAGTACTCCTTGATTTCTGGAGTGTATGTTGTGCTGTATGAAACTGTTAACCAGAAACGGGCCCCAATCCAGACCCCAAAGAGATGGTTCTTGGACCTCGCACAAGAAAGAATTTGGTGCGAGTCCTTAGAGTAAAGTAAGAGCAAGTTTATTAACAAAGTAAAATAACGTTATTAAGAAAGTAAGGGAATAGGCTGGGCGTGGTGGCTCACACCTGTAATCCCATCACTTTGGGAGGCCAAGACTGGTGGATCACTTGAGGTCAGGAGTTTGAGACCAGCCTGGCCAACATGGTGAAACCCCATCTCTGCTAAAAATACAAAACTTAGCCGGGCGTGGTGATGCATACCTGTAATCACAGTTACTGAGGAGGCTGAGGCAGGAGAATTGCTTGAACCTGGGAGGCAGAGGTTATAGTGAGCCGAGATTACGCCACTGGACTCCAGCCTAGGTGACAGAATGGAGAAAAAAAAAAAAGTAAATGAATTAAAGAATGGCTACACCACAGGCAGAGCAGTGGCATGGGCTGCTCGATTGAGTATTCTTATAGTTATTTCTTGATGATATGCTAAACGACGGATGGATTATTCATGAGTTTTCCAGGAAAGGTGTGGGCAATTCTTGGAACTGAGGGTTCCTCCCCTTTTTAGGCCATATGACATTGCCATGGCATTTGTAAACTGTCATGGTGCTGGTGGGAGTGTCGTTTAGCATGCTTATCTATTATAATTAGCATATGATGAGCAGTGAGGACGACCAGGGGTCACTTTCATCGCCATTTTGGTTTTAGTGGGTTTCGGCCAGCTTCTTCATGGCATCCTGTTTTATCAGCAACATCTTTGTGACCTGTATTTTGTGCCAAACTCCAATCTCATCCTGTGACTTAGAATGACTTAACCTCCTGGGAATGCAGCCCAGTAGGTCTCAGCCTCATTTTATCCAGCCCCTATTCAAGATGGAGTCACCCTGGTTTCAAAGCCTACACAACCTACAACGTAATTTTGATTTTGCTCTTGGTTTTTTATTTTCCTAGTATCTTCTTCTGTCTTTCTTGAATCCCTTTCGGCTTCATTCCCTTTTCAATTTCTTCTCCTCCTGCTTCTGTTCCATAGTGTGCCTGGATTTTTTTTAAGACACTAAGCTGTGTTAAAGCACCATCTTTGTTTGCTAACAGTGATTTTTGGAGTTGTTTTTCTCCTCTAATCAGGATAATGTTTATTTTCCTTCATTTCCTTTTCAAAACTATTGTGCTAACTCCCCTCCAACCCTCGCCCCGGATCCGTATTTTCCCAGTATCCTGCGATTTGTCGCAAAGTGCAAAGGTTATCTATCTTGGTTTTCCAATTTCTTTGGGGCTGTTTGTCTTCTTGTGGCTCAGAGAGTGTACTTGGTGGTTTCTTTCTACATCGTTTCTCAGACACACGGCTGAATTAGACACATAGCTGAATTAGTGGAAATTCCTCCCAGATATTGGCCTTGTGATCATCTTTTTTTTTTTTTTTTTAATAGATGGAATCTCACTCCGTTGCCCAGGCTGGAGTACAGTGATGCGACCTCTGCTCACTGCAAACCTCCGCCTCCTGGCTTCAGGCAGTTCTCTTGCCTCAGCCTCCTGAGTAGCTGGGACTACAGGCACATGCCATCACGCCCAGCTAATTTTTGTGTTTTTAGTAGAGACGGGGTTTCACCATGTTGGCCAGGCTCCTCTCGAACTCGTGACCTCAGGTGATCCACCCACCTCAGCCTCCCAAAGTGTTGGGAATAGAGGTATGAGCCACCGTGCCCAGCCAGTCATCTCTTATCTATAGTTCACAGTTGGCACTATCTTTTTTATTTCTTTGTGTATTCTTCTGGGAAATTAGCAAGGAAATCTGGTTTGACTCTGGGCCAGCATGCAATTGGCTGATACTTGCAAAATTCCCAGTGAGGAGTAATAGAAAAAAGCACAGGGCTTTGAGGCAAATAAACTTACTCCCAGCTGTGCCTCCTGTTTGCTGTGGGACTGTGAGCCTGTTATTGTGCCCCTCTGAGCCTGCTTCCTTAGCTCTCATAGGAATGTCTGCATGACAAGGTCATTGTGAGGATGAAATGAGAGACCACATCTGAGATGCTGGACACACTGTCACTCACTGTGTGTCCAGTCCCCTCCCTCCTATTCCCATGTAGTGCTCTACATGGAAACAGCAAGCATCAGATTTCTTGTGAACCAGCTCTGATCGATGGCCCGGGTCAGCGTCTGTGCCTGGATCTCATTCTCATAGCTAGGGCCCTGCTTTTAGCGTCTCATACGTGGAGACTTCTCCTAATTTCCCAGAAGAATACACACAGAAATAAATTAAAAATATAGTCAGTGCCAACTGTGACCTGGAGATAAAAGATGACCACAGGCCTATATCTGGGAGGAATTTCCACTAATTCAGCCATGTGTCGGAGAAAGGATGTAGAATGAAACCAACAAGTATGCTCTCTGAGTCTATTCCACATGACTGTGGGCTTGGGGCACCGGCTATGCCTTCCTGAGAGCCGCCTCTGCCGCAGTTTCTGTGCCTGGCAGGATGCGCGCACACACCTTTGGAGATACGATATGGTGTTGTGGTTAGGCTCATAGATGCTGGAGCCAACTGGCTGCTTCTGAGTGCCAGATGCCCCTTACAAGCTGTGGAAGCACAGTCAACTTCTTCTCCTTATTTTTGCTTCATTTCCTTCATCTTTAAAGTGGGGATATGATTTACACACCTCCTAGGGTTGATGGAACTGTGCAAAGCATTAAACACTTCCTGACACATGACAAGTACTGTATCAGTGTCTGCTGTGATGACGACAATGATGGTGGTGATGATGATGATGATGAAGATGGCCATCCTTGTCGTTGTCATCAGACATTGTCTCTTGCTGCAGACTGTTTGCTGACACCTGTTGTCACACCTGGGCACTCTGTGCCCTGCTGCCTGACTGACACGGCCTCCCTTCCCCCACTGCTCTCCAGTCTGTGTCCCTGGACCCGCTGGATTCGAGGAGTGAGGTCTCATTCCCTTCCCCATCTGTCCTGCACTGTGCAGTCACCTTCTCCACTCCCAGCTATATATGCCCAACACTAAAAAAGATAAAGGATGGAGACTCTAGAGCCTGTCCTTAGAGACAATAAAAAAGAGACGAGCCTGCTATCCGGAAAGATTTAGACATTTATCTGCCTGCAGGCAAGAGACTGAACTGCATGATCCTTCAAGGTCACGCCTCTGCTCAAAATCTTTCAAAGACTCCACTTCTCCCTGAGGACAGTGCAAATTCCGAAACCCTTCATGATCTGCCTCCTAAGCCCAGTCCCCTCTCATGGGGGTTGCGTAACACTTTCACAAGCCTACCCTGAAAACCTCCCAAATTACTCATGGTCCCAACACATGTCCTCGCACCTCCACACTTGCCCAGTGGCTCTTCCCTGTGCCCATGGGCCCCTCCCTTTCTGCTCTCCTCCCTGAAGCTAATGCCTGCATCATGCATTCATAGGCTGCTTAGTAGTCAGGGCTTGCTGGGGAAGCAGACTGCCTAGCCCACCCCTGGGGGCCCTGCTCCTGTGTCCTCACAGCCCCCGCATGGACTTGTGAAATAGCACACGGGCCCCTGTCCTGAAGCCAGTGGTTCCTCGTGTTCACAGACACTGAATAAGCACAACTCGTGACATAATCAAAGCACAACTTTTATATTTGTTTCCTTCTGTTGCCCCTTTAAAATGTATCCCATCAGAGAAATGTCACTTTGTCCCTAGGTGAAAATTCTGGCAGGCCTGTGACTTCAGTGTGGAGGAGATTTTTTTTTTTTTTTGACACGAAGCTTCGCTCTGTCACCGAGGCTGGAGTGCAGTAGCGGGATCTCGGCTCACTGCAACCTCTGCCTCCCAGGTTCAAGTGATTCTCCTGCCTCCACCTCCCGAGTAGCTGGGATTACAGGCGTATACTACCGCCCGGCTAATTTTTGTAATTTTAATAGAGACGGTGTTTTGTTATATTGGCCAGGCTGGTCTCAAACCCCTGGTCTCAAGTGATCTGCCTGCCTCAGTCTCCCAAAGTGCTGGGATTACAGGCATGAGCCATCGTGCCTGGCCCCACAAGACTTTTAAGAACTAAATATTTTACTCCTACAACAAAGTACAGAGCAAATATAGGAAACACCATGTTATATAACAAATCACCTGTACTGAACAAATGTTAAACTATGCAGCATTTGCTTCAGAATTTCTAAAGAGGTGAAATATTGTAGATCTGTGTCCTCTTAGTTTTCTTCCCGGTTTTAAGTTCTTCTCTTTTTCCCACTGGGCCACATTGGCTTTTATCTTTTCTAACCACATTTTTCTGTTTTTCTATGTAGGTGTGTAGTGTAAACAGTAATGTGCTTTACATAAAAGGCATCAATGAAAGGTGATGTCTGCAGCTGAAGATCAAGACCTTTATTCTGCTCAGCCAGTTTCTGTTCACCCACACTGTGCGTGTTGAGAATATCTTGTATAATTTTATCTAAATGGTGTAAGACTGCAATGAGCTGGGTTTATATTTTTAAGCATCAAGATGCTTTTTAAGATTTATCTGGCCAGGCACAGTGGCTCACACCTGTAATCCTCAGGTTTGAGGCCTGAGGCAGGCCTTGGGAGGCCAAGTCAGGTGGATCACCTGAGATCAGGAGTTCGAGACCAGCATGACCAACATGGTGAAACCCCATCTCTACTAAAAATACAAAAATTAGTTGGGTGTGGTGGCACATGCCTGTGGTCCCAGCTGCTCGGGAGGCTGACGCAGGAGAATTGCTTGAACCAGGGAGGAGGAGGTTGCAGTGAGCTGAGATAGTGCCACTGCACTCCAGCCTAGGTGCAGAGCAAGACTCTGTCTCAAAAAAAAAAGAGAAAGATTTATCCATGTTGATGCGTGTCAATATAGATTATTTTAAATGCTGCAGAATATTTCATTATACCATCATCAATACATCCAGTCTCATACCATGGATCATTTAGATTGCTTCCAAATTTTTATTATTACAAGTCATGTTGCTATTGAAATCATAACTACTGGCCAGGTACAGTGGCTCACACCTGTAATCCCAGCACTTTGGGAGGCCAAGGTGGGTGGATCATCTGAGATCAGGAGTTCAAGACCAGCCTGGCCAACACAGAGAAATCCTGTCTCTATCAAAAATACAAAAATTAGCAGGGCATAGTAGTGTGCACCTGTAATCCCAGCTACTCAGGAGGCTGAGGCAGGAGAATCGCTTGAACCTGGGAGGCAGGGGTTACAGTGAGCTGATACTGAGCCACTGCACTCCAGCCTGGGCAACAGAGCAATACTCCATCTCAAAAAAAAAAAAAAAAAAAAAAAGAAAACTACCTGTACAGCATGAGTTTCTTTAGGACTGTGTTATTGGGAATACATATCTTTAGTTCCATTAAGAATTGGTAAGTTGTTCTCTCTTTGTTTTTAAAGTAGAGATGGGGTCTTGCTATGTTGTCCAGGCTGGTCTTCAACTGCTGGGCTCATTCAATCCTTCCACCTCGGCTTCCCAAAGTACTGGGATTACAGGCATGAACTACTGCACCCAGCCTGCTGCGTTGCTTTCTAAAGAGCTTTGTTTCAATGCACAATCTCATCAATACCTTATGAAAGCTCCCACTTACCTGCATCCTTGGTAACTTAATCTTTGCCAATACGCAGAGTGTGAAATGATATTTCATAGTCGTTTTGATTTGCTCTGCTTTTCACTTCAGAGAGGCTGAACATTTCCCCGTCTTTATTGGCCAGTTGGGTTCTCTCTTTTGTAGCTTGCCTGTTCATCGTCTTTGCCAGGTTTTTCAATTTGGTGGTGTGTCTTTTTCTTCTTTGTTTTGATTCATTGTTGTACTCTTACATGGAGTAACTCAGTGCTCCTGGGCAGTAGCAAGCAGAGAAATAATAACTCAAGCTACAGTCTGCCTGGACGGCTCCAAACTCAAGCCAACTTGCTACGTCCCCAGGAGAGAGAAAGAACTTCCATCTTTGCCAAGTAGAAGAATCTGGGCAGTAATGAATGAGGATAACAGCCAACCATGTGTGGATACTTAATTGCGTGAATCTGCAACTCCATGGTTCATTTCCTACATAAGCTTAGCCAGAGTCATTCAGGTGTGTTTGCCATACAGGGTTACTCTAAGTGTATGCTAAAGTTATTGCTGTCAGGTGCATTTACTCTGCAGCTGGTCTGGGATGGCCTTGGGTGGCAAGACCCAACTCCTGCCATGGGTCTCCCATATCTCTCCAGAAGGGTACCAGCCCCTGCCATGGGTCTCCTGTACCCCTCCAGTGATGTTCACATGGTGGGGCAGGATTGAAGAGGGAGAGAATAAGCACCTCCACATGTTCATGAGTCACTGGAGGCTGGAACCAGTCAGCATGGTCCAAATGTTCTCTCCAGTGCGTGGGGGCAAGTTAACTCTTCTATACATGACTCAAATTCTTCACCTGGATAACATCATTCTTGCTATTTTGGTTATTGTGACTTTGAAGGATGATACACTACATCTCTCTTCAAATTACCGTTTATTTCATGAGATGAGTAGATTCTGATTCTAAAGCAACCAGGAGTGGCTTACACACCTTGCGACTTTGATCAAGCATTTAATTCTACTTGGCTGGCTTCCTACTACTTTCTTGGCCTTCTCATTTAAATGGTCAAAGGCTCCCAATCATTTCACACTTCTGCCTGTTCCCCCCTCACTCTCTCTCTTCCACCCTCCACTATGCAAAGAGAAAGAGTGTTTTTTTGGCTCATCTGTGCTGTTTCACCTGAATTAACCTCGCTAGCTAGAAAGCCATCATCTTTTCTTTCCTCCTTTGTAAGAGAGTATTCTTTTGATTAATTATTTACTCTTAAGAGTTTATATATATTTTTTAGATTAGCTAGAGGTCCATCTATATTATTAGTCTTTACAAACTATTATCTTTTGGCGCGGTTATCATCTCCTCTGTTTTTTTCGATCATAATTTATTAATGTCTCTTTAATATAGTTTGATTATATTTATTTTCAGCATTTCTGTGTGTTTTTACTTGGGTTTGTCTTTGTAAGTAGCATATAGCTGGATTTAAAAGCATCCAATCAGCTGGGTGTGGTGGCTCATGCCTGTAATCCCAGCACTTTGGGAGGCCGAGGTGGGTGGATCACCTGAGGTCAGGAGTGCGAGACCAGCCTGGCCAACATGGCGAAACCCCGTTTCTACTAAAAATACAAAAATTAGCCAGGCATGGTAGCGGGCACCTGTAATCCCAGCTACTCAGGAGGCTGAGGCAGGAGAATTGCTTGGAACCAGGAGGCAGAGGCTGCAGTGAGCCAAGATCACAGCATTGCACTCCCACCTCGGCAACACTCGCAAAATTCCGTCTCAAAAAAAGAAAAAAAAAGCATCCAATCAGATAGTCTTTGCCTTTAAAGAGATCAGTTTAATCCACTTCCTCTGTGTGTATGTGTGTGCACATATGTGGGTGTGTGTATGTGTGAATAGAGACACTGTTGGACTCATTTGTACTATCCTTATTTTGTGTTTTCTATATCATTGGTTAGGTTGCATTCTTTACCTGTTGAGTAGATTAACCCTCTTCTCATTTTGTTTCCTTCTGAATTGGCATCATTGTCCGAGGTAAATACCTGAGGTTCATGCCTCATGCCGAGGAAATCAAGGACACAGACACACACAAGAAGTGAGTTTAAGAGTGAAGGTTTAATAGGCAAAAGAAAGAGAAAGGAGAATAGCTTGCTCTTCTCGAGAGAGAAGGGTGCCTGAGTGGGACTCCCAGCTGGCAGCAGACTGCACTGGATTTTATAGACAGGCTTGAGGAGGCAGTGCATGATTTACATAGGGCCCACAGATTGGTTGGACCAGGTGTGATGTTTATATAGTGTGAGGGGAAGCTGGCTGCCCCACCCTAATCTTATTATGCAAATGGGCTTTCACTTGGCCTGCACCAGGTTGTCTGCTCCTTACTGCACACGTGGTTGGCAAAGAGAAGGGAAGATGGAGCCGCCATGTTGGACATGCCTAGTCCCAGGTAGCCCCTTTCCTACTGGTACAACTGCCGGCATTCACCCATGCAAGCTTCTGGCCTGCCTTTCTATGTCTGCAGCTCAGTTTTACAGGCTGCTGTTTGTTAGAAAAGGAAATGATTTGGGGGCTGCTTTCCACTGAAAGGAAGACTTTACTGAGGACTTCCTTACCCTCACTATCTGCCCAAATCATTTCTTCTTAACTCCTATTTCACTTCCTTGGTTTGGAAGCTATAAATTGTATTTCTGTTAATTTAGAGGTTACCCTTGCATTTATTTTTTATTCTGTTTTGTTTTGCGACAGAGTTTCACTCCTATGGCCCAGGCTGGAGTGCAATGGCGTGATCTTGACTCACTGCAACCTCTGCCTCCCCGGTTCAAGTGATTCTCCTGCCTCAGCCTCCAGAGTAGCTGGGATTACAGGCACCTACTGCCATGCCCAGCTAATTTTATATTTTTAGTAGAGACAGGGTTTTGCCATGTTGGCCAGGGTGGTCTTGAACTCCTGACCTCAGGTGATCCACCTGCCTCCGCCTCCCAAATTGCTGGGATTACAGGCGTAAGCCACTGTGCCCGGCCGACCCTTGCATTTTAATATCTTTTAAAATGTTTTAATGAAGTTCAAAATTAATTATTCAGCATCTCTGTGGCCACCGCCACCTTCATTTTTTCTTGATTTTTTGGGTGACCCTGATAATATCACAGAGGCAGGGAGACAGAGGGGCTTCACATTGGCTGACCAGAGGCATCTGGTACTCACCTCCTTCACAAAGAAGAACCAAAACAGCCAGTCGATAATCACATACTGAATAGATCACCTAAGAGAGAAAGCTAGAAGTCAACTAAAAAGTGAGAAAACACCAAAGGCAAGGCGAGGGAAGCCAGGCAGCGTGCCTGGCTGGGATGAGCTGGGAGCCTGCAGTGTTTCCCATTGCAGGAAAAGAGTGAGTGTTTCAGAAAAACTCTTCAGCTGTGTTTTTCCTCGACTCTCGTACCACCACCACCACAACTGTCAACACAGAGGAAGACTTCTGTGACCAGATGCGCAGGGGTTTTCCTCCCACACCAAGCAGCAGACACAAGCCGGGAGTCCTTCAATTCCATTCTGACACTATCTACCTAGAGAGAGGTAGGTAGTTCCACCCTCCAGGAACTTCCACGTGTTCAGCTATCCAGAAGCTCCCCAAACTGAACCCTGTCCTCTTGTTTTTTTTTTTGGTTTTGTTTTTTCATTTCAGACAGGGTCTCGCTCTGTCGCTCAAGCTGTAGTGCAGTGGTGTGATGTCTGCTCACTGTAACCTCCTCCGCCTCCCAGGTTCAAGCGATTATTGTGCCTCATCCTCCTGAGTAGTTGGGACTACAGGTGTGCCTGGCTAATTTTTGTATTTTTAGTAGAGGCAGAGTTTCACCATGCTGGTCTCAAACTCTTGACCTCAGGTGATCCTTCCGCCTCAGCCTCCCAAAGTGCTGGGATTGCAGGCATGAACCACCACCCCCAGCCCCTCTTGGGTTTTTATGGATGCCTCACGATGTCAGCATTTTGTCCCCCAGGGTATAGGGGAGGACCCTCTCTGGAAAGGGTCTTAAGACCCACAATCAGAAAGGCAGGGGAAGATTAGAGTCCTGCCTTTGGGCAGATGAAAGGGGGGCAGGGGAAAATCAGAGAGATTCTGTCTCCTGAGACTTGTTCCTAAGATCTAACACACTAAATATTATAACAAAAGACTATAACGAGGGCTAAGGGAGTTATGGACCAGGAACCATGGATAAAAACTAATATATATCATAGCACTGCGGTGAATGATTCCCGGTGTCCACATTCCCACTGTAGACTCCTGTAGTCTTAGCCAGGGAGCCACGGGCAGTGTGGCGGTGTCCTGGTGTGTGGTTTTTCTGCTTCCTGTGGCCTTCTTAAGATCAGCTCCATGTCAGCCCCAGGGTTGGAAAGAACCCTGTGGCCTCTTTTCCTGAGTCGAGGAGCCTGCTCTCAGCACCTGCTTTCAAGGAATGAGCTGAGCCCAGGTGTCTCATTTTGTAGGGGGCAATTTTAGACATCTTTCCACAGGAGGGGAGGAGCACCCCGCTACCTCTCTCTGTTTCTGTACCCGAAGTCAGCAGGCCTTCAGTTTCAGGGCAATTTTCTGCATTACATTTGGGTTCCGTTTTTGGCCTATAGAAATGATTACTTTGTTCTTTAAATGGACAGTGTCTTTCCCTTATTTATGTTGCAGAGGGCGTGGAAGTGGTGCTCAGAGCAGGCCCTTCTATCGCCCACTGGACTGGTGTACTGCTGCTAGATCCTGAGTTACTTGAGGATAAGAACCATTTAAAGTATTTCATTTCTATATCCCTATGAGGAACACTATGCCATTGTAAAGTGGTGTCAAGAATTCTGATGTGTTGGCTGGGCGTGGTGGCTCACACCTGTAATCCCAGCACTTGTGGGAGTCCGAGAGACAGGAGAATCACCTGAGATCAGGAGTTTGAGACCAGCCTGGCCAACATGGTAAAACCCTGTCTCTACTAAAAATACAAAAATTAACTGGACGTGGTGGTGCACACCTGTAATCCCAGCTACACAGGAGGCTGAGGCAGAAGAATCACTTGAACCTGGGAGGTGAAGGTTGCAGTGAGCAGAAATAGTACCACTGTGCTCCAGCCTGGGCAAGAGAGTGAGACTCTGTCTCAAAAAAAAAAAAAAAAAGAAAAAGAAGAGGCCAGGCATGGTGGCTCACGCCCGTAATCCTGCACTTTGGGAGTCTGAGACAAGAGAATCACCTGAGGTCAAGAGTTTGAGACCAGCCTGGCCAACATGGTAAAAACCTGTCTCTTCTAAAAATACAAAAACTAACTGGATGTGGTGGCACACACCTGTAATCCCAGCTATATGGGAGGCTGAGGCAGAAGAATCCCTTGAACCTGAGAGGTAAATGTTGCAGTGAGCAGAGATTGTACCACTGCACTCCAGCTTGGGCAACAGAGTGAGACTCTGTCTCAAAAAAAAAAAAAAAAAAAAAAAAAAGAATCCTGATGTGTCTGAGATTTTATACTACTTGCATGCTAACCAGTGACCTGCCATGGTTTTCTGGATGCTAGCAGAAGACATGAGACACCTAAATTATACAAAGAACTTTATTCCTCAAGCCATAGCAGTAGGCAGAGTATCATTATTTTTAGTTGGTCCCCTGAGCCCCAGTTCCCATAGAGCAGGGGTCCCCAACCCCCCGGCCGTGGAGCAGTAATGGTCCATGACCTGTTAGGAAGCAGGCTGCACAGCAAGAGGTGAGAGGTGGGTGAGTCAGTGAAGATTCATCTGTATTTACAGCCTCTCCCTGTCCCTCTCATTCCTGCCTGAGCTCTGCCTCCTGCCAGATCAGCGGCAGCGTTAGAGTCTCATAGAAGCATAAACCCTATTGTGAACTGCGCATGTGAGGGATCTAGGTTGCACGCTCCTTATGAGAATCTAATGCCTGATGATCTGTCACTGTCTCCCATCACCCCCAGATGAGACTGTCTAGTTACAGGGAAACAAGCCCAGGGCTCCCACTGATTTTACATTATGATGAGATGTATAATTGTTTCATTATATATTACAATCTAATAATAATAGAAGTAAAGTGCACAATAAATATAATGTGCTTGAATCATCCCCAAAACCATCCCCTCTCCCCAGTCCTAGGAAAAATTGTCTTCCATGAAACCAGTCCCTGGTGCCAAGTTGGGGACCACTACCATAGAGTGATGCTCAGAGGACACAGTGTCATCTGCATAAAATTATAGGGGAGGACCCCTTAGCTAAGGGGCAGTAGGCTTGCCTGACCTCAGTCCTGGAGGGAGACATCATCTCTACCATACTGGGCAGTAATTAAATTTGCACTTTCTCTGGAGGGAGACACTGTGGCTTCAAAGGCTGTTCTCTCTGCAAACATCCTTGAAAAGACAGTACTGAACAAAAGCATTTGGTGCCTGTGCTTATAAGACATACAGAAATGTAAGAGATCCACAGAGAATTGTCTTCCAACAAATAGTTGCTCAATAAGTCTTTTCCGCAGTTTCATTATGTGCATAAATGTACTACAGTGATAGGATATAGTGAAAGCATAATAGTCACCAGAGATGGAGGATGGATCTCTAGTGTTGCCTATGACTCTGGGATAAACTGCAGTCAATTCAGGGAAGTTTGGTCTCTCTCTATATGCACAATGGGAAGTAATAGGACCAGGCAAAAGCCTGTCAACAATAGGTCTCGTGACAACACCTGGAGCCACAGCTGGCGCTGCCCCTGCCCTCAGTGCTAAGGCTGCTACTGTTCTTCGGCCAGCACCGTAAAGAATTCATGCCTGTAATCCCAGCACTTTGGGAGGCTGAGGTGGGCGGATCACGAGGTCAGGAGATCAAGACCATCCTGGCTAACACGGTGAAACCCCGTCTCTACTAAAAATACAAAAAAAATTAGCTGGGCGTGGTGGGGGGGTGCCTGTAGTCCCAGCTACTTGGGAGGCTGAGGCAGGAGAATGGCGTGAACCCAGGAGGCGGAGCTTGCAGTGAGCCGAGATAGCGCCATTGCCCTCCAGCCTGGGTGACAGAGCAAGACTCCCCCTCAAAAAAAAAAAAAAAAAAAAAAAAAAAGAATTCTCTAGAGTCCCTGAGTTTTTGCAATACTGACTCAAGATTCAGCATCGTGATTGCCTGCATCTGGTTGGACGATCCTTAGGCATAGAAGCTGACTTGTTTGAGGGTTTATTCTCAGAAGTGGCTCAAATTCCCACCAAGACTCTTATGGTGGGGAAGCTCCCAGACGTAAGAAAGGAATGCAGATCTTGAGCCTACACTTTGCTTGGACACATATCTTTGGCAGCTGCTAAGATGTGTGTTAGTCTGCTTTTGCTTCAGGAGCTGGTGGGCATGAAGAGGGATGATTTTGGTTTTCTTTGCATTGCTTTTTTTTTTTTTTTTTTTAAAGACAGAGTCTCACTCTGTCTCCCAGGCTGGAGTGCAGTGGCACAATCTCAGCTCACTGCAACGTCTGCTTCCCAGGTTCAAGCGATTCTCCTTCCTCAACCTCCCAACTAGCTGGGATTACAGTCGCCCGCCACCATGCACGGTTAATTTTTATATTTTTAGTAGAGATGGGGTTTCACCATGTTGGCCAGGCTGGTCTTGAACTCCTGACCTCAGGTGATCCACTGGCCTCAGTCTCTCAAAGTGCTGGGATTACAGGTGTGAGCCACCACACCTGGCTCTTTGCATTGCTTTTTGTAAGCACTGTGGAGACATGTGTCTCAGGTAAACTCCCAGCAGGTGTCCATAGCCCATGAGACAGACCTGTGTGGCTGAGTGCCAGGCACTAGCCCCTCTGATTGTAAAATCTGATGAGAGGAAGCAGGTGCAACACTGTCTGGTCTAAATTCTCATCAAACTCACGTTTTCATTTTTATTTATTTATTTAAAAATTTTGAAACAGGGTCTTGCTGTGTTGCCCAGACTGGAGTGCAGTGGTGCCATCAAAGCTCACTGCAGCCTTGAACTCCTTGGCTTAAGTGATCCTCCCACCTCAGCCTCCCAAGTTCCTGGGACTATACAGGTGCATGCCGCTGTGCCAGCTGATTTTTTTCTTTTTCTTGGTAGAGATAGGGTCTCGCTATGTTGCCGAGGCTGGTTTCAGACTCTTCCCTTGGCCTCCCAAAGCACTGAGATTAGAGACATTGTTATCAAGCAAAAGGGTGCCCAATGCACTAGAATTGATTTTGGTTTTTGACCAAAATCAGTTCTATGACATCAGGTTTTTTAGAAAAGAAAAGCTTTATATGGAAAGTCAACTCATAAGCAGACAGAAGTGTCAAGATCAAATTCGTCTGTTTGTGGTTGGCTTCAAGGCAGTATTTTTATTAGAAAAGGTTCGGGTGGATTTTGAGATTAGGTGATTGGTGGAAAGAAAGTGCTCTGGAAAGTCCTTGGGCATGCGCAGTTATCTCTTCATGTTAGCTCACGGGTTGCACGTGCAAATTGCAGGGGGAGTTAGTCTGAAACAGGCAGGGGAAATTCAGGTTGTGACATCAGCAGGCTCCTTCTGTGCAAACTCCAGCCAGCCATCTTGGTTCCAATCGATTTCAGTCAGTTCTTTTATCTCATAAGCAGAGGGAGTTTCAGCCAGTTGTTTCTTTTTCTATCTGCCATCCTGCAGACTCAAGAATTTCCATTCACTTTTGGTTTCTTTTAACTCTTTGGGGGCACAGTTTCAGCGTGAGTCACTGCACGCAGCCTTTCAAGCAGCCTATCCATTTTCAATAGGATAAGGATCAAAGGGAGGACCTCGTTCATTTCCCATCTCTGGGAACATCTCAGCCATCCCTGCGCCCAGCGCTCCTGTCTCTGGACAGAACCTAGGCTAGGGTTCCGTGCAAGAGTCTGTAGAGGCCATCTATGCTCCAGGACACAGGCTGCTCCCATTTCTGCATTTGGGGAGGGAGAATCTCTGGGAGAAGGAGCCAGGCTCAGTGCTGGGAATGTGTGGCCCAAGACCATCCCCATGACCTAGCTCCACAAAGGAAGGGTCCCTGGAAGGTCACGTCCAGCTATCATATTTGCCTTTCTCTCTGGTTCTCAGTCCACCCTGCTTGGGGATGTTACGTGATTCATCACCTTTCAGTCATTGCCATGACCAGATGGCCAGCCTTGGGATCTACCCCCATGTGTTTTACATCAGTGTATCCTCTGAAGTTCTTTGGTTCTTGACCGAAATCATTGTTCAAATAAAGTCAATGGTGGACCCAAGACCAGTGACCAGAAATAAATGTTTGTCTTGAGAATCCTCTCAGTCTGGTGTGAATGGTTGGAAATTGTCTCTTGTGGAGACCGGAGTCTGGCATAATTAGAGTGTACTCGAGATCTCAAATTTTAAAAGCCTTAATATAGCTGGTAATACTATTAGGTTGGTGCCAAAGTAATTGCAGTTTTTGCCATCAAAAGTAATGGCAAAAGCTGCCATTACTTTGGCACCAACCTAACCTAATGTGTTTTGTACTGAAACTGGTATCATGAAAAGAGGATGGAAGAGCAAGAGAGTGAAAGTTAGTGCATGGAGGGAGGATTAAGGGGCATGGGTCTTCATGGTTAAAAATAATTATTGGTGTGATCTCATTAAAAAACTAAATAAAAAAGAGGCCGGGTGTGGTGGCTCACACCTATCATCCCAGCGCTTTTGGAAGCTGAGGTAAGAGGATCACTTGAGGCCAGAAATCAAGACCAGCCTGGGTCACAAAGCAAGATCCTATCTCTAGAAAAATAAAAATAAAAAATTAGCTGGTTGTGGTGGTGCATGTCTGTAGTCCCAGCTACTGTGGAGGCTGAGGCAGGAGGATTTCCTGAGCCCAGGAGTTGGAGGCTGCAGTGAGCTATGATTGCACTGCTGCACTCTAGCCCGGGCAACAGAACAAGACCCCCTTCTTTAAAAAATATAAAAATAAAAATGAAAGAGCACAGGTATGTTCCATGAAGCACATGGAAGATATTGGATATGGATTGTGCCAGGAAAATTAACAAGGGAGGTGGTGGATGGGATAGAGACTACAAATATTGATTCTGCCATTGGATTTAAACTTTATTGTTTTTTATGACTGAGGACACAGATGCCACCCACCAGAGGAATGAATGTCAAATTGGTGGAACAAGAGGCTAGCACGGGGCTCACATCCCTCCCTAAATGTGCCTCTGTTGCAGGACCTGTCTCTGGGCTTGTTTGCTGGGATGGGTTTGCCCAGAGAAGAGTATCTGTCCCTGCACAGCACCCTTCTTGCTGATGAGAAGAAACACAGCCAGTGACTAATTGGATTTGGTGAAAGCCCCAGCTGGTTGGGTGGGATTTGGTGACTGATGTGCCGCCCTGCTGTGGCTTCCTGGCTTAAGGACAGGACCTTCTTTCCCCAGACAGAAGGTTAATGAGAACAGAGAGCAAAACATCTCAGGGGCCTTCATCTCATCTCCCAGAACTATTGCCCAAATGGAGCCTGTGCTGGCTTCCAACCTAATTGCTAATCCGAGCGGAATTGCACCAGTCCAACCTCGGAGCTACAGAGCCGTAGGCCAGGTGGTGACCGTCTTCCTTCCCAGAGTGCCAGAAAGTTTGTTCCAACTGACAGCAGGGCCAGGGGAAAAGAACGTCTGTGGCTGCACTTTCCAAGTCACAGACATCTCTGCGGATGGTTTGTTCCCCAGAACTTGCCAATACCTGCCCACTTAATGCTTGTCAATTCATCCAGATCACAGATTGTCACTATAGTCTACTGCTTTCTGCCCAGAATCTTCAAGGACAGAATGGTCAGTAAGCATCGTAGCAGAAGAAAACACCTCAAGGGGTGGTGGAACAGGCACCTAGCCTGTGTATTCTTTTCTAAAAAGGACTAGATAGCAATATAAGCTGTGTGGGGTTTTTTTTTCTTTTTCTTTTTCCTTTTTTTTTTTTTTTTTTTTTTTTTGAGATGGAGTCTTGCTCTGTCACCCAAGCTGGAGTGCAGTGGCATGATGTCAGCTCCCTGCAACTTCCCCCTCCCGAGTTCAAGCAATTCTCCTGCCTCAATCTCCTGAGTAGCTGGGATCACAGGCACGTACCACCATGCCTGGCTAAGTTTTGTAGTTTTAGTAAACACAGGGTTTTGCCATGTTGGCCAGGCTGGTCTCGAACTCCTGACCTCAGGTGATCCACCTGCCTCGGCCTCCCAAAGTGCTGGGATTACAGGCGTGAACCACCATGCCCAGCCAAGCTGTGTCTTTATTGCAAGGATGATCCAAGTTAATAAAGATCATCATTTTGTTTACCATATATTTGGTTGAATTACATCAATTCAGACTATGCAGGGAAGGCCAGCCTGGACTACTTAGAGATACCTCATTATTTAGACATTTTGAAGAAATGGGGCTTTATTACAGCACATCCCCACATTTTTGTATATCGAAGGTAATTGAAACTAACTGCTACTTTTAAAAAGTATTTTTAAATGGAATCTCTGAGACACATTGATAATTAGAGCATCCTTTTATACCCTCAATTAAAACGCCAAAGTCTCTGGAAGTTTTCTTTTTACTTAAGTCACTTAAACGTAGCTGCGTCATTTTATTTACCCTTTGTTTGGCAAGGGAGCTCATTTTCAGTGATAATGGAGATGAAGACTTAGGCCCTCCCCTCATCAAATTATCATGCATCTTAAATGTGCCAAATCTAAAATTCTTAATGAGGGTTTACAGTTCATAAACACGTCTCTGGTTTTAAAAGCCTCATCTTAAGCAAGGAGAAGACACATTTCTGCTCTTGCCACGCGGTGAGATAACCATATATTGGCTCACAGATACGTATCTTCTGGCTTACCCATTATTTCTATGGTGCAAACATCAGAAGCAAGGAATACTCAAACCAGAATTCAGGCTGGGCAAGGTGGCTCACGCCTCTAATCCCAGTACTTTGGGAGGCCGAGACGGATGGAACACCTGAGGTCAGGAGTTTGAGACCAGCCTGGCCAACATGGCAAAACCCCGTCTCTACTAAAAATACAAAAATTAGCTCGGCGTGATGGTGCGCACATGTAATCCCAGCTACTTGGGAGGCTGAGGCAGGAGAATCGCTTGAACCCGGGAGGCAGAGGTTGCAGTGAGCCGAGATTGTGCCACTGCACTCCAGCCAGGGCAACAGAGTGAGAACTGTGTCTTAAAAAAAGGGAAAAAAAAAACCCAAAACAGAATTCAATTTTCAGGGAATGTGCCTGTTAAGTAGTGCAGGATTATTTTTTCAAAAATAGAGAGCACCTACTTATGTTGCTGTTAATGAGACCATCAACTGGAATAGATCAGCGTTTGCCCTCAAAGAACCCACCCTCCAGTGAGGGGATGGTGTGAGGGCTTTGGAGGACAATTCTCTCACCTGGCTGGCAATTCCTGGGGCTCAATGTTTATAGAACTGTCCCTCTTTTCATGAGTGAACATCAGGTGACTGTTCCAAGCTGCAAAATATGGGGAACAAACAAAAGATCGCAAGAGATCACACTCTGCCCACACGCCTTGCAGGTCTCAACATCAGCCTCTCCTGGTTACAGCTGAGACAGCCTTGATTGCTATACAGGAATCAAATGAGGGGAGCTTAACGGCCCATCAATCACTGCCAAGCACACGTGTGAATGAAGCACGCACGAAGCTGAAAGCTGCATGGTAATCAACAGAGAGTGGCTCATTAAAATCCATTAAATTTCCTAAGTTGGAAATTGATTGCTGTCTCTCTGCACACCATCTAAATCTCATCTGACAGCTTTGTCTGACATCATTTATCACTTGCGACAAAATACCAAAGGAAAAGAGGATACACCTTTGGCCAAATTATCCCACTTTAGGTCTGTTCTTTCTGCCTGTGTGGAAGTATTGCACGCTCTCTTAGCAGATGAACATAAAAGAGAAGGTAAAAATATTCTCCTTTCAGATATAAACTAAAACAAAAAATGGATCAGACCTCCAAAGGATCATTTCTCACAAAGGCCGCCATTCTATAACCAGAAGTCTTTTGGCCCACACAATTTTCGAGTCAGATATACACGAAGTTTCTTCTCCCTGAGCGTGCAACAAAATGCAAACGCCCACTATTGAAAAATCCTGTGGGGTGTTCAGAACGAATTGAATGTCATCATTAAGCTTTGGGCCTGTGGACCCCTAGAAGGCTGAAGGTTTCAGAGAGAGATGCAAATTTAAACATATCAGGGTCCAGATGTCTGGAGGGTATTGTGTATTCATTTACTTGTCTATTCGTGGGTACTACGTCCGTATTCACCTCTTTTTAGTTGGGTTGAGCTTGAGCAAATAGCGTCAACTCTGAGTGTGTCTTTCTTTCTTTCTTTCTTTTCTTTCTTTTTTTCTTTCTTTCTCTTTCTTTCTTTCTTTCTTTCTTTCTTTCTTTCTTTCTTTTTTTTTTTTTTTTTTTTTTTTTTGAGACAGGGTCCCACTCTGTTGCTCAGGCTGGAGTGCAGTGGTTCCAGTTTGGAGTGACTGTGAATGGAGCTATGAGCAATCACAGCTCAATGCAGCCTCAGCCTCCCAGGCTCTGGTGATCCTCCCATCTCAGCCTCCTGAGTAGCTGGGACCAGAGGTGTATGCTACCATACTTGGCTAATTTTTTACTTTTTTGTAGAGACGGGGTTTTACCATGTTGCCCGGGCTGTTCTCAAAGTCCCAGGCTCAAGTGATCCCCCTGCGTTGGCCTCTCAAAACGGTGAGATTACAGGTGTGAGCCATCATACACGGCCCTGTATTTCTTCACCTGTGTAATGAGAATAATAATATGACCTTGCTTCTTGCAGATGTGACAATCAAATGAGATAATGCATATAGAATACTTAGTTTCATACTTTGCACATACAAGGGTCTCAGTAAATATTCGGGGTTTTTTGTTTGTTTGTTTGTTTGTTTTTGAGGCAGAGTTTCGCTCTTGTTGCCCAGGCTGGAGTGCAGTGGCACGATCTCAGCTCACTTCAACCTCTGCCTCCCAGGTTCAAGCGATTCTCCTGCCTCAGCCTCCCAAGTAGCTGGGATTACAGGCATCTGCCACCATGCCCAGCTAATTTTTTGTATTTTTAGTAGAGACGGGGTTTCACCATGTTGGCCAGGCTGGTCTTGAACTCCTGACGTCAGGTGATTTGCCCGCCTTGGCCTCCCAAAGCGCTGGGATTACAGGCATGAGCCACCACGCCTGGCCTCATCTCCTTTCTTTGGCCTCTTTTTATAGCGTGCCTTCCAGCAGACACACTCATTACTCCCTATTTACCAGTCCTCTTTTGTGGCTGTGTGCCTGTAATTCTCAGTCATATTGCAGTATTGCTTTTGCTCTTTCCTTTACTGGTTCCTAGTGTCATAATCACACCTAAGATGCCTTCAGGATCTTTCTTGCCTCCGCTGGGAATGCCGAGTGAACCTGCACAGGCTTGGAATCTAGGTGTTCAAGCCAGCCTGAAATTGGCTCTCAATTTTGCTGAACCTATCAGCCTCAGATCCCTGGTGCTGATCAAAGT
Organism: Homo sapiens; assembly: GCF_000001405.40. NCBI lineage: Eukaryota > Metazoa > Chordata > Mammalia > Primates > Hominidae > Homo > Homo sapiens. The sequence continues at coordinate 71,970,853 of NC_000007.14, read as the reverse complement.
GGTTTTTAAATTGTAGGTCTTGCCATTTGGCAGTAACTGGGCCTTGTCAAATAGGAAAACGCTGGGATGGTGATGACTTGAGCCCTTTTGTGAATAAGGAGCACTTCCCTTCTCTGCTCCTTATTGAAAATGTCACGAGCTTTATTGCCTAAGTGTTAAAGCGCGGGGACGAAGTGGGAAATCACTTTAACTTCCATTCAGAGAATGTTGTATTGCCTGCCTATTTCTGGAGGGCATAAAAGGGTAGCTGGCTGCAAAAAAAAAAAAAAGGTATATTTTGCAGATACAAGTCCCAAAAAGCCTAGTTGCCATTTTGCATTGGATTTCTTAACGGCCAAAGCCTAAAATGAGTATAAGAATGTCTTCTTGGTATAGCCTTTTCATTGCTACTTGGTCAAATATGCTGGGATTGTGATATAACTTAATATAATAACGTAAGTTGATAAGTAAGAAAATGAGGGTGTTTGCTTAGTCAGAATAAGTTAGTTTCATATCAGAAGGGTACTGTTTTCTCGCAGGATTAAGTAACTGTTAAGTCTTGGGATTGGAAGGAAGCAATCATTTATCTAAATGAATCTTTATAGGAGATCCTTCTCAAATGACTATCCAACCTGTATATATAGTGATAACCACTGCCTAGAAACTCTGTCTTTTCTCGGACAGTACATTGTATCTGTTCTGTGCCCCATTAGGAATGGGTTGCTGGGCCGGGCGTGGTGGCTCATGCCTGTAATCCTAGCACTTTCGGAGGCCAAGGCAGGAGGATCAGTTGAGTCCAAGAGTTCAGGATCAGTTGAGTCCAAGAGTTTGAGACCAGTCTAGGCAACATGGTGAGACCCTCTCTCTACCAAAAATCAAAAAATTAGCTGGGAGTGGTGGCATGAGCCTGTTGTCTCAGCTACTTGGAAGGCTGAGGTGGGAGGATCACTTGAGCCCAGGAGGCAGAGGTTGCAGTGAGCCAAGATCATACCACTGCACTCCAGCCTGGGTGACAGAGTGAGACCCTGTCTCAAAAAAAAAAAAAAATGGTCCTACAGTAGCCTGTACCCATTGGCCCCACACCTAATTCAATGGGACAAGTCAGAATTAATTTACTTCCCTTCTACCTGACAACTCATAAAATATTTAAAGAAAGCTTTTGTGTTTTCACTGTCTCTCTTTCTCTTCTCCGGGATAAACTTCCCTGTTCCCTAAGTACCATCCTGTTTACCTTTTTCTGATAATGCTATGTTCAGATCCTTATTCCTCATACAAAGAAACATCCCAAATTGAATAAAGCATGGTAGATTCTGCATGATAGTAAGCCTTAATGAATTATGTTTTTATGGCTTGAATGTTTATTAATATGTGTCAGGAGGAGACACTGTCATGATTTATTTATGTATGTATGTATTCGGTTATGTACACTGTACCTTGATTAAAAAAATACTTAGTCTCTGACAAGTATCTAGACCACATTAAGATAAAACGGTTTGTTAGAAAGAAATCAGGACAAAAGGCAAATGAAAGTAGGAAAGTAAGATGATGCTGAGGAGAAGGTTAATACCGAGAATGCATGTCAGACACCCAGTGCCCTGCTTGCTAAGAGCCTGGGCAAAGGGTAACACTAATTAGTTACAGGGTTCACAGGCTGCAAAAGATAAAAACAACTCCAGTACTCAAGAGAAGTGCTGTATAACCATTTCTGGTGCTGAAACGTTTCTTCTTTGACTCCACATGAAGGGGAGACTGAATGAAGTATTTGGAGATATAATTTCCAAAATTCATCCTTTAGGTGTGCAGTTCTATGATTTTTTTTTTCTTTTGAGATAGAGGCTCACTCTGTCACCGAGACTGGAATGTAGTGGTACAATCATAGTTCACTGCAGCCTCAACCTCCTGGGCTCAAGCAATCCCCCTGCCTTAGCCTCCCAAGTAGCTGGGACTACAGGTGAGTGCCACTATAACTGGCTAATTAAAAAAAAAAAAAATTGTAGAGGTGTGGTCTTGCTGTGTTGCCTAGGCTGGTCTTGAACTCCTGGACTCAAGCAATCCTCTCACCTCAGCCTCCCAAAGTGCTGGGATTACAGGTGTGAGCCACCACAGCCAGCCACTTCTATGTATTTTGATAAAACTTATGCACTCATCTAACTAGCACTACATTAAAGATAGAGAATATTTCCATCACCCCGGGTCCCGGCACGGTGGCTCACACCTGTAATCCCAGCACTTTGGGAGGCGGAGATGGGCAGATCACTTGAGGTCAGGAGTTCAATACCAGCCTGGCCAGCATGGTGAAACCTGTAATCCCAGCCTCTTGGGAAACTGAGGCACGAGAATTGCTGGAACCCGGCAGGCGGAGGGTGCAGTTAGCCAACATTGCACCATTGCACTCCAGCCTGGGAGACAGAGCAAGACTTCATCTCGAAAATAAAAGAGAGTATTTCTGTCACTCCAAAGAAGGCCTCATGTACCTTTGGAGTCAGTAGCCCTAGTCCCAGCCCCTAGGAACTGCTGGTCTGATCTCACTTCTTGTAGTTTTGCATTTTTCAAAATGCCACAGAAATAGAATGAAACAGTATATAACCTTTTGGCCTGGCTTTTTTTCATTCAGTATAATGCTTTCAAGATTCATCAGTGTGGATGTGTGTATTACGAGTCTGTTTCTTTTTTTTGTTCAGGAGTGTACTACCATAGCTTACACTCTGTGCATTTATCCCTTCACTAGTTAGTAGACATTTGACTTGTTTCCAGTTTGGAGTAACTATGAATAGAGTCGCTATAAATATTCATGTACAGGCATTTGTGTGGGCATATATTTTCATTTCTCTCAAGTAAATACCTAGGTGTGGGATTACTGAATAAAATGAGAAATGTATGTTTAACTTTATACAGAGATGCCAAAATGTTTTCCAAAGTGGTGATACCATTTTTAATTCCTACCAGCAATATATGAGAGTTCCAGTTGCTTTACATCTTTGCTAGCAATAGATATTCTTAGCTTCTTTTGTTCGCTTTTAAATTTTAGCCTGTTTAATAAGTCTACAGTGGCATCTCATTGTGGTTTTTGTTTGCTTTCTTTTCATTTACTTTAGTAAATTCTTTAGTAATATGTATGCTCAAATCTTCCCCTTTTTAAATTGTATTGATTGCTTTCTTATTATTGAGTTTGAAAGTTCTTTATATTCTTTATTCTGGGCACAGACTTTTTTCTTTTCTTTTCTTTTCTTTCTTTTTTTTTTTTTTTTTGAAACAGGGTCTCACTCTGTCGCCCAGGCTGGAGTGCAGTGACACGATCACGGGTCACTGCAGCCTTGACTTGGGCTCAAGCGATTTTTCCACCTCAGCCTCCTGAGTAACTGGGACTACAGGCATGCACCACTGAGCTCAGTTAATTTGTTTGATTTTTAGTAGAGACAAGGTCTTGCTATGTTTCCCAGGCTGGTCTGGAACTCCTGAGTTAAAGCCATCCTGACTTGGTTTCCCAAAGCCCTAGGATTACAGACATGAGTCATCACACCTAGTCAGGTTTCTTTAACAGGTATTTGTTTTGTGATATTTTCTGCCATATTATATCTCGTGTGTTCATTATCTTAACAGTGATTTTTGAAAATAAAAGTTTTCAGTTATTGTGAAGTTCAGTTTGCTATTTCTCTCCTTCATTATTCATGCTTTATGCATCTTATCTAAAAAATCTTTGCCTAGATAAAGGCTTTCTCTGTTTTCTTCTGTATATTTTATAGTTTTAGGTTTAATATTTAAGTTGTTTCCATTTTGAACTGTTTATCCACTACGTTATTGGAATAAACAAGTGAATGGGTTTCAAAGATATGTTTCCTAAACAGTTCTCAATAAAAACCAATGACATCATGGCAAAGAATATTCCAGAAACAGCTTCTACTGGGGAAGCTGAACAAGGACATATCTTTCTGTTGTTCTGACAGAATTCAATGATAAATTTTAGAGTGTCTAGAGAAAGCCTCTTCATTTGGGGGGATTTACAACTTACAAAGTTGCATGTAAAATTAATCTAGCTTTAAATTTTCTGGAAGAGAAGAACTATAATTTTCATTAGGCTTTCAATGGGGGTAGTGACCACCACTTGCTCCCCAAAACGTTAAGAACCATGGTATTAGTCTGTTCTTGTATTGCTGTAAATACCTGAGACTGGGTAATATATAAAGAAGAGAGGTTTAATTGGCTCTTGATTCTGCAGGCTGTACGGGAAGCATGATGCTGGAATCTGCTGAGCTTCTGAAAAAGCCTCAGGAAACTTACAATAATGGCAGAAGGCAAAGAGGAAGCAGGTGCATCTTACATGGCAGGACCAGGAGCAGGAGACAGAGAGAGAGGAGGGAGGTGCCACACACTTTTAAATGACCAGATGTCATGAGAACTCACTATCAAGAGGACAGTACCAGAAGGATGATGCTAAATCATTCATAAGAAATCCACCCCCATGATCCAGCCACCTCCCACCACCCCACCTCCATCACTGAGGATTACAATTGAACATGAGACTTGGGTGGGGACACAGATCCAAACCATATCAAACATTGACCTAGGGCAGGATTCCACAGACCAAGGTTCACAGGCCATGTCCAGCTTGCCACTTATTTTGCAAGTAAAGTTATACTGCAACATAGCCACACTAATTTGTATTGTCCATGGCTGCTTGCTTTATGGTGACAGAGTTGACTGTAGAGTTGAATTGTTGGGATAGAAACTACAAGGAGCACCAGAACTATTTGTTATCTGGTCTTGCACAGGAGCATAGACAGACTGTATATCCTTCAGGTTAACCTGCAAAATAGAAATTGTCTCAGCTGATTTTTCTATTGAGTATTGTGTAGATTGAATGCAAGATTATACTCCCTGGTAGTACTTGGAGGGCAGAAGTGTGGTGTTGATGGTTTTGCAAAACTCCATATTTCAACAGTGAAAAGCTCTAAGAAGCACCGCTACTGTCCTTTTCTACAGGAAGAAGACCAAGAAAGATCCTCTAGGCTTTTAAATACTAAGTTATCTTTGTAAATTATTTAGGAATCACTCAATTGAGTGATACTGGGGCATCTTTTTATGCCCCAGAACATAGCTGCAATAATTTTAAATTGTGAAATATTTTAAGTGGTCACTACCATATGCCTAACTTTGAACTTTCACCAATATATCTTTTGGTTGTGCATATACCATATCAGTTGAAAAATGGATCTCTTTTAAATGAATAAGGTAAGTCCCTATGTAGGAATTTAGCTATACACCATTTAAGTGCATTTAATGTTTGTTTGTTTGTTTGTTTGTTTGTTGTTACTGTTTTTCAAATAGCAGCTCTGAAGCCCTTCTTTGTAGAATGAATGAGATACCTATTAAAGTCACTCCTGGCTTATGAGTATAAAATTATGTCATCTGCAAGTGAGAGGAAGCTTTTAGTTTTCCTTACAGAAGGTTGGCACCTTCTTTCTAGGACTCACACTAAAGATTGTGCTTTTCCAAAAGTAGTATCTTAGTATCTAAACAATTAAAGGGATACTTTTTAAAAAGTGAGGCTGGGCATGGTGGCTCACACCTGTCATCTTAGTACTTTGGGAGGCTGAGGCGGGAGGATCACCTGAGCCCAGGAGTTTGAGACCAGCCTGGGCAACATAACAAGACTCTGTTTCTATAAAGAATAATAAAAAGTTTAGCTGGGTGGGGTGACATGTGCCTGTGTTCTCAGCTACTTGGAAGGTGGAGGCAGGAGGATGACTTGAACACAAGAGGTAGAGGCTGCAGTGAGCTACGATGGCACCACTGCACTCTAGCCTGGGGGACAGAGTGAGACCATGTCTCCAAAATTAAAAAGTTAAAAATAAAACGTGAGCCAGAAAACATTCTTATTTTCCCCTGAATCCTCAAAAACGGTCTCTACTAACTCAAAGTCTGGCAGTGTTTTTAAGGTGCTGATTGTGAGCTCAGCCCAAGTCAGTGAAACCATCTATTCCTTACAGATTTCTTCATGGACTGATAGAACATTACATTGGTCAGTATTGGAAGACTCTTACCCAAAGCCCATCTCATTCCCAACATTTCTTGCAAAGCCCAGACTTATCATTTATACAGAGGGAAACAGGCATGCATTTTTAATGAAGTGTTCAATAAGTTAAATATATCTATACTTTGGAATGAAATAAAGGGTTGTTCCTTTTTTTGTTTTGTTTTGGTTTGGTTTTTTTTTGAGACAGAGTCTCGCTCTGTTGCCAGGCTGGAGTGCAGTGGCGTGATCTCAGCGTGAGCCACTGCGCCCAGCCGGTTGTTCTTTTGAAAATGATATTAATGATCTTGCTGAGAGCTATCTCCACCACTCAATAAAACCTTACACTCATTCTCCAAGCCCACATGTGATCCAAGTTTTCCAGTACACTAGGGCAAGAACCCAGGATACAGAAAGCCCTCTGTCCTTGCGATAAGCAGAGGGTCTAATTGAGCTCATTAACACAAGCTGTCTGCAGACGGCAAAGCTGAAAGAGCACACTGTAACAGACGCCCACCAAGGCTTCAGGAGCTGTAAACACTCACCCTTAGACACTGCTGTGGGGTCAGAGCCCAAAAATGCTCCCCACGACCCCTACACCTGCCTGTCTGCATGCTTCCTTAGGAGTTTGAGCAGCAGGGCAGCAAAGAAGAGTCACAACCCTGTCGCACATCCTGTGACGGGGGATAAAGGAACACTCCCATTTCAGTGTCCATCCGTAGGGGAATGCGTAAGCCAAAGTATATGATATGACATACTTAGCAACAGTTCAGATGTACATACATAGCAGTGTGGATAAACCTTAACAATGCTCCCTTTAGTCAAAAAAGAAACAATGAGATTCATAGCAGGAAACATTTATGTTTAAATACACGGACATTGAAAACAAGACATATTTTGGGGACAGTATATCAGAGGGGATAAGAATATGAATTCCTCAGCCAAACTTCATAGGTCCTAATCCCAGCTCCACTATTTACCTCTTATGTTAGATGAGTTACTTAATTTTTGTGCCTCAGTTTTCCCATTTGCAAAATGGTGATAATCTCATTGCATTGCTATCCAGATTTGATGAGTTAATGTACGTGTAGCATTTAAAATATAGAATAAGTGCTAATAAGTGTAATCTATTATTGCAGTACATGTATCAGTATTACATATAAAACATATAAAGTGGTGACCAAGGGGGTAAGGGAAAAAAAGTGGAATTTGGGGACCAAGGAGAGACGATAAGAAAAAAAGAAGAGAAAAAGTTTCCTAGGCTGGGCACGGTGGCTCATACCTGTAATCCCAGCACTTTGGGAGGCCAAGGTGGGCGGATCATTTGAGGTCAGGAGTTCAAGACCAGCCTGGCCAACATGGCAAAACCCTGTCTCTACTAAAAATACAAACATGAGCTGTGTGGGCTGGGCACAGTGGCTCACACCTGTAATCCCAGCACTTTGGGAGGCTGAGGCAGGTGGATCACGAGGTAAGGAGATCAAGACCATCCTGGCCAACATGGTGAAACCTTGTCTCTACTAAAAATACAAAAATTAGCCGGGCGTGGTGGCGTGCACCTGTAATCCCAGCTACTCTGGAGGCTGAGGCAGGAGAATCGCTTGAACCAGGGAGTCGGAGGTTGCAGTGAGCCGAGATCGCGCCGCCGCACTCCAGCCTGGGTGACAGAGCAAGACTCTGTCTCAAAAATAATAATAATAATAAAAATAACAAAGTTTCTTAGAGCTTACTGTTTAGTACAGGTGACCCTAATTTTGTGACACTAGCAAGAGTAAACTTTCCAGGTTTACCTGGTAACTGAGATTCCAAAACTTAAATACCAGTTACAAATCTTGGATACCTATGTTTAAACCTGTCCTCTTTGTAGTATTTGAAGGCCAAACTGAGATCCTTATATATGAGAATTTATTATACTTGAATCTTTCAAGGTTACTAGAATTTGAGTAAGCGTTGAATTGATGAGATCCCGCTGATCTCTTCTGATTTCATTTTTCCTTGTTACTTTGTTCATCTCACCAGGGATTGTCTTTTTTCTTTTTGGCCTGGCAATTCCTGACAGATCAGGCACTAGAAGGAAAAAAGACCCACATTTGCTGTGACATACTGTAGATAAAACTGGTTTAAAGCTTTCAGCAATTTGTAGAAAAGATGTGGAAGAGAAATCTTCTCCTCACGGCACCCAAAGTGGAATTTTAAAAGGTATTAGATAATGAAAGGTTTCTAGGGGAATTTGAAATCTTCTTAGTCAGTCTCACACTTTCTAGCCCCCTGAGCTCACCAGTGTGAAAGGTTGAGATGAGGGGAAATATTCACTCTCTATATAGTCCAGAATGTCCATTCAAACGGTAGCAAATGCAGAGGGCTCAAATATGGCATGGCTTTTGCCAGCAGTTCGCAGCATGGACTCGGTATTGGTATTTGTTACAGGTAATTGGCTTCTGCTCACATTAATTAATTTATTGGAGGCTGGGTCTCTCTCTTTCACCCAGGCTGCAGTGCAGTGGTGCCATCATAGCTCACTGCAGCCTCAAACTCCTGGGCTCAAGTGATCCTCCTGCCTCAGCCTCTCAAGTAGCTGGAACAACAGGTGCATGCCACCAGGCATGACTGATTTTTTAAACTTTTTTTTTTTTTTTTAGAGATGGGGTCTTGCTGTGTTGCCCAAGCTGGTCTCAAACTCCTGGCCTCAAGTGATCCTCCAGCCTTGGCCTCTCAAAATGCTGGGATTGCAGGTGTGAGCCATTGTGCCTGGCCACAAGGTTATTCTTATAATAACTTTCCTATCTTGCACTTGCATCTTGTTTTATGAGAAAACGGAATACGCAGATACAAATGAAGAGATGATGGACATAGGGTAGGCAGGTGAAAGGAACAAACAAGATATAATGAGGCTCCCTGAGGCTACAATAGCTGGAAATTGTTCCCACTCCAAGGGCTGAAGGGAAAGGGTTACTGGAACCTCACGAGGTCTGGAAGAGGTGCCACTCAGCGGGAAATAGGCTTGTGAAGAGACATAGCTACTGCCAGAGTAGCAGAGTTTTGTCAGAAAGTATGCAGGGGAGGAGGACCCTGCCCTCTCTCTTCTGCTGCCCTTGAATTTCTTGCCATTGTCTGAATTGGCCTAACCCAAACAGAAGCTAGCAGCAAGTTTGTCTAGGAGATGCAATCTACAGAGATCAGTTTCCAAGGGCCCAGGGCAGAGAGGTGCAGGGAGGGAATGGCTTGTGGAGATGGCAAATGGAGAATTGCGCACACACATTTTCTTATTCCTTTTTGTTTGTTTTAATAGTGAGAGAAAGAAGTTTGCAGATTTCATGTAACAGTACCCATGGGAGTACAGTACACAAGTGAACGTAATCTATTACGGGTTTTATGGCAGAAAAGAGATTGGTAATTACTGGTCTATGGGGCTGACTCCCAAGGGGGAAATACAGGTAACATTTTCATCAGCTAGATCTCATGTGCTAACATTAAAACAGAACTGGGTTTTATGTATAAATACATTTGGTAGGGAAATTTCTATTAGGATGTAAATATCTGTCTTTAGAAGAGGGGATGTAAGCTCGGTTTGATTCCTTGTCTGTCTTGTTTGCTATTGTATACCCAGTATCTGGCACAGTTCCTGGCATTGTGAATAAATGAATGAGAAGTAATCTTTCAGATACCTTATGTATTATAGGTATAGACTAATTGGACTGACAATGATAGTAACTTTGCTGATTATGTGAAATTCATTTAAGATAAAAAGTCTTATGAGCAGTGGCTCATGCCTGTAATTCCAGCACTTTGGGAGGCCAAGGCAAACAGATCACCTGAGGTCAGGAGTTCAAGACCAGCCTGGGAAACATGGTGAAACCCCATCTCTACTAAAAATACAAAAATTAGCCAGGTGTGGTGTCACAAGCCTGTGATCCCAGCTACTCAGGAGGCTGAGGCACGAGAATCGCTTGAACCTGGGAGGTGGAGGTTGCAATGAGCTGAGATTGAGCCACTGCACTCCACCTGGGCAACAGAGTAAGACTCTGTCTCAAAAAACAATTAAATTAGAATAAAATAAAAAGTCTTAATATCACGACCAGGTAATGGTGTAGGAGTTTGCACCTGCATGGAGGTAGAGAGTGGAAGAATATAACTATTAAAAAAGATCTAAAATTAGAACTGCCATTCAATCCAGCAATCCCACTACCAGGAAAGAAATCATTATATCAAAAAGATACTTGCACTGGTATGTTTGTTGCAGCACTATTCACAATAGCAAAGATATGGAATCAACCTAAATATCTATCAGTGGAGGAATGGATAAAGAAAATGTGGTACATAGACACCATGGAATACTACTCAGCCATAAAAAAGAATGCAATCATTATCTTCTGCAGCAACACGGATGGAAGTGGAAGCTACTATCCTCAGTGAAATAGCTCAGAAACAGAAAGTCAAATACCACATGTTCTCACTTACAAATGCGAGCTAAACAATGGGTACAGATGGATGTACGGAGGGAATGATAGATACTGGGGACTCCATAAAGGGAGAGGCTGGGACGGAAGTAAGATTTGAAAAATTCCCTATTGGGTACAGTGTACACTGTCCAGATGATGGGTTCATGATGCAATATATACATGTAAGAAACCTGCATTTGTATCCTCTAAATATGCTTTTATTTTATTTTTTTATTTTATTTTATTTATTTATTTATTTATTTATTTATTTATTTATTTATTTATTTATTTTTGAGATGGAGTCTCTCTCTGTTGCCCAGGCTGGAGTGCAGTGGTGCCATCCTGACTCACTGCAACCACCACCTCCTGGGTTCAATGATTCTCCTCCCTCAGTCTCTAGAGCAGCTGGGATTACAGGTGCCCGCCACCACGCCCAGCTAATTTTTGTATTTTTAGTAGAGATGGGGTTTCACCATGTTGACCAGACTGATCTCAAACTCCTGACCTCAGGTGATCTGCCCGCCTCGGCCTCCCAAAGTGCTGGGATTACAGGCCTGAGCCACTGTGCCCGGCCTAAATATGCATTTTTAAAAAAGAATACAACTGTGAAGAGACATCACATTTGGTTTGCCCAGGAATTGAAATAGACTAGAACTAGAAATAGATTCTAGTCCTATGAGCACCATGGAGTCTGACCACTGTCCTCTTGTGCTGATGGAGTTGGGACTGGGTGACCATCGTGTCTCACCTTTGCTGAAAGTATCCACCACACATACCCTTCCCCCACTTAAAAAAAAAAAAAAGCTGGAAAGGTAAAAAAGTCAAAACCCTGGAATATGTAGAGATGTCCTAAACTCCAAGTCTCTTCTATCTATATCATGTTAAAACTCATCAGGAGAACTGGTATACCCCTATGCTCTATGCTCTGGGAAAGGAACATAGTCGTTTTGGTAGATGTTCCTGGGAGAAGGGGAAGCCCATTTTCCTTTCCTCAAAAGGACTTGCCTCTCACCCATCTTAGGAAAGTTTTCCAAATATATAAAAACAACCAAGTCTGGATTCTCCAATCCTGTGTTTGCGATCTCCAAGAAAGAACAGAACACACTTCTGGACAACTTGTCCAAACTTCAGAACTGATCACAATGTTGCTAGCCACATTATGTGAATATTAGATTTCATGTTAGCTTGTCATTTAAGACCAGGCAGAAGGGAAGCTCCTCCTGAACCATGAGACCTGACTCATCACTGCCTACCATGACAGGTGCTTCACTGCTACTAAGTCTGGTGAAAAGGAGAGGGGCAAGCCATTCAGTTTGCTTTCTCTCCTAGCCTTTGATAGTGCCACAGCTTCCAGAACATCCTTGCTTTAATTGAGCAGCCTATGCCTATCTTTTATAACTAACAAGTGACCCAAAATACAGGCATGTGAAAGCCTGATACTCCAGGTTTCCCGTCATAAGGAAAGCCACTCGGAGAAGTCAGGCAGCATGTTGGAAAGTGATCTGAGGGTCTGATCTGTCAGTCAAGAAAGAACTCTGGGCAATGTCTGTTGTGAGGCTGGGTGGGAGACTCAGTCTGTTAAGGTAGCAGTGATGGGTCAGGTCTCACAGTGCAGGAGGAGCTGCCTTTCTGCCTGATTTTGAACAAGCAGCTAACATGAAATCTAACAGAAGAGACCACATAATGTGGCTAGCACCATTGTGGTCAGCTCTGAAGGATGGCAACGCAAGTTGTCCGGAAGTGTGTCCTGTTCTTTCTTGGAGATCGCAAACATAGGATTGGAGAATCCAGACTTTGCTGTTTTTATATATTTGGAAAACTTTCCTAAGATGGGTGGAGAGGCAAGTCCTTTTGAGGAAAGGAAAATGAGCTTCCCCTTCTCCCAGGAACTGTATATACCACATGTGCCTGGGCAAACTTGGTAGTCTATTGGTACTTTGTGAAGGACCAATAAGGTCTTTGACAGATAGGAAGACTACACAAAGGGGCCTCCCTGAGTTGTCTGTTGTGTCTTACAATGAAGACAGGGAACTGGAGGAAGCCAAGAGTCTCATGAGACAGAGAATGGATCAAACTAATAATAAGCTCATTTTAACAAGACCAGTATGAGAATAGGGCAAGAAACCTGACAAACAGAGGGGAACAGTAGATACTGGGGACTCCATAAAGGGGGAGGTTGGGAGAGGTGAGATTTGAAAAATTACCTGTTGGGTACAATGTACGCTATTAAGATGATGGATCCATTAAAATCTCAGACTTCACCATGATGGAATATACCATGTAAGAGATTGGTAATTACTGCACTTTCTTTTTTTTTCTTTTTCTTTTTTTTTCTTTCTTTCTTTTTTTTTTTTTTTTTTGAGATGGAGTTTCACTCTTGTCACCTAGGCTGGAGTGCAATGGCACAATCTGGGCTCACTGCAACTTCTGCCTCCCAGGTTCAAGAGATTCTCCTGCCTCAGCCTCCCAAGTAGCTGGGATTACAGGTGCATGCCACCACGCCTGGCTAATTTTTGTATTTTTAATAGAGATGGGGTTTCATCATGTTGGCCAGGTTGGTCTCGAACTCCTGACCCCAGGTGATCTGCCTGCTTCGGCCTCCCAAAGTGCTGGGATTAGAAGTGTGAGCCACCATGCCCAGCAGAAACCTGCACTTTCTTAGTGCGAGGTGTGAGCCACAGCACCCAGCCTAAATTTTTCAGTCTTAAAATGAGAACATTCCTAGTTTCTTCTCCTTCTTCAAAAACAAAACAAAAAATCCGGAGAATCACCTCACTTCATGCCTGTCTAACTCACCGGAAAATTGCATTAATCTGTCTGAGAACTGAAGTTACTTAAGAGATTTGCCATTTGTAAGTTGAGGAAGGCATTTTAGGTTTGCAGTGATCAGTACAGGCGACAGATCGTAATGGGGTAGAGAAAGAGTGTCAAGGTTTGAGAGTGGTGTCTTTTTTGGGGTTTGATTTTTTGCAGAGTGAAATATTTCATCTCTGAGTTGCTTACTACGAAAAGAGTGTCTTTGTTTTATTTTTTTAAACCTCTTTATTTCCTTTTTAGGCTTTTGTATCAGATTTCATCACGTTTTTGTCTTTCCAGAATCATTAATGATAAATTCTTACAGTCAAGAAAAATATTAGATCTAACCAAAAATTTAAAAGTCACAGTCCCACCCACCTCCTATCAATCTTTCTGAAAGAAGTAAATCAAAATTCTCTCACAGAAGATGAAAGTGAATTGTCCATCAAAGCCGAGAGTGGCTGCTTGATTACTTCAGCATCCAGACCATGTCTTCGGCTGCGATAGAAACAAGATGATTAATTTCAGAGCTTCTCTCGGTGTCTCATTTCGCTTTCACCACCTCCCCACCAATTCATAAAGCTCCCGTGAAGGGAGATGAAGGGATTGACTATCAAAAAAATAAAGTATAGGGCTGGGTGTGGTGGCTCACACCTGTAATCCCAGCACTTTGGGAGGCCAAGGTGGGTGGATCACCTGAGGTCTCGAGTTTTGAGACCAGACTGGCCAACATGGTGAAACCTCACCTCCACTAAAAATACATAAATTAGCCAGGCGTGATGGTGGGTGCCTGTAATTCCAGATTCTCAGGAGGCTGAGACAGGAGAATCGCTTGAACCTGGGAGGCAGAGATTGCAGTGAGCTGAGATTGTGCCACTGCACTCCAACTTGGGTGGCAGAGTGAAACTCTGTCTCAAATAATAAAATAAAATAATAAAATAAAATGTAAATGCTCCTGGCTTGCTGTGTGCCTGCACTGCTACATACAATCAAAACTTTAAATTGGGACTGGACACAGTCAGCCCCTGTAATCCCAGCACTTTGGGAGGCTGAGGCTGGAGGATAACTTGGGGCCAGGAGTTTGAGATCAGCCTGGGCAACATAACGACACCCTCCCTCTGTTTAAAAAAAAAAAAAAGTTATCAGAACAAAAATAATAATAATTTTTAAAAAAAATACTTTAAATTGAAATAATGCCCAATAGTAAAATTTCCGGGCACTCTTATCTGCAGTCTTTCTGTAGCTCCCAAGTCCTCCCCTACAGCATACATATGTGCCCTCAATCATCCTACTCATCACAAAAGGAAACAAAGTTCCTTTCTGCTATTAAAATTCTAGAACGGGCTGGGCACAGTGGCTCATGCCTATAATCCCAGCACTTTGGGAGGCTGAGGAGTGAGGATCGCTTGAGGTCAGGAGTTCGAGACCAGCCTGGCCAACATGATGATGCTCCGTCTCTACTAAAAATACAAAAATTAGCTGGACATGGTGGCACATGTCTGTAATCCTAGCTACTTGGGAGGCTGAGGCAGGAGAATTGCTTGAACCCAGGAGGCAGAGGTTGCAGTGAACCGAGATAGTGCCATTGCTCTCCAGCCTGGGTGACAGAGTGAGACTCCATCTCAAAAAAAAAAAAAAATCCAGAACATACATGGCCCAGTCTATACTATCTCGGTTGGGGGCTTTCAGTGAAACTGCCGGCTCTGAGATCACCAGGTACCACCCAGGTGCCAGACTAAATAGCGGCTTTTCAATCTTCAGCCCTCAAGCCCTCTTAGAGTACATTCTACTTCTGACTTTCCTCCCAGAGGAGGTTGTCTGTCTGCTTGGTCTGAAATAAGTGCATCATAGTCAGGTCATGTTGGAATCTGACTCCTTCCAGGACGGATCTCCTGAGTTCCAGAACATCAGGGGCTTATTGAGCCAGGGCATGCTCAAAACTTAAGATCTGTACCCTATATTACCTCTATGTTGATCAGTTTTTTAATCTAAGGAAGGCAATGCAGTATGTTCTGTAATATTTTCCACTTAGACCAGTGGGGAAAGCGTTCATTTTGGGGTTCAACAGACCTGGATTTGAACCCCTGCTGTGCCATTGACTTAAGTGTGGAATCTCTAAATTCACTGATTCTTGCAGTTCTCACTTAGGGAGTAGGGGTCATATTGACCTCAAAGAGCATTTTGAGATTTAAATAAAGGAACGTATGCAAAAAGTTGATCAGCTTTTCAACCTCTCCGCTGTGTCATTCCCATTAGAATACTGATACAGTTTGGCTGTGTCTCCACCCAAATCTCATCTTGAATTGTAGCTCCCATAATTGCCATGTGTGGTGGGAGGGACCTGGTGGGAGATCACTGAATCACAGGGACGGTTTCTTCCATACTGTTCTCGTGGTAGTGAATACGTCTCACGAGATCTGATGGTTTTATCAGGGGTTTTCCGTTTCGCTTGGTTCTCACTCTCTCCTGCCTGCCGCCATGTACGATGTCCCTTTGCTTTTCCTTCGTCTTCTGCCATGATTGCGAGGTCTCCCCAGCCATGTGGGACTGTGAATCCATTAAACCTCTTTCCTTTACAAATTACCCAGACTTGGGTATATCTTTATTAGCAGTATGAGAAGGGACTAATACAGATACAAACATACTTAGACAACTCTCATCCTAAAAAACAACATTCCACGCCTTGTAAGATGTGGGTAAAATAAATAAGAAGAATAATAGTCAAATGAAACTGTCTGTTCCCCTGTAGAGAAGAGTTAAACCTCACTCCTCTTCACTGCTCTGAATCAACCCCCCAGGTAGTAGTCTGTACTCACTGCTGCCAGTTCTCTTCTCCCACTGACTCCTGAATCTACTCTGTCTTGATTTTCATTCTTACCATTCCATAAAACAAAACAGCTCTAGTGGAGGTCACTGATGACCACCATGTTGCTAAATCCCACAGTCAATTCTCAATCCGTATCTTCTTTTTAATGTTTGAGACAGGGTCTTACTCTGTCACTCAAGCTGGAGTACAGTGGCGTGATCACAGCTCACTGGAGCCATGGCCTCCCAGGCTCGTGCAGTCCTCCTGCCTCAGCCTCCTGAGAAGGTGGGACTACACATGCACACCACTATGCCCAGCTAATTTTTATTATTATTTTTAATTTTTTTTTTAATTTTAAGTTTTCGAGATGGAGTCTCACTCTGTTGCCCAGGCTGGAGCACAGTGGCACGATCTCAGCTCACTGCAACCTCCATCTCCCTGGTTCAAATGATTTTCCTGCCTCAGCCTCCCTAGCAGCTGGGAATACAGGTGTGTGCCACCACGCCTGGCTAATTTTTTTGTATTTTTAGTAGAGACAGGGTTTCAAGATGTTAGCCAGGCTGGTCTTGAACTCCTGACCTCACATGATCAGCCCCTCGGCCTCCCAAAGCGCTATGATTACAGGCATGAGCCACAGTGCTTGGCCCCATTTTAAAATTTCTCATAGAGATGATGTCTTGCTATGTTGCCCACGTTGGCCTCAAATTCCTAGCCTCAAGCAATCCTCCTGCCTCAGCCTCCCAAAGTGCTGGGATTACAGGCGTGGGCCACTGTGCCCAGCCTTTACCCCTGATTCTCTAGCAATAGTGAATTCATTGCAGTTGTTCCAGTAAGCCAGATTCTCAGGTTCTCTTTTCTTTGAGAGACTGAGATCATGTTTTTTTTGTCCACACTGCCAACCACCAACCCCACCTTGCCTGCCTAGCTCTCCCTGTCTATGAAGACATTTCCTAGCTGCCTCCCTCACCCCCCAGGAGACAGGTGCCTCCTATGTTCCCCTGTAGAAACATCAGCCCAGCCCCATCAGAGCATCTGCCCCATGACATGGAAACTGGTCCTCTGCTTGTCAGTCTCTGCAAAGTCCTGCTGGCCCTTGGGTCCCCACTCCCAGCACAATGCCTAACACATAAATGGCACTCAGTAAATATTTATTTCTCAGGAAACTTTATCAACAATTATTCAAAACACTTTTACACACATCTCAAAAGAGCTATTATGAAGGTAAAATGCTGTTAATAGGCGTGAAAGCACCTTAGAATGCGGAAAACACCAGAAAGAGAATATGTATATTAAAGCAGAAAATTGGCTTTTCTCCAAAGCCTTGACAGTATATAAAGGAGAAGAAGAGGTGACTATATCTTTCTCCTGCCAATGAGACAGCAATTCGAGTGGCCTGGAGTGGTCATTTAAGATGATAAATCCATTCTTCTACCACAAGTGTGTGTTGATACGCATCTACTTAAATAGTGCAGGGAACAAGGCCATATGGAAAATATTAAGATGAAGAACAGGATGGAGGAGAGAAGCCGTGGGCACCAACAGATTAAGATAAAGTGTGGAGGACTGAGGCAGCTGTGGTGGCTCATGCCCGTAGTCCCAGCTACTTGGGAGGCCAAAGTGGAAGGCTTGCTTGAGGCCAGGAGTTCAAGACCACCCTGGGCAACATAACGAGATCCCGTTCCTGCAAAAAATTAAAAACAGCAGCTGGGTGTAGTGGTGCGTGCCTGTAGTCCCAGCTACTCAAGAGGTTGAGGAAGGAGGATTGCTTGAGCCCAGGAGTTTGAGGCTGCAGTGAGCTGTGGTCACACCACTGCACTCTAAACTGGATGACAGGGCAAGACTTTATCTCCAAATAATAAATTATGGAGGACTGAGTCACGAAAGCCATGCAAAAGGCATTTATGACAAGCTAAAGAGGAAGGCACTTTCTCCTATTAGAGGAATCGAAGAAGACTTTCTGGGGATTAGAAGAAGCTGGACAGGTATTGATGAGCTTTGAATGTGAAGGCAGGAAGGATGCAGGGATCCTACAGGGGCCGAGCCGACAAGAGCATGGTGGGGCTTGGTTTTAGAAAAAAGAATTCAGCAGATTGTGCAAGAGGGAACAGCCCGGCACCTGGGGCGTCCGTATGGCCGTACTTGTAATAGTCCAGGAATGAGTTGAGATCGCTAGCGATCTACACTAGCTTTCTTGGGTCATGAAAGTAATGCAGCCATGGCTTCCTTGGGTCACGGAAGTGATGCAGAGATTGAGCATTTGGAGGACCGATCAAATCAGCTTTTATGTGCCGCTAGCCTCAAAAAGGGAGCATTGCCGCCTGGCCAAGGGACAAGCCTATGTGGGCCCCTTCCCCTCACCCAGAGCCGAGTCCTTGTGGCAGAGCAGCTCCTTCTCTGCTGACATGCACGCCTTCCCTGGACCAACTGTGGAGTTATTATCATATTAATACCAACATCTTCCTCAGGCAAGGAGGTGAGGGGGGTGCACTTGGGAAAGGCAGAAATGACTGGGAGCCACTGAGCCGCTGTTGAGGCGTCAGGGTGGAGCCAAGAATGGGAGGACCCTAAGCATGAAAGTTTCATGATTTAGGAAGATCCTGCCAGGTGACCTGTGGTATCTTCAATTTAGCAGTTGCAGGTCGCATATCCAATTCAACAGATCAGTGATTTGATAGAGATGCAAGAAGGAAGCTGCTGGGCAGACTCTTCATTTTTCATACTTCAGCTAGCAACTGTTTCTCTTGAAGATGTCCCAGAAAGCAGACTCACTCACATCCTGGGGTGGTCCTGCCTGGTTCTCCCTCCACCATCAGCAGCCGCATCTGTTGGTTTGGGCAAGTGATGGATTGGTTGGGTCTGACTCCCAGGAGGGGAATGGAAAAAAAAAAAGGCTGCAGCAGTTTGACAAACTAGAGCACAGAAAAAGTGCAAGACATCAGAAGATCCACCATTCTGCAAGTCGCTTGCATGATTTCAAAGTCAAAGACTTTGATTTCAAATCCTGGCTCAGGGTGAGCCAACCAGAACCAGCCACTGAGCCATAGATGCCAGGTTTCTGGCTGTGATCAGTTTTGTCTTAGTAGGGTATGTGACATCTGCCAATCCAAAAAGTATATTTAGAGATGCTATAGCAGACCAGACTCCTCACTGAGTTCTTGCAGAAGCTGGAAAAACTTGTTTCTGTTATTCGTTTTTTGTTGTTGTTGTTGTTTTGTTTTTGTTTGTTTGTTATTGAGATGGAGTACTGCTCTGTTGCCCAGGCTGGAATGCAGTGGCATGATCTCGACTCACTGCAACCTCCGCCTCCTGGGTTCAAGCGATTCTCTTGCCTCAGCCTCCCAAGTAGCTGGGATTACGGGCACGCACCATCATGCCCAGCTAATTTTTGTATTTTTAGTAGAGACGGGGTTTCACCATGTTGGCCAGGCTAGTCTTGAACTCCTGACCTTAGGTGATGCAGCTGCCTCGGCCTCCCAAAGTGCTGGGATTACAGGCATGAGCCATGCGCCCGGCCGTTTCTGCTATTCTTTACTGTAAGTAAAAGCATTTCTTTACTGAGAGTGTTTTCTGGAGAGTACATGGTGTTAGAGAGCTCTTTGATCAAAGTCCCTTATGCCATATAAAAAGAAAAGGGTGTTGTGCCCTAGAGGCAGCTATGCTGTCATCTTTTGACTGAGTAATTAAACTGATATTTACTAAGAGCCTACTATGTGTCCAGCAGGTTTCAGGCACTGGCCGTGAATGAGAGAGATGGGGCAGACAGGCAATAAATGAACAAACAAGGAAATGTCATTTATGGATAAATGTTATGGTAGAAATAAAACGGGGATAGACGGGGGCCTATTCAGGAATGCCTGGTTAGGGCAGGCTTCTCAGAGAGGGTGAAATGGCTAGGAAAGGAATGACAGGGTGGAGCCGGCTTTATGAAGAACTCTGGGAATGGCATTCTGTGCAGAAGGAACAGTAGATACAAAGTCCTAAGGTGGGAGCAGCTTGGCATGTTCCCAGAGCATTAAGAAAGCCAGTCTGGCTGGAGCAGACTGAGGGAGACTGGCTGGTGCCAGATGTGCAGTGGGCTGATCAGGTAGGAGTATGGACGTGATTCCCTGTGTGGTCTGAAGCAGCTTTAAGTTTAAAGAGGTGTGTTCTGACTGGATTTACAGTTTCAAAGTCTGACTCGGGTGGCTCTGTGGATCGGGGGTGTTAGGGACAAAAGAAGGACTTGACTACTCTGGGTCAGGGAGGAACTCAGTATGAGCTGTTTGGGGCCAGAGTGGTGGGGAGAGGATCAGTTCGGGCTATGCTTGCAAGTCTTTAAGAGGACCGTGGTGATGGATTGGTCATAGGAATGGGGTGTTGAAGGAAGACACAGAATCAAAGATGATGCCTAGGTTTTTTGGCAAGTACTCTGCAATATCCAAAAATGCGTGGTAGTGATTGTCGGAGACCTAGATCCTATTCTCAACCCTTCCATGTATCTGTGGGTGACCTTGAATGAGTCCCTCTGCCTCAGTTTCCTCACCTGTAAAATGATGGAGTTGGAACAGATTACATGAAAGACCCCTTTCCGCCCTGCCCATACTTGTGCTGTGGCTAAAACAACTGTGAGCAATTCTCCTCCCATAAGGGGCTCACTCTCCAGGTGTTACCAGGGGAGGGTGTCCAGGTTCTTGGCATCTCGAACAAAGAATTGGACAAAATGCACAAATGAAGCAAGGAAGGAATGAAGCAACAAAAGCAGAGATTTATTAAAAATCAAAGTGGCCAGGCACGGTGGCTCACACCTGTAATCCCAACACTTTGGGAGGCTGAGGCAGGCAGATCATGAGGTCAGGAGATTGAGACCATCCTGGCTAACACAGTGAAACCCCGTCTCTACTAAAAATACAAAAAAATTAGCCAGGCGTAGTGGCAGGCGCCTGTAGTCCCAGCTACTCGGGAGGCTGAGGCAGGAGAATGGCGTGAACCCGGGAGGCGGAGCTTGCAGTGAGCCAAGATCGTGCCACTGCACTCCAGCCTGGGCGACAAAGCGAGACTCCATCTCAAAAAAAAAAGAAAGTACACTCCACAGGTTGGGAGCAGGCCCAGGCATAGGGGCTCGAGAGCCCTGTTACAGAATTTTTTGGGGTTTAAATACCCTCTAAGGCTGGGTTTGGTGGCTCATGCCTGTAAGCTCAGCACTTTGGGAGGCCGGGGTGGGTGAATCACTTGAGGTCAGGAGTTCGAGATCACCCTGGCCAACATGGTGAAACCCCATCTCTACTACAAACAAAAATTAGCCAGGCACAGTGATGCATGCCTGTAATCCCAGCTACTCAGGAGGCTGAGGCAGGAGAATCGCTTGAACCTCAGGGAGAGGTTGCAGTGAGCTGAGATCACACCACTGCACTCCAGTCTGGGCAACAGAGTGAGACTCCATCTCAAACAAACAAACAAAAAACCCTCTCGAGGTTTCCATTGGTTACTTGGTATACGCCTTATGTAAATGAAGAGGATGAAGTAAAGTTACAGTCACTTACTCGACGTACACCCTTTGTAAATGGAGAGGATAGTTCTGTCATAGCTGAAGTGTTTCCATTTGATTTAGCTCTAGGAAGTCCTTATGTTCCCTGTCTCCAAACCCTATTCTCCTGCCTCATAGCCTGTCAGGGATTCGCTTCCTTACTCTGAATGTCCACAATATTTATGGCCATTCTTTCAGTCCAGACCGCACTGTCATAGTGACAAACTGGCAGCATGGAAAACAAATTCTTTTTTTTTTTTTTTTTTTTTTTTTTTTAAGAGACAGAGTCTTGCTGTGTGACTCAGGCTGGAGTGCAGTGGTGCCATCACAGCTCACTGCAGCCTGGAACTCCTGGGCTCAAGTGATCCTCCCACCTTAGCCTCCCAAGTAACTGGGACTACAGGCACATGCTACCATGCCTGGCTATTTTTTAAATTTGTTTGTAAAGACAGGGTCTCACTATGTTGCCCAGGCTGGTGTGGAACTCCTGGGTTCAAGCAGTCATCCCATCTTGGCCTCCAAAAACATTGGGATTGCATGCATGAGCCACTGCACCTGGCTGAAAACAAATTATTATTTTTTTTTTTTTTGAGACAGAGTCTCTCTCTGTCACCCAGGCTGGAGTGCAGTGGCATGATCTTGGCTCACTGCAATCTCTACCTCCTGTGTTCAAGCGATTCTCATGCCTCAGCCTCCCAAGTAGCTAGGATTACAGGCAATGCACCACCATGCCTGGCTAATTTTTTATTTTTAGTAGAGACGGGGATCTCACCGTGTTGGCCAGGCTAGTCTGGAATTCCTGACCTCAGGTGATCCGCCCGCCTCAGCCTCCCAAAGTGCTGGGATTACAGGCATAAGCCAATCGTGCCCGGCCTGAAACCAAATTCTAATGGAGCTCAGTGTCACATGTATGATGACTCTCTCTTAGAAGGCCATGGCTTCCTTGGGTCATGGGAGTAATAGAGAAACTGAGCATTTGGAAGACCCATCAAATCAGCTTTTATTTGCTGATTTGATTTGCTGATCAAAAAGGGACCTTTGCTGCCTGGGCAAGGGAAGAGACTATGTGGTCCTCTTCCCCCCCACTCAGAACAGAGTCCTTGTGGTGGTGCGGCTCCTTCTCTGCTGACATCCACACCTTCCCCAGACCGATTGTGAGTCCTCATAATACAAACATCTTCCTCAGGGGTGCTGGCTCAAGGTACCTTTTCCCTGCATGCACTATCGCCCTTTCGATGAGAAGTCTGGCAGATAATTATCACCTGAACAAAATCTGGGCATCAGTCCCCCAAAAATGCACTGCCCCTCTGTGGATCTTCCTACATACCTGCCTCCCTGGAAAAGAGAAGAAAAAAGCATGTCCACATCTTTCTTTTTTTTTTTTTTGAGACGGAGTCTTGCTCTGTCGCCCAGGCTGGAGTGCAGTGCAACTAGCTCACTGCAACCTCTGCCTCCCAGGTTCAAGTAATTCTCCTTCCTCAGCCTCCCGAGTAGCTGGGATTATAGGCACCAACCACCACAACTGGCTAGTTTTGTATTTTTAATAGAGGCAGGGTTTCACCATGTTGGCCAGGCTGGTCTCGAACTCCTGACCTCAGGTGATCCACCTGCCTGGGGCTCTCAAAGTGCTGGGATTACAGGTGTGAGCCTCCATGCCCGGCAGCAATTTTTAAAAATTGTAACTGCATTATGAGAACAGTATTTCAAGGTGACCCATTTATGTGGAGATTTTTAGAAGAAGAAAAAACCTCCAGTATAATTTTCTTCACTTTTAAGCCCAGTGATATTTTCAGAAATTCAAGACATACCATAGCATAGGAAAAGGGTGTGTCTAGAGAGTCTCTGGCTTCCATGTCTGATCTCATTCTCACTATCAGTATCATATCTTCATTGTACTGGATTTTAACTCAAACTGAAAGATGCCCTCTGATTCTCTGTCCATTTCTGTAAAATTGCCTTAGTTCATGATGTGGTTGCATTGCCTGAGATAATGTACATAAAACTCCCACTGGCGGGGCGCAGTGGCTCAAGCCTGTAATCTCGGCAGTTCGGGAGGCCGAGGTGGGCAGATCGCCTGAGGTCAGGAGTTTGAGACCAGCCTGGGCAACATGATGAAACCCCGTCTCTACTAAAAATACAAAAATTAGCCAGGCGTGGTGGTGGGTGCCTGTAATCCTAGCTACTCGGGAGGCTGTGGCACGAGAATGGCTTGAACCTGGGAGTCAGAGGTTGCATTGAGCCGAAATCACGCCACTTCACTCCAGCCTAGGTGGCAGAGCGAGACTCTGTCTCAAAAAAACAAACAACAACAACAACAAAAACACAACTCCCACCAAACGTGGCTTCTGCATGGTGGTTCATGCCTATAATCCTAGTGCTTTGGGTCAAGGTAGGAAGATTGCTTGAGCCCAGGAGTTCATGAGAAGCCTGGGCAACACAGCAACTCACCTAAAGTTTCAGGTGACTGAAAAACAGCAGTTTCCTTGCCATCACTCACGGCACCGAATTCAAAGTCAGGAAATCCTGATTCCAGACCGTGTCAGGTACCATCCAATGCCTTACAGTTTATTTTCCATCTCAAGGAGGAAAAAAGGCCTTTTCATGCTTGCCTCATGACAGATGTGGGAAAATGATGTATGTGTATGTAACGTTCTTGGCTGTCTAGGCATGGTGGCTCACACCTGTAATCTGAGCATTTTTAGAGGCAAACGCAGGAGGATTGCTTGAGCCCAGGAGTTCAAGACCGGCCTAGGCAATACAGCAAGACTTTGTCTATTAAAAAGAAATTAGCTGAGTCTGTTGGCGTGCACCTGTAGTCCTAGCTACTCGAGAGGCTGAGGCAGGAGGATCACTTGAGCCCCGGAGGTCAAGGCTGCAGTGAGCTATGATTGCACCACTGCACTCCACTCTGGGTGACAGAGCAAGACCCTGTCTCAAAAAAAAAAAAAAAAAAGAAAGAAAGAAATGGAACCCGCTAGATGTAAGGCAACATAAATTTAGGCTACCATTATTATTGTCACTATTTCTATAAGAATTAGATTTTTTTACTCAGGGTCTTGGGAAACAGACAAAAATAGAAATGTATGAAGATATTCTGATTTCCCTCCTTTGGAGAAACTTTTTTTCTTGTTATGTTCTTCAGCTAATTAAAACAAAATGAGCCCAACATCTACCATTTCCCTAAGATCCACAATTTCCAAAAATCCTTTTGGAACTTGAATTGCCTAGCTAATCCACAAAGTCTGCATTTGAGCTTCCACCAGATGCAGTCCCTAAAGCGGCCCTCACCCCATGCCTCTGCTGAGCAGAATTCCGTTCATGGGGAAGTCCTTCAGAAGCCTGCCCAGGTCGTCTCTGCCCTAACTTCTCTGAACTCTGGAGCAGCGGTCCCCAACCTTTTTGGCACCAGGGACCTGTTTTGTGGAAGACAGTTTTTCCACAGACCAGTGAGGAAGGATGGTTTTCAGATAATGCAACCACATTACATTTATTATGTACTTTATTTCTATTATTATTACATTGTAATATATAATGAAATAATTACACAACGTGTAATTACACATCATGTAGAATCAGTGGAAGCCCTGAGCCTGTTTTCCTGCAGCTAGACGATCTCCTCTGGGGGTGATGGGAGACAGTGACAGATCATCAGGCATTAGATTCTCACAAGGAGTGCACAATCTAGATCCCTCGCGTGTGCAGTTTACAATAGGGTTTGAGCACCTATGAGAATCTAATGCTGCTGCTGATCTGACAGGAGGTAGAGTTCAGGCGGCAATGTTTGCTCACCTGCCACTCACCTCCTGCTGTGTAGCCTGGTTCCTAACAGGCCACAGACTGGTGCTGGTCCACAGCCTGGGCGATGAGGAGCCCTGCTCTCGAGCACTGGCACTCTGCAATGCCTATTTCATTCTCATTGGGTTGTGCCTTGTGTTGGTACTTAACTGCGTTGTTTTGTGTATCTTGTTGACTTAATGTCTTAGCCCATTTTGTGTTGCTATAAAGGAATACCCAAAACTGGGTCATTTAGAAAGAAAAGAGGTTTACTTGGCTCCTGGTTCCTGCAGGCTGTACAAGAATCATGGCACCCACATCTGATTGGCTTCTGGTGAGGCCTTGGGAAGCTTTTATTCATGGTGGAAGGGAAGGGGGAGCAGGTACATCACATGGTGAGAGAGAAAGCAAGAGATGCCATGCTCTTTTAAACAGCCAGCTCTCCTTTGAGCTAATAGAGTGAGAACCTACTTATTACTGTGGGGAGGGCCTCAAGACATTCATGAGGGATCCGCCCCTATGACCCATGCCCCTCCCACCAGACCCCACTTCCAGTATTGGGGATCACATTTCAAAATGAGATTTGGAGGGTACAAACATCCAAACTATATCACTTAGCTAGATTTCAGTGTAGTCACCTCTAGGGAAAGACGTACATGTGTTTTCTCCTGCCTCCTAACTCTTCTTCAAGGATGCTGGGAGACTGGTACCACATTGGTAGCCAATTTCTTCATGAGCACAAATTCAAAGATTAGACAGAGGGTAGCAATTGTTTGTAAACATAACAGATTCTTGACTTCGGATGTATTAATTCACTGATTTATAATTAGTAATTGACTCATTAAGCATTTTGATAGCAATTAGTTTTTTAAAGAACAGCTTAGACACAATAGGTAAATTATTACATAAATTCAGAAATGTTTTCTTTCTTTTTTTTTTTTTTTTTTTTTTTGGGATGGAGTTTTACTCTTATTGCCCAGGCTGGAGTGCAATGGCACGATTTCGGCTCACTGCAACCTCTGCCTCCCAGGTTCAAGCGATTCTCCTGCCTCAGCCTCCCAAGTAGCTGGGATTACAGGCATGTGCCACCATGCCCGGCTAATTTTGCATTTTTAGTAAAGACAGGGTTTCACCATGTTGACCAGGTTGGTTTCAAACCTCTGACCTCAGATGATCCACCCACCTCAGCCTCCCAAAGTGCTGGGATTACAGGTGTGAGCCACCACGCCCAGCCATTGTTTTCTTATTTTTTTGTTTTTTAAAATAGAGATGGGGTCCCACCATGTTGCCCAAGTTGATCTTGAACTCCTGGGCTCAAGTGATCCACCTACCTCGGCCTCCCAGAGGGCTCGGATTACAGGCTTGAGCCACTGCACCCTGCCTAGCAGCATTGTTTAACACTACAAAAACCATATAACCACTGAGCTCCTTCTCAGAAGGAAGATGGCGAAAGCTCACTGCTCAACAGTGACTAGATTCATAACCTGGGGCTTTGGTCTGTTTGTTTTAGGCTTAACTCTTGCAGATTTGGGGAATGTCAGGTTCCAAAACTTGAGTTCATTATTCCTGTCAATTCAGGGCACACCCTTACCATAAGCCCATGAAAGACACCTTGTTGGGTTATTTTATTATTTTTTCTTTATCTCCATGCTCACTCCCCATTTTCATCCTGCCTATACATAGATGTCTTTGAAAATAAATATTATTGCCGACTCCAATTTAATTTTCCAAGGTCCTGTTCCAAGCACTTTTATACACATTCTCTTCTTTCATCCTCCCAACAGCACTATGAGAAACATTGTTTTGGCCTGGCCTGGTGGCTCACTCCTGTAATCCCAACACTTTGGGAGTCCGAGGTGGGTGAATGACCTGAGTTCATGAGTTCAAGATCAACCTGGCCAACATGGTGAAGCCCCCATCTCTATTAAAAATAAAAAAAATTAGCCCATGTGATAACACATGCCTGTAGTCTCAGCTACTCGGGAGGCTGAGGCACGAGAATGACTTGAACCCCAGAGGCAGAGGTTGCCATGAGCTGATATCGTGCCACTGTGCTCCAGCCTGGGTGACAGAGTGAGATCCTGTCTCAAAAAAAGAAAAATTCTTTTGTTGTTCCCATTTAACAGAAGAGGAAACAGAGGCATGGATATGTGAAGTAATTTTCCCAAGATCATGCATTTAGCATATGGCAGCGTGAGGACTCGAATCCAGGCTACATAAAACCTGAGCTCTAGCACTCTGCAGTACTGTATCTACTCTATATTTTAAAATATACTGTGTTGTTTCGCGTGTGTGTTTTAAAATGTATTTGAATGTTATTGTGCAACTACTGTGAAACCAGAAAATGTGAGACAGGTCTCAGTTAATTTAGAAAGTTTATTTTGCCAAGGTTGAGGATGCACCCGTGACACAGCCTCAGGAGGTCCTGGCGACATGTGCCCGAGGTGGTTGGGGCATAGCTTGCTTTTATCCATTTAGGGAGACATGAGACACCAATCAATTTATGTAAGAAGTACATTGGTTCGGTCTGGAAAGGTGAGACAACTTGAATCAAAGGCGGAAGATTGGAACGGGGGAAGGGACTTCCAGGTCACAGACAAGTGATACACAAACGGTTACATTCTTTTGAGTTTCTGATTAGCCCTTCCAAAGGAGGCAAATCAGATATGCGTCTATCTCAGTGGGCAGAGAGGGGTGACTTTGAATAGAATGGGAGGCAGGTTTGCCCTAAGCAGTTCCCGGCTTTAGGTTTCCTTAGTGATATTAGTGGCCCAAGATATTTTCCTTTCGTACTACAGATACCCTTCTATATCATACCTTCTTCATTCTACATTATGCTTTTAAGATCTAATCACCTGCTAAAGATATCACTAGTTGATGGATCGCCACAGAGCATTCCATCACATCCATCCATCTCAGCTTACTCTTTCTTTTTAATTTGAAGCACAAATGCTTTAAAGGCGCATCTCAATTCCCGTGTGGCGGGCAAAAAATAAAATATAGGAGCAGATCGTGGCACACCATTCCCACCAGCCAAGTGGTCAAACCCCACATCCAAGACCCAGTGAGCAGCCAAGTTCAGCGCAACTTCCAGGCCTCTTGCTCTGACTCCAACAGGGTGAGCACGTCCCCCTCACACACGGGGCCTTTTACACTGCGGATGCTGGAGCGGCTCGTGTTGTCCATAAATTCCACGCGCACCTGCGTGCAGTGTCCCTGAGAGCCGGTCCTGCCCAGGACCTCGGTGACCCTGGCCAGCTTGATAGGCTGCACGTGGCTGGTGTCCATGACGGCGGCGTGGCGGTCTGGCAGAGTCAGTTGACTGTTCTGTTTTTTGTTTTTCGTTTTTGAGACAGAGACTTGCTCTGTCTCCCAGGCTGGAGTGCAATGATGTGATCTGGGCTCACTGCAACCTTGGCCTCCTGGGTTCAAGCAATTCTTCTGCCTCAGCCTCCGAGTAGCTGGGACTACAGGTGTGCACCACCACGCCCGGCTACTTTTTGTATTTTTAGTAGAGACAGGGTTTCACTATGTTGGCCAGGCTGGTCTGGAACTCCTGACCTCAGATGATCTGCCTACCTCAGCCTCCCAAAGTGCTGGGATTACAGGCGTGAGCTACCGGGCCCAGCCCAGTTGACTTTTTTATGTCCCTAATGAGGGGCAGTCAGAATGTCTCCCAATCCCTAATCCCCAAACATTCTAATAAACATTCTCACTCATGGCCCCTTACATACCTGTGTGAATTTCTCTAGAATATATCATTTGGAATGGGATTGCTGGCATATAAAGTACACACTGCCTGTTAGATTGATTTCTGGCATGATGATGCTAACTAACCCTCTTCCCAGCAGCACAAAAGATTCTTTTTTCTCTAATTTCTCATGAACATTTATCTGACTTTATAATTTTTACCAATTTGATGGTTGTCAAGTGTATACCATTGTTGCTTTTCATTTGCATTTCTCTAAGCATGAATGAAATTGAACCTCTCTTCATAAACTTGGAGGCTGTTGGGTTTACCTTTCTGTGAATTTCTTATTCATATATTTTGTTCATTTTTGATACTGGGTCTGCTGTCTTGTTATCTAGGTACCATCAATTTTAGAGGCTTCAAATATTGCCTTCTCAGTCTTCCCCCCGTCAGTTAACTTCATTTATGGTGTCCTTATTGAACAGAAATTCTTTTTTTTTTTTTTGAGATGCAGTCTCACTCTGTCGCCCAGGCTGGAGTGGAGTGGTGTGATCCAGGCTCACTGCAACCTCCGCCTCCCGGGTTCAAGCAATTCTCCCTGCCTCAGCCTCCCAAGTAGCTGGGATTACAGGCACCTGCCACCACACCCAGCTAATTTTTGTATTTTTTTTAGTAGAGATGGGTTTTCACCATGTTGGCCAGGCTGGTTTTGAGCTCTTGACCTCAGGTGATCCGCCCACCTTGGCCTCCCAAAGTGCTGGGATTACAGTCGTGAGCCACCATGCCTGGCCAGAAATTCATAATATTGATATAATTATATCCACTGATTTTGGGGGGCTTTTATTAAACCTTGGAGTCTTGTTTGGAAAATAATTTCCTTAGACATCGACTGGATATAGTGGAGTAATTTGTATAAAACTAAGCTTCTATAACAAAGAACTATAGGCTGGGTGCAGTGGCTCACGCCTGTAATCTCAGCACCTTGGGAGGCTGAAGCGGGTGGATTGCCTAGCTCAGGAGTTTGAGATCAGCCTGGGCACCATGGCAAAATCCTGTCTCTACCAAAATTACAAAAAATTATCTGGACGTGGTGGTCTGTGTCTGTGGTTTCAGCTACTCGGGAGGCTGAGGTGGGAGGATCGCAGGATCGCTTGAGCCCTGGAGGTGGAGGTTGCAATGAGCTGAGATCATGCCACTACACCAACCCGGCCTGGGTGACAGATTGAGGCCCCCTCTGAAAAAACAAACAAACAAAAAACAGAAGAAGAACTATAAAAACTGAATAGCAAACAACAGAACAGCTGTTTCATGGTATTGGAAAGTAAACAAGACAACTAAGACTTGAGGGTCCAAAAAGTCAGAGAGAAGAGTGCATTGACATAAGCCTGATATTTTCCACAGCATTTTACTCTCAGGAAATTTGCTGTAACAAGTATAAAGGTGGAAGAGAAAGCAGTGGCATTGAGATCGTGGTACTCACTGGGATGAGTCTACAGGATTGGAGTTAATGGCTAGTAAGTCAGCCTGAACTTGAAGGGCTCCATCCCAGAAGAACAGATTGCATGAAATTTCACCTCAAGGCATTCACCAACTCATAAACTGTAAAATACAAGTTCAATACATCTTTGTTTCTAGGTGCTCAAAGCATAAAAAATTAATCAGATTTTTGTCAGTCTCACAGTGCTGAGGAGAAAAAAAGTGGAGATCAGAGCCTGGAAAAAGGGAGGAACCCTGGTAAACTTCCAGGTTTCCAGTTGAGACCCTTGAAGGGATATACCTTTGAAGAGAGGGAAAACTGCAAAACAACAACAATAACAAAGGTTTAGGAGGGGACACAGTTTTTGTGCAGCCTCTATAAGCTGGCTGAAACTGGCTTAAGGTCCGCAGTTGCTTATGTTGTTTGTAAGGCGTATCCTCTGTCCATTGGAGTTGATATGGTCTGGGTTGTAAATCAGCTGGTAACTTCCCTGGTAGCTCCCATTGTTAGGGAGTTTGGCAAGAGTATGGATTTCCTAGTAGCCTGAGGAATTTAGAAATGCACCATGCCAGCCAGGCCCTGACCTCTACCCCTAGGTATCCTCTGTGTCCTTAATGTTAGGGTCTGTCTTAGTTGATATAAAGAGGTGTCTCAGATCACAGTGTGAATCCCAATCCCAGCTCCACCACTTCCAAGCAGTGTATTTAGGCAAATTACCTTTGTTTCTTGCCTCATTTTCCTGTCTAGGGAATGTGGGGTGGAGAGGATGATCATAACTACCATCCGTAAACTTTTTTTTTTTTTTTGAGACAACATCTTGCTCTATAACCCAGGCTGAAGTGCAATGGCACGATCTTGGCTTGCTGCAACCTCTGCCTCCCAGGTTCAAGTAACTCTCCTGCCTCAGCCTCCCAAGTAGCTGTGATTACAGGTGCCCGCCACCATGCCTGGCCAACTTTTTTTTTTTTTTTTTTTGTATTTTTAGTAGAGGTGGGGTTTCACCATGTTGCCCAGGCTGGTCTGGAACTCCTAGTATCAAGTGACCCATCCACCTCGGCCTCCCAAACTGCTGGGATTACAGGCATGAGCCACCACGCCCGGCCACATCCATACACATTAAGTGTATTGAGACTGTGGTCACTGCTGTACTTTGGCACATGTTAAACACGGAATAAGTAGTATCCAGTATCGCAAAAGATATGACCTAGTATTCCTAATTCCTGACCTGATTTTCCCTTGCCTATCATTGTGTTGCAAGAAGCTTAAAATGCATGCTGTCTTTAGTCTGCCCTCTTATTCTTTTATTAGAACATTGCTGAAAAGCTTTGGTTTCCTTGTGTCTTGTTTTCTTCCAGGACTCCATTTTGGATTCATTCATTCATTCATTCAATCATTCAATCATCCTGATGACTGAATGCATTGAATTGATGATGAAGGCATTGACAAGCATTGATTTAGTGCAGATGTTTGTCCGTCTCCTGCTCTTTCAAGCCTCATGGCCCCCTCCTGCTATCCCACCATGGCGCTCTCTGTTCTCAGTGAGTCTGTGGGGTCTGTGTGTGGTTTTTTTGTTCATTTGTTTGTTTTTTCAGACAGAGTTTCGTTCTATCGCCCAGGCTGGAGTGGCGCCATCTCGGCTCACTGCAACCTCTGCCTTCCAGTTTCAAGTGATTCTCCTGCCTCAGGCTCCCGAGTAGCTGTGACTATAGGTGCCTGCCACCACGCCCAGCTAATTTTTGTATTTTTAGTAGAGACGGGGTTTCACCATGTTGGCCAGGCTGGTCTCGAACTCCTGACCTCGTGATCTGCCCACCTCAGCCTCCCAAAATGCTGGGATTACAGGCATGAGCCACCGTGCCCGGCCCTGTGTACGTTTTTATAATGCTCCTCTCAGTTCTTCTTTCCCCCGCCCCACTCTCAGACACACATTATGGCTATAATGTCCTTTATGGGAATCTCTTGGAAGCCCCATTAACTGACCTTTCCCTGATCTTCCTACTGACTTCACTTTATTCATTTGTTGATTTATTTACCCAATGTTTTTTGAGCACCTTCTGTGTTCCAGGTATGATTTCAGTCACTGGGGATAGAGCACCAAATAAGCAAAAAAAAGTCTGTCGTCATTGTATCACAACTTTCTCACTGTCTTTCTGGGCAGGGTAGGCACAGCTATGTGTCCCTATCTGGAAATGATGGCTATGGAATGAAATTTCCACCCCAGGGAAGAATGCAGCCCCCATCTGTATGATATTTCCTGATTATCTCTGTGCCAATCTCTCTGATACTCTTGGGAACTTGCCCATTCTTTGGTAAACTCTTTCTCTTTCTACAAGCCCCAACCCAGATGTTGCGTAAAACGTCAGTCTTTCCCTAACCCTCCCAAGGGACCTCCCTGAGTGCTGCATAAATATCTGTGTTGAATAAATAGTGACAGAGATAAAAATGATGTGGTTCTGGAAAAGGGCAGTCAGATTGGTGAAAGCACAGGCTGCATTTCACTTGGGTGCTGCGTGATGGAACATAGATTGCTTTTTTTATTTTTCCTTAAACAGACCAGGTAGGAAGAAGGTATGGCTACAGCCTTCAAATATTTAAAGAGTTGGCAGGTGCAGTGGCTCATGCCTGTAATCCCATCAGTTTGGGAGGCTGAGGTGGGAGGACTGCTTGAGCCCAGTAGTTTGAGATCAGCCTGGCAACACAGCGAGACCCTATCTCTACAAAAACATTTTAAAATTAGCTGGATGTAATGGTACACACTTGTAGCCCTAACAGCTTAAGAGGCTGAGGTGGGAGGATCCCTTGAGCCTAGGAATGTGAGGCTTCAGTGAGCTATGATTGCACCACCGGACTCCCGTCTGGTCCACAGGGAAAGTTTTATACATATATACCTGCATATATACACGTGAAATTATACATCTATATATATATATATTAGATGTATATACATATACATACATATTTATATGTGTCTGTATATGTAAATACATATATACATATTTATATGTGTATCTACATATATACACACATATAAATACGTATGGGGTTTTTTTTTGGTGTTGTTTTGTTTTGAGACAAAGTTTCACTCTTGTTGCCCAGGCTGGAGTGCAATGGTACGATCTCAGCTCACTGCAACCTCTGTCTCCCGGGTTCAAGCAATTCTCCTGTTCAAGCAGCCTCCCAAGGAGCTGGGTTTACAGGCATGCACCACCATGCCCAGCTACTTTTGTATTTTTAGTAGAGACAGGGTTTCCTACGTGTGATATATAGATTAGAAAGATAGATATTTAAAGAGCTGCCTAATTGTATTAGTCCATTTTCATGCTGTGGATACAGACATACCTGAGACTGGGAAGAAAAAGAGGTTTAATTGGACTTACAGTTCCACATGGCTGGGGAGGCCTCAGAATCATGGCTGGAGATGAAAGGCACTTCTTATATGGTGGCAGCAAGAGAAAATGAGGGAGATACAAAAGCAGAAACTCCTGATAAAACCATCAGATCTCATGAGACTTACTCACTACCACGAGAACAGTATGGGGGAAACTGCCTCCATGGTTCAAATTGTCTCCCTCCAGGCTCTCCGATAACACATGGGAATTATGGGAGCTACAATTCAAGATGAGATTTGGGTGGGGACACAGAGCCAGACCATATGACTAATGGAGTTTGGAAGTGGGGATCAAATTGAAAAAAGCTTTCAGGAGAGTAGATAACAGGGGTTGGGGAAGAATACCTTAGAAACAAGGGCAGTTCAGCAGATGAGACCCAAATACCCACCTTCCAGCCTTTGCTGCAGCCCCATACCAGACAAATGGAATCTTCACGCCCTAGAGCTCAGTGTCCATGTTGACCTCCCCCAGAATTTCCCAGGGGCCTAGAAGATGGTTCCAGTATCATCAGTGGCCCTTCCAGCTTGGTGTACAGTGCCAGAGGAGTGAAGCAAGGCTCTACGCTCATCTTTTTTTTTTTTTTTTTTTTTGAGACTGAGTCTCGCTCAGTCGCCCAGGCGCCTGCCACTACACCCAGCTAATTTTTTGTATTTTTAGTAGAGATGGGGTTTCACCTTGTTAGCCAGCATGGTCTCAATCTCCTGACCTCGTGATCCACCCGTCTCAGCCTCCCAAAGTGCTGGGATTGCAGGCGTGAGCCACCGCGCCCAGTCCACTCATCTATTTTTAAGCAGTAGATTTATGTAGCCATGCCGAAGAGGCCCTGAGAAGCTGTTTATTATGAAATCAAACTTGTGGTTTCTGGAAACTTTTTTCTAACTCAGCAGGTGATGCCATTAGAGTTCTGACATGGCTTCTGGTCATGCAGAGAAGAACTTCCAGGGTATTATTTTAAGAACATCCCAAATGCTCTGCACAACTTCACCCAGGACACCTGGGAGTCTCTACTACACTGACAGGTCAACACTCCCTCCTTGCCTGCACTGCCAAAATGAGGTTACAGAAAAAGCTTTAGCTAAAAGCAAAAGCTGCAGAAGGTACATGTAACCTGTAGATTGCATTTTGTGGTCAAGCATCCCGCAACCTCAAGACTACCATTGGGCAGATGGGTGTCTTCATTTCACTCACAGCTGAAAGATGGAAAATGAAAAGCAGTGCCCTGGCAGTACAGGAGGAGGGATGTTTTTTGTTTTTTGTTTCTGTTTTTTGAGACGGAGTTTCGCTCTTGTTGCCCAGGCGGAGTGCAAGGGTGCGATCTCCGCTCACCGCAACTTCTCCTCCCGGGTTCAAGCGATTCTCCTTCCTCAGCCTCCAGAATAGCTGGAATTACAGGCATGCGCCAACCACGCCTAGCTAATTTGGTATTTTTAGTAGAGACAGGGTTTCACCATGTTGGCCAGCCTGGTCTCGAACTCCTGACCTCAGGTGATCCGCCCGCCTCGGCCTCCCAAACTGCTGGGATTGAAACACCGCACCTGGCCTAGAGGGATGCCTTTTAATGAATCCATCTACCACTGCTAATTCACTCTGCAGACAGTCTCATTCCTGGCAGAAAGACCTCCCATTTTTTCCTTCCTAGGGCCAGAAGCACTTTTTCCTTCTTTCACTTGTTTAACCCACTGCTATCCTGCACCCTGCTTGCTGTCTGCTCTGGGAAGAGCTGAAACAACTCCTTTGCCAGATTCACACCAATGTTAGCAGCCTTCTGTCTAGTTCGTCTTCAGTAAAGCCTCATCATTGCCTTGGCCTGGACCCCTCAAGCTTTTTCATCTACTCTAGATCCTTAGACAACAACATCTACACCAGTGCTACAGTTTGGATATGTGTCCCCTCCAAATCTCATATGGAAAGGTGACCCTGATATGGTTTGGCTGTTTGCCCACCCAAATCTCATCTTGAATTATAGCTCCCATAATTTCCATGTGTTGTTGGAGGGACCTGGTGGGAGGTAATTGAATCATGGGGGTGGGTCTTTACTGTGCTGTTCTCGTATTAGTGAATAAGTGCTACAAGATCTGATGGTTTTATAAACAGGAGTTCTCCTGCACAAGTTCTCTCTCTTCTCTGCCACCATGTAATATGTGACTTGCTCCTCCTTGCCTTCCACCATGATTGCGAGGTCTCCCCAGCCATGTGGAACTGGGAGTCCATTAAACCTCTTTTTCTTTATAAATTACCCAGCCTTGGGTATGTCTTTATTAGCAACATGAGAACAGACTAATACAACCCTCAGTGTTGGAGGTGGGGCCTGGTGGGAGGTGTTTGGGTCATAGGGACAGATCCCTCATGAATGGCTTGGTGCCCTCCCCATGGTAATGAGTGAGTTCTCGTTCTGTTAGTTCATTCAAGAGCTGGTTGCTTAAAAAGAGCCTGGCATCTCTCTTGCTCCCTTTCTTGTCACGTGGCACACCTGTTCCCCCTTTGCCTTCTACCATGAGTAAAAGCTTCCTGAGGTCTCACCAGAAGCC
Source organism: Homo sapiens (assembly GCF_000001405.40). Classification (NCBI taxonomy): domain Eukaryota; kingdom Metazoa; phylum Chordata; class Mammalia; order Primates; family Hominidae; genus Homo; species Homo sapiens. The sequence continues at coordinate 71,934,461 of NC_000007.14, read as the reverse complement.
AAGTAGATACAGGCACCATGCTTGTACATCCTGCAGAACCATGAGCCAAGTAAACCTCTTTTCTTTATAAATTACCCAGCCTCAGGTATTCCTTATACAATGCAAAATAGACTAAGATAATCAGTGACTATACCAGTGACTTCACACATCCCATAAGTACTAACAATCTTCCACAGTTTTCTCTATTCCACTTAACAGAACACCTTCAGATATGGGATCTAAGAAAGAACAATTCTCATTGAATATTATCTTTCTTTGAGAATTCACAATCTTTTGAGGTGTCGGGAGAACTATTTTAGCTAGAAGTTGCATGAGCCAGTTCCAGCCTGCAGCCCTCTTTTGTCTGGCAAATATAAGTCACATTTAAAAAAATTTGATATCAGCATTTTCAAATAGGGAGCTTCAATGCAAAAACTCAGATTGGCTGTTCTGTAAAGAGTGAACCTACATTCCCATATGGCAGCCCCCGACTGAAGCTGCTTCCTTTGCACGTACATACATTTGAGGTTTCCTTGATCTTTGCCACCCCTTTTGTGTTGCAGTCATCCCATGTCACTCACTCACGTCACCTGCCTGGCCCTGGTGTTGATAATCCCTTGACCCTGCTAAGGCCAATAATTATCAATACTGCTCCGAACCTAGCACAGCAGGACCGTGTGACTTATGATACCTTATGTTAAAGTCTCTCCGCATAAAATAACTTACATTCTCACTGGGAGATAAGCTAAGATTTATATAGAGAATTAATTCTAGAACATAAAAACCTAGAAATGCACATTTCGTTAAGCTTCTACTGACTGCCTGGCACCAAGGATTCAGAGGTGAGTAAGACAAAGTGCCTGCCCACACAAAATTGTGACTTGATGAGTGTTAAGCAAAGCAACCATTTCTTTTACGATGTTGAAGCGGTGTGGTTGTCTAGGGTAAATACCCAGGGCTCATCATCTTGCGCCAAGAAAATTTAGGACATGGACACACATGAGGAGTTTAGGAGCGGAGGTTTAATAGGCAAAAGAAAGAGAAAGGAGAACAGCTCCCTCTCTAGTGAGAGGGGCTTCCGAAAGGAAAGACCAGCCGGCGGCGGCGTTCACCAGATTTTATAAGCAGGCTTGAGGAGGCAGTGTCTTCTTTATGTAGGACCCACAGATTGGTTCCATCAGGTGTGACATTTACGTACCACGCAGGGAAGCCTGGCCACCTCACCCTACTCTTATTATGCAAATGGGTTTCCCACTTAACTGGCGCCATCTTGTCTTCTTACTGTACATACGGCTGGCAAAGAGGAGGGAAGATGGGGCCACCATTTTGGACATGCCTAGTCCCAGGTAGCTTTTTTCTTGATGGCATTCACCCATGCAAGCTTCTAGCTTGCATGTCTATGTCTGTAGCTCGATTTTGCAGGCTGCTCTTTGTTAGAATATGATTTGGGGGCTGCTTTTCGTTAAAAAGGGAGACCTTACCAAGGACTCCTGTACCCTCACTATCTGCCTAAGTAGTTTCTTCTTAACTCCTACATCAATGTGACATGCGCCCTATCTGGAATTGTCAAAAGTAGTGATTATGAATGGGGAGAAGCGTATCAGAATAAAAATCTTCCCATACCCCCCTAGATTCTAACATACACTTCTCTTTTTTTTTTTTTTTTTGAGATGGAGTATCGCTCTGTCACCCAGGCTGGAGTGCAGTGATGCGATCTCGGCTCACTGTAAGCTCCGCCTCCCGGGTTCATGCCATTCTCCTGCCTCAGCCTCCCGAGTAGCTGGACTACAGGTGCCCGCCACCACGCCCAGCTAATTTTTTTTTTGTATTTTTAGTAGAGACGGGGTTTCACCGTGTTAGCCAGGATGGTCTTGATCTCCTGACGTTGTGATCCGCCCGCCTCGGCCTCCGAAAGTTCTGGGATTACAGGCGTGAGCCACCCTGCCCGGCACATATACTTCTTATAGTCAAGTTGTAGACAAAAGATTCAAGTTAATATAGTTTAAACCATTTTACCACCAGGCACGATAGCTCATGCTTGTAACCACAGCACTTTGGGAGGCCGAGGCAGGAGGATCACTTCAGACCAGGAGTTCAAGACCAGCCTAGACAACATAGTGAGACCTCATCTCTATGAAAAATAGCTGGGCATGGTGGTGTGTGCCTGTAGTCCCAGCTACTCAGGAGGTTAAGGTGGGAAGATCGCTTCAGCGCAAGAGTTGGGGGTTGCAGTGAGCTATGATCACTGTACTCCAGCCTGGGTGACAGAGAAATGACATAAATAAATAAATAAAACATTTATTAGGGGTCTTGGGTCACAGCATTGTTGGAAGGTCTTAGTTTCCCAGAACCACTCTCCAAAGCACACTGACAACCTGGGACTCCAAGGCGGCTACCTCCAGTGGCACAACAGAAAAGCTGGTGATTCAGTGAGCCGTTTGCTGAATCCAGAAGCTACCACCTTAATTGCCAGTTCCAGAATCACACCAGCAGTGTCATCATTCACACTGGCAAACTGCATGCCAACTGCCCTGATTCTCTGCTCATGTGTCTCACTTCCAAATCAAGGTTTGATGTAAAGTGTGCTAGGCTGGCAGACCCCTTGCTGCAAAGAAGTCTAAGAAATGAGTTTTGGGCTCCTCTACACTTTGGGAAGACAAATCAGAAGAATGATTATTGATTAAGATAATCTGTAATTCCTGCCACCGTAAGCCTCCCATCATCACCCTCCTCAAAGAGAATCCCTGTCTAACTATCCACAGTTATGACTGGGATTGCACTGTATCCCTCAGTAGCAACGGCTTTGAAAGAAAGGGTTAGAACTACTGACCTACTACCATGTCGTGAAATTACAGTCCATCAGCCAAATCTAACTCACTACCTGTTTTCGTAGGGCCCAAGAAAACCATGGTTTTCAGCTGGGCGCGGTGGCGCATGCTTGTAATTCCAGCACTTTGGGAGGCCAAAGTAGGCCGATCACTTGAGCTCAGGAGTTCAAGAACAGCCTGGGCAACGTGGTGAAACCCCGTCTCTACTAAAAATACAAAAATCGACTGGGTGTTGTGGCACATGCCTGTAATCCCAGCTACTCCAGAGGCTGAGGCAAAGAGAATCACTTGAAGCCAGGAGACGGAGGTTGCAGTGAGCCGAGATCACTCCACTGCACTCTAGCCTGGGTGACAGAGTGAGACTCCATCTCAAACAAAAAAAAAAGAGAATGGTTTTCACAGATGAACATATGCTACCAATTTGATGATAGGAAGAACTAACTTTAAATCCCAATTAAGCAAAATGTTATCCCCTCTAAAAAAAGAATTCAGTTTTTCTTATTCATGTACCCACATTTCAAAAAGAAAAACCTCTATTATTATTTGTTAATTTCATCAATACAAGTATTTTTGGAAATTTGTTTTCTCTCTTATTAAGTACCTCCACAGTTTCCTTGATTTTTCCTTCTGGCACACAAAGCCTAAATATTTGTAATCTGTCGCTTTGCCAGAAAAAAAAGTTTGCAGACCTCTGTCTAGAAACATGTACGGTGTTATAAAAGTACCAAAAGGGACATCTAAATTAGACAAAGAAGTCAGAGAAGACTTTGGCATGGGTTATGCTGCACTTGAAAAGCAATTAAGCATTTTAAAGATGGAGAAGAGAAGGGAAGGAGTTTCGAGACCCAGAAAACAGCATGTGAGAAGCGCAGAAGAGTTTCTGGAACTGGGACACCAGAATACACACACGCGAGAGAATGAAGTTGGACTGCTTCATTACACCAAACACAACAATTAACTCAAAATGGATCAAAGACCTAAATTCCAGATCTGAAACGATAAAACTCTTAGAAGTAAATATAGGAGCAAATGTTCATAAAGCACAAGGGACCAAAGATAAAATAGGCAAATTGGACTTCATCAAAATTAAAAAGTGTATTAAAAATTTAAAAAGACACTATCAAGAAGCTAAAAAGACAACTCACACCATGGGGTGCATATATTTGCAAATCATATAGCTTTATAAAGGGCTTGTGTCTAGAATGTATAAAGAACTCTTTCAATGATAGAAAGACAACATACAGAAAGGATGGACAAACGATCTAAAAAATACAGTTTTCCTAAGAAGATACACAAAAGGCCAGTAATCACATGAAAAGGTGTTCGACATTATGTCTTTAAGGAAACGCAAATCAAAGCCATAATGAGTCACCACACCATCCTGCTAGGATGGCTATATTGAAAAAGACAGATACCAGTAAGTACAGTTGGCACTCTGTATCCGTGGGTTCTGCATCTGTGGATTCAAATAACTATAGGTCAAAAATAGCCTGGGAAAAAAATTGTGTCTGTCCAAAACATGTACAGATTTTTTTCTTTAGTCACTATTCCCTAAACCATACAATATAACAACTATTTACATAACATTTACATTGCATTCGGTATTGTAAGTAATCTAGAGGTGATTTAAAGTATACAGGAACATGTGCGTAGGTTATATGCAAATACGACATCATTTTATATAAGATGCTTGAGCAGCCGTGGATTTTGGTATCCATGAGATGTCCTGAAACCAATTCCCACAGATACCGAGGGACAGCTGTACTAAAAAGGATGTGGAAAAATTGGAACCCTCATCCATTGCTGCTGTGAATGCAAATTGTGCAGCCAATTGGGAAGACAGTCTGGCATCCCTCAAACGGCTGAACAATTACCATATACTCCATCAATTTCACTCCTGGGTAATACTGAGAAATAAAAACATACATCCACAAAAACCATATACAAGAATATTCATAGCTGCATTGTTCACAATAGCCAAAAAGTGGACATAACCCAAATGTCCTTCAGCTGATGAATAAACAAAAGTGGCATATCCATACAATGGAATATTATTTATCAATAAAAAGAAATGATTCACAATAGCAAGGACGTGGAATCAACCTACATGCCCATCAATGGTAGACTGGATAAAGAAAATGTGGTACATATACACCATGGAATACAATGCAACCATAAAAAGGAATGAGATCATGTCCTTTGCAGAGGCATGGATGAAGCTGGAAGCCATTATCCTCAGCAAACTAATGCAAGAACAGAAAACCAAATACCAGTACTGCATGTTCTCACTTGTAAGTGGGAGCTGAATGATGAGAACACATGGAAACATCAAGGGGAGCAACACACACTGGGGCCTGTCAGAGGGTGGGGAGTGGGAGGAGGGAGGGCATCAGGAAGAATAGCTAATGGATTCTGGGCTGAATATCTAGGTGATGGGATGATCTGAGGTAAACCACCATGGCACGTGTTTAACTATGTAACAAACCTGCACATCCTGCACATGTACCCTTGAACTTAAAAGTTGGAAAAATAAATATTAAAAAAATGAAATTCTGTTACATGCTACAATGTGAATAAAACATTATGCTAAGTGGAAGTAGCCAGACCCAAAAGGTCACATATCATATAATTCCATTTACATGACACATCAAAAATCGGTGAATCCATTGAATCAGAAAGCAGGGAAGTGGGTCCCTGGTAGGAGAGCAGCAGGGGTTGCTGGCGGGTTTGGGGGTGGGGGGTAGGTGAAAATCAAGAATATTTCTTTTTTTTTTGTATTTTTGTATTTTTAGTAGAGGCGGGGTTTCGCCACGTTGGCTGGTCTGGAGCTCCTGACCTCAAGTGATCTGCCCACCTCAGCCTCCCAAAATGGTGATATTATAGGCATGAGCCACTGCGCCAGGCCTAGAATATTTCTTTTTGCGGCGATAAAAGTGTTCTAAGATCAGTTGTAGAATCTGTTGTTGTGATGATGGCATAACTCTGTGACTCTACAAAAAACCATTGACTTGTATACTTTAAGCGAAAGATATGGTATGTGAACTATTACATTGGTGCAAAAGTAATTGCATTTTTTGACATTAAAAGTAATGGCATTCTGTATCCACGGGTTCTGCATCCATGGATTCAAATAACCGTGGATCAAAAATATTCGGGGTAAAATTGTGTCTGTACAAAACACGGACAGACCTTTTTTTTTTTTTTTTGCCATTAAAAGTAATGGCAAACCTCTCAGAGAATTGAAGCCCCAGGGCAATTGGGTGGCCTGAAGTCAATGGAAAGATAGGCATTCCCAAGGAGAGATTGGACACAACCATTGAGTCATCTATGGGAAACCAAGGAGGTAGAGATGCCAGGTGCCATACAGTGGGAGAGAATCATTCAGTGAAATTTTTAAACAAATTTCTGAAGTCGTGGGGTGGACTTGCATGAGAATATAGGCTTGCGCCCACTTACAGGGTATTCTCCATGGACCTCCGTTGTGCACTCACAAGAAAGATTGGTGATGGGGCAGGAGGTGAGAGAAAGCCCTCCTCCATATTGAAGACAGAGAGGAGATGAGTGTCACTTCTGTGGCAAAGCACAGATTCTCACCAAGGTCAGTCCTCTAAGGATCAAAAGCCTTAGGATGCTGGAGAAGGGGAGCAAACCTTGTGGTCACTAGGACACAGGTAAAGACCATTGCAGCAAGGAAGCAGAAAGAAAAGGGAAAAGTCTTCCATTCCTGGGTGTTTGACCCAGGCCATTAAAGATCTCCTACCACTGGGGGAAGAGCAAGAAACTCTCCCGTTCACAAGGGCCACCAAAGATTCAAGACATCATTTGGCTGCTACAGAGAGGAGGATCAGAATTACAGAGAAAACCTGATCTGCAAGACTTAGGGACACAGGGCCTTCCTAAGACCAAGGCTGGACTAGGAAAACAGAGACCTGTCTTCTCCTATACACCACTACTAGACCAGCAGGCATCAAGTAACAGTAGCAATCTATCACTGAGAGAAGAGGAAGAGCATAAAAAAGGGACCTTCTCTGAGGTACAGACACACAGAGAAAGACAAAAGCTAAGGGATAAACAGGAATATTAGAAACAGCTTACATGCAACACATACCCCATCCAAAGAACTAGATTACATTAAAAACATTTGAGGCTGGGCACAGTGGCTCATGCTTGTAATCCCAGCACTTTGGAAGGCTGAGGCGGGTGGATCACCTGACGTCAGTAGTTCAAGACCAGCCTGGCCAACATGGTGAAACCCCATCTGTATTGAAAATAGAAAAATTAGCCAGGCATGGTGGTGCACGCCTGTGGTCTCAGCTACTCAGGAGGCTGAGGCAGGAGAATCACTTGAGTCCAGGAGGCAGAGGTTGCAGTGAGCTGAGATTGCACCACTGCACTCCAGCCTGGGCAACAGAGTGAGACTCTGTCTCAAAAAAACACATACAAAAAATTTGAGACTGGTAGTATACTGAAGGTAACCATAGCAACAACAAAGGCTAAACCCAGATCAATTCCAGTAGACTCTTCTTTATGTTGGCAGACCAAGCAAAAGTACTGTTTACTTTATTCTCTACTATCATACCTCACAGTGTTCATGTGCAATAAAAAGTTACAAGACAAATAAAAATGCAAGACAGAACAACTCACTGTCAAGAGTCAAAGTAATCAACAGAACCAGACTCAAAGATGACAAAGACGTTTGAACTCTCGGGAAATTTAAAATACCTACGATTAATATATTAAAGGCTCTTATGGAAAAAGTAGGCAATATGCATGGTGGAGAATTTCAACAGAAGTTATAAGAAAGAGTCTAAAGAAAATCTTAGAAATAAAAAATACAATAACAGAGATGAAAAATGACTTTGATGGACTTATCACTGGACTTAACACAGCCAAAGAAAAAATTTATGAACTTAAAGGTGAATCAATAGAAATTGACCAAATGAAACACAAAGAGGTAAAAAGAATAAATTTTAAAAAATATAGAGCATCCAAGATCAACGGGCTAATATCAGATAGTCTGAAATTTGTACAATTGGAATGCCAGAAGGATTAGAAAGAGATAGGGACAGACAACCTACTTGAAGAGATAATAGCAGAACACTATCTACAAATAATATAAGACATCAAATCACAGATCCAAGATGCTCAGAGAACCCTGTAACAGAATGGGTCTAATCAGCAGAACAAGCATGGATAGGGTTTGCTCTCCAATAGGCCTATTGGAGATGGTATGTTCCGATGACTGGGTAGTGGAGAAGCTCATTGGTTTGATCAGAAAAGATCTGGTCTGGAGTTGCTGGGCAAGCAATAGGTAACTTTCTGGAGTGCTGGCTGTGAAGCAGTATGCAGTGGGAATCTGGATGATGGCAGGGGCAAAGGCTTTCAGTGCTGAAGGAGCAAGCTTGGGTATCTGGAGACTTGCGAAATGCTCATCGGGGACACATGGAGCTGTGTGCAGGCTGTGGTGGTTAGGGGGTTGGGGAGAGGAGGAAGCTTGCTTAGGGAGCCCGAGCATGTGGGGAGTTAGCTTCTGTGTTGAGAGGGCTGCAGAAAGATTATTGCCAAACTGAGGCTTCAAGGCCACAGAGGGACCACGATCTGAGTTGTGACAGTTGTCCTCAAAACTACACCACCTTAGCCAGGCATGGCGGCAGGTGCCTGTACTCCCAGCTACTCGGGAAGCTGAGGCAGGAGAATCATTTAAACCCAGGAGGCAGAGGTTGCAGTTAGCTGAGATTGCGCCACTGCACTCCAGCCTGGGCCGCAGAGAGAGACTCCGTTTCAAACAACAACAAACTGCACCACTGACCCCTCTTGGATGACACCAGGAATTGCAGAATGCCTCTTTCTCCAGTTTGGCTTCAGCACCCTCTACCGAGAAAGCTCAACATCCTGCTGACTTTAAAGGAGAAATGCTCAAAGGGATTCCATTGCTTCTCACACTTTATTGTATTGCCTGTATTGGAAGATGCATTCAGAGCTGAGAGGCAATAAATGGATAACTGATGCAAACCCAATCTGTCAACCCAGAAGTCTATATTTTTAAAATTAAAGGAAAATATTTTAAAAATGAATTATTTTTAAAATTAAAGGAAAATATTTTTTAAAACTAAAGACAAATAATGACTTTCCAGACCAAACAACAACCAAAAAAAAAAACCAAAAAAACCCAAAAAATAGGAGGGGGGTTTTGAGAACACATTAGCAGCAGACCTTTACTATAAAAAATAGTGAAGGACATTCTTAAAGCAGAACAATTATGATAATGGGAGAAACTTAACATCTTCATAAAGAATAAGAATTTCTAGGAATAGTTGAAAGGCAAATCAATATAAATCAATCTTTCTTCTTTCTTTTCTTTTCTTTTCTTGCTTGCTTGCTTGCTTGCTTTTCTTTGTCTCTCTCTCTCTCTCCCCCTCAGAGTCTCACTGTGTTGCCCAGACTGTAGTACAGTGGCACAATCTCAGCTCACTGCAGCCTCCACCTTCCAGGTTCAAGCGATCCTCCTGCTTCAGCTTCCCGAGTAGCTAGGATTACAAGCATGTGCCACCATGCCCAGCTAATTTTTGTGTTTTTAGTAGAGACAGGGTTTCACCATGTTGGTCAGGCTGCTCTCAAACTCCTGACCTCAAGTAGTCTGCCCACCTCGGCCTCCCAAAGTGCTGGGATTAAAGGCGTGAGCCACTGCACCCGGCCAAATTTATTTCATTGTAAATCTAAAGGTTGATTTTATTTTAAATCAATTTCTATTGATTCACCCTAAAAATAATTGATCCTTTAAAGCAATTATTTAAAGCAATTAATAGTTTTAAGACATAATGTATTTGTAGCACATGTCAAAGTTAAATGATTGACAACAATAGAACAAAAGATTGGAGAGAAAAAAATCAGGAGAATACTGTTTTCAGGCTCTTATGTGTAATGAGCATTGTATTATTTGAAGATAGACATCATAGTCAAACCACTGAAAACCAAAGGTAAACAGATATCATGAAGGCAGATAGAGTAAAAAAAAAATACAGAGAAAAACAGATTAAGGTACAGCTATTTAAAAACAAGGAATTAGGAACACAAACCTCAGATATTGTTTTATCTGAGATAGCATGGATTGGAAAGACCCCATCTATAACTTCAAGCGTATTGGGTGTGTTCTGGTTCTTCAGATGGATAAGAATTTCATAGGTGTTTTATTTATTATGATCATTGCCTTGAAAGTAATATATAAACATTCTTTTGTATATATTAAGTATTATATTAAAAATGTAAAGGTTAATTTTATACCTCTCGCCAAGGAAATATATTCTATATCTGGAAAGGCTGGTCTGAAGTGCAGAGGTGGGTTCCACCAGTCACTGCAAAAAGATCTGAAATCCTAATCTTTTTTAAAAAGATCTGAAATCCTAATCTTTTTTAAAAAGATCTGAAATCCTAATCCTAATCTTTTTTTTTTTTTTTTTTTTTGAGACTGAGTTTCACTCTTGTCGCCTAGGCTGGAGTGAAATGGCGCAATTTCGGCTCACTGCAACCTTCGCCTCCTGGGTTCAAGCGATTCTCCTGCGTCAGCCCCGCGAGTAGCTGGGATTACAGGTGGCCGCCACCATGCCTGGCTAATTTTTGTATTTTTAGTTCAGACGGGGTTTCACCATGTTGGCCAGGATGGTCTTGAACTCCTGACCTCAAGTGATCCACCCATGTTGGCCTCCCAAAGTGCTGGAATTACAAGTGTGAGCCACTATGCCCAGCCCTGAAATCCTAATCTTGGACTGCAAACTTCTGGTTGCAGAGCCTTCAAAGGCCATGCTAACATGGGTGACATTTTAAAAATCAAATGTTAGTGGGGGCCACAGGGAGGGGAACACTGTGGTCTATTGTGGTGCTCTAAAAAAGTGCATCTGTGTCTAGCTGTCTCCAGGAAGGATATGAGCATCCTTAGGAGGGCACTTTCTGACTTTTTGTAAATTCTGAAAATTACATGAGAATGTTATCCCTGCTCCAGGTCATTGCTCTAAATCTTCCTGGCACCCAGGAAAAACAATAAACTAGCTCTTTATTTAAATTAGGTAATCACAAGAATGCACCGGGAAAACAGGAAAGTGCTGGCTGCAGATGGAATTGGTTTAATGAAAGATTTGGAATAATAGAGTGAGACTCCTGTCTGGACCTTGCTTGAATGACATACTATTGAGGTTAATTGGATGAATCACAAATGTTTTCTTCCCCCTTTAATCACAAGTGCATAGGGGAGCCACCATTTCCCAAATAAAATGCATTCTTCCTTCAAGCTAGCTAGTTCTCCTTTGAAGCCGTTGATTATATCTGTGTTTTTATAGGGCCTGGCAGAACCAAACAGCCAAATGAAAGCAAGCATCAACAGAGCACAGAAGTAATCATTCTGAGGTTGGCTGTAGGCTTTTTCTGTCAGAAAGAACAAATGAGCATAAAGGGTGCCTTCTCTACATTGCGTGGTGTAAAGTCCACTTTGAAGCTACTCACTTGTTTACCAACAAAGAACAGCAGCCAGGGCTGGGCCAAAAATAAATTTTGAGTACCCAAAATTACCCATTTCTTAGGCCTGGAAATTAAGAGGTTGTTTGGATGTGCTGGCTGTATAGTATAGTATAGTATAGAATAGTATAGTATAGTATAGTATAGTGTAGTTAGATAGATACATAGAGATAGATGGATACATAGATCTATATATGTACATATCATATATCTATAAGCACACATTGTATATGCTTATATACAAATATATACATATATATTAATATATATGTTTATATATTAATATACATTGTGTATATTATATATTATATATTTATATATATTCTGTATATTATATATTTATATATAATATATTCGGTCTGTTATATATTTATATATAATATATTCGGTATGTTATATATTTATATATAATATATTCTGTATGTTATATATTTATATAATATATTCTGTATGTTATATATTTATATATAATATATTCTGTATGTTATATATTTATATATAATATATTCTGTTATATATTTATATATAATATATTCTGTGTGTTATATATTTATATATAATACATTCTGTGTGTTATATATTTATATATAATCTGTGTGTTATATATTTATATATAATATATTCTGTGTGTTATATATTGTGTATTTATATATTATATATTATATTAATATATATTCATATTTATATGTAAATATAAATAAATATAATTATATATACTCACTTTAAATGAAGGGGACTTTAAATTGTCACTAACTAGTTGTCACTGTAGGCTAGTCCTATAGGTCTCAGCTTTGTCGTTGAATTCATTCATTCTTTCGTTTATTCATGAGGCAGTTAATTCTTGCTCAATGTATACAGGCACATTGCCATGCCAAGTTATGCAAATGTGAACCAGATATTACACTCAAATCCTTCATAGCGTGCCAAAGAGACAAGATAAGTAATTAAAAGAGAATCCATTTTACTTTCAATTATAACGTCTCTTTTATTTGCTCATAGTGCTTGTCTCCATTTGTGACCATACCTGACTCACCTGTTTACCTGTTTGGTATGTGCTGCCTGCATCAGACAGTAAGCTCCCTGAGGGCAGGCTCACCTCTGTTTGGCCAACAATTGCATCTCCAGCTCCCTGGCCATAACGGCCACTCAGTAAGAACGCACTCATTGTTGCCTAATGGAAATGTGTGCACAGGAGGCTATGGGAACCAAAGGTTGTTACCTGCCTCAACCTGGGGAGTCAAGGACAACTTTTTGAAGAAAATAATGGATGAGTTGAGTTGGCCAGGATGTGTCTGGGAAGGGGGTAGGATGGCGGCGGGGGGGATGGTGCAGAGGTACAGTGAGAAAGGGTTTTCAAAGCCAAGGACCAAGGACAGATTATGTGTCCCAGGCTAGACATGGAAGAGAGCACTTCCTCACCTACTTTTAAAAATCTGCAGATTCAGATTTCTTCCACACTAAATGCCATAATTTTAATCCTAACGTGGTAGATATTTCTTTTTTACATAGTTTATTTTTCAGCCAGTAAGGGACATTGGGGTTATTCTGAATATTATGGCACCTCACTTAGGAAAATCAGTCCATCCTGATAATATATGTATTAAGGTGGTTTTTTGTCTTCTTCTTTCTCTTCTCATTTATATAATTGCAATATTTCAGGGAATCCTTTTGTGCCAAGGTTTAAGTATCAGTAAATAAGAATCACTGGTGAGCCATTGGAAAGAAATTCTGCTAGAATGCTAAAAGAGGAACAAATCTATATAACTTACTTACAAGGTTCTTTTTTTATTATTATACTTTAAGTCTTGGGGTACATGTGCAGAACATGCAGGTTTGTTACATAGGTATACACATGCCATGGTGGTTTGCTGCACCCATCAACCTGTCATCTACATTAGGTATTTCTCCTAATGCTCTCCCTTCCCTAGACCCCCACTCCCTGAGAGGCTGCGGTGTGTGTGTGTGATGTATCTCTCCCTCTGTCCATATGTTCTCATTGTTCAACTCCCATTTATGAGTGAGAGTATGTGGTGTTTGGTCTTCTGTTCTTGTGTTGGTTTGCTAGAACGATGGTTTCCAGCTTCATCCATATCCCTGCAAAGGACATGAACGCATCCTTTTTTATGGCTGCATAGTATTCCATGGTGTATATGTGCCACATTTTCTTTATCCAGTCTATCACTGATAGGCATTTGGATTGGTTCCAAGTCTTTGCTGTTGTGAACAGTGCCACAATAAACATACGTATGCATGTGTATTTATTGTAGAATGATTTATAATCTTTTGGGTAATGGGATTGCTGGGTCAAATGGTATTTCTAGTTATAGATCCTTGAGAAATTGCCGCAAGGTTCTTATACCTAGTTCAGCTTATATGTTTGCCACTAATAATGAAAAGAAAATGTTTAATCAGGTATGTGTCAGGCATATGTGCTCAATAAAACTACACATGGAGAAAGTACATATTATGCCCATTTTACAACTGAGGAAACTGTCCATAAAAAAACTAATTTGTCGGCCGGGTGCTGTGGCTCACGCCTGTAATCCCAGTACTTTGGGAGGCTGAGGCAGTCGGATCACGAGGTCAGGAGATCAAGACCATCCTGGCTAACACGGTGAAACCCCATCTCTACTAAAAATACAAAAAATCAGCTGGGCGTGGTGGAGGGCACCTGCAGTCTCAGCTACTCGGGAAGCTGAGGCGAGAGAATGGTGTGAATCTGGGAGGCAGAGCTTGCAGTGAGCCGAGATCGCACCACTACACTCCAGCCTAGGTGACAGAGCAAGACTCCATCTCAAAAAAAAAAAAAAAAAAAAAAAGAACTAATTTGTCCAAGGTCAAACAGTAACTAAGTGATGCAGACAAGCTTTAAAATCAAGTGTGTTTGTCCTTGAAGCCTGTGCCTTCATAAACTATTTACAGGCCAGTACAGGTGCATCTAAAGAGCAGGTTACAGATACAGACCGGTGTTTCCAAAACTCTTCCTTGGATCTCATTCTGCAGGAAGTACATAGTGGCATGATACTCTATAGATAAACATGTCTGCAATCCTTTAAACAGCTTGTTTTATTGCAAGACTTAGCAGAAGCTTTCATATGCTTTTGAACATTGTACCTTCCCAAGAAGGAGAAAAGCATGTGTTTACTCTGCAGACATTTTATGACCACAGAATGATATTTTTTTCTTTCCGTCATGGTGAGCTACTTACTGTGCCTCTCAGAACCAGGCTCAGGAACACATCGGGAAATACTGTCATTAGATAATAAATACCACTTACAGACACAAGAAATCCCTTTTAGTTTGAGTTCAGCTTCAACTAGGTCCTCGCGGACCACTGGTAACTTTATACCAGATTCTTGTAGCATCATTGTAGGGTTTTTGTGTGTGTGTGTATGTGTAGGGGGCATATTATTTTCTCTCTGTTTCAAATGCACTCTCTTTACTCCACCATAGTGTCTTCCTGGAAAACCAGTCTTCCTTTTGTTCTTCTTTTACTAACACTCCCCTGACTCCCTTAGGCCAGTTTGGGCCCCAGCTTTTCCATACTCACAGTGTCTCTTGTACATTGTTCTGTTATAGCTACTATCACTTAAAATTGTAATATTCTCTTTACTTCCCGCCAACTCAGTGGATGATAACTGCATTGAGATCAGGGACTATGTCTTTTCCTATAGATATCTCTACCACCTAACACAATGACTATGAAAATGACTGGGACATTCAATCCATGCTGAATGAAATGCACGAATCAATGAATGAATGAAGTCAGCCCACTGCTTTGGGAATATGTGGGTTAAATGAGTTTAAATAGCTGGATTGGAGCCAGCTGGTGGACAGTCTTACATTCAAGGCTTTGACGTTTGTACCTTATCATGTAGGCATTGTGAAGCCTTTAAAAGATTTTGAGTGGGAAATTTGAATAAGGAGTTTTAAAATGGCATTTAAAGATGATGAATCTGGGAGGCCAGTCTGAAGATAAGATGCCTGTTAAGAAGCGTGGCAGCATCGGGCATTAGGTGGTGATGGCAAAGACAGCCCTCATTGCTTATTTATAGAATTGGCTTTAAATGAATGATGAGGTGAGCATTTCAAACACATTTCATTCAAAAGCAGACATCATTATGGAGCAGTATAAGGGACATAAAGATGAAAAATACATGCTCCTTGCTCTCCAAAGTCTCTTAAAAAGATTAAGATGCCCACAAATAATAAAATATGGCAAACCATAAAGCATGTTATATAATGCAACCAAAGAAAGTAGAACTAGGAAAACAATGGAAATTCCAAATGAGGAGGTCTGGGAGTGTCTCACAAAGGAAGGAAGACTTGAACATGGCTTTAAGAGATGGATAGAATTCCAAGGAGCTGGGGGCTGGATTAAGCATTTGGTGGACAGTAGGAATGACCTTTCCCTAGTGACTCTCAGCAAATGTCCTTGGTCTAGGCTGCTTTAGGTTGACCTTCTTCCTTCTGGGAACGTGCATTTTGTGCCTGAGAAGATGAAGGGGGTCTTTGCTTCCCACACTGTCTTCAAGAATTTCAGGCCTAGTGCCAACATTTTCTCCCTCCAGATTTTCTCATTCTTGTGCTTGCAGGCAAAAACAAACAAGCAAAAACCTTGGCATGCCTCAGTTCTCCCAGTAGGAAAGCAGTCTACATACCCCACCTCCTAAATCATCAGAAACCCTACAAGGGCTGAGTTATTGTTCCCATTTTACAGTTGGAATAAGTTGAGGCCCAGAGCTGTTAGCATTTTTGCTGAATTTCAGTCTTAGATCAGCTCATTATTGAGAAATCCTGATTCACACAGATGCATTGTTTCAAAGGAAGCAATTTTGTCAGTAACCTGCCTCACGACTCTTCGAGAGTCTTCAGGTGGATAAAAATGGCAAGAGACACTTTGTTCTCAGGTCCTCATGAAAGTAATTCAGCCAGGCAGCACACATGTGTGTGTACAGTGTTTTAATGTTCCTAAGAATGGTGATAAGCAAGTATAGCTGTGTGTTTTACATAGCACTCAGTTGTGCATGATTTAATTTGATCCTTATGCAATTCCTATCTTCTAGGCAAGTCAGGGGTTATTATCCAAATTTTATAGATGAGGAAACTGGAGGAAAATAAGAAATTGAAGAGAATCATTTTATAATGCATGCCATCGACCCTAAACACATTTGGTCGTGACTCTGGATTTTCATATCTGAGGTTTCTTTCTTTTTCCAGTTTCACTGAGACATAGTTAACAAATAAAAATTGTGCATATTCAATGTGTACAACGTGATGATTGATATATGCATACTTTGTGTAAGATAATCACAATTGTAACGGTTTGGCTCTGTGTCCCCCACCTAAATCTTACCTTGAATTTTAATAATCCCCACACGTCAAGGGTGGGACCAGGTGGAGGTAATTGAATCATCCCCATGCTGTTCTCATAAAAATGAGTGAGTCTCATGATCTGATGGTTTTTTAAGCATCTGGCATTTCCTCCCCCCACTTGCACTCATTCTCTCCTGCTGCCCCATGGAGAGGTGCCTTCCGCCATGATTGTAAGTTTCCTGAGGCCTCCCCAGCCATGCAGAACTGTGAGTCAATTAAACCTCTTTTATTTATAAATTACCCAGTCTCAGGTATTTCTTTATAGCAGTGTGAGAATGGACTAATACAGCAATCAATTAATTAGCATATTCATCACCATTTATAGTTACCATTTCGTATGCATGTAGGGCGAGGATACTTAACAATCTGCTCTCATCAAGTTTCAATTATATAATAGTGGTATTAACAATAATCGCCATTCTGTATATTAGACCTCTAGAACATACTCATCTTCCAACTGAACATTTGTACCTTTTGACCAACATCTGTCTCCCCATTTCTACCACCCTTTGACCTCTGGCAACCTGCCTCATCCTGTTGTTTCTGAAAGTTCCTCAGCCTTTGATGGCATTTCCAAATGTATCAATGGGCCATGAGACAATTCCAGTGAAATCTCCTGGAAGAAGCAGCACTGTGCTTTTGCTGCTCTGAGCTCAAGGTTTCCACATCTCAGAAAAGCACCTTCTCAACTAGCTCATTACCATTTCTTAGGCTGTTAAATCCATTATCTTTAGAGGAAATATGTTGGTGTTTGTCTTCTCTGTGAGCTATAAGGTGGAAAATGGGACCTTTTGTTCCTAACTCCCTGTGGAATGCCCTCACAGTCTGATAAAAACCCCAGCTGTCCTCAGACAACATGATGGTACCACGTCAGAAGACTGTCTGTGGCCCAGGGAAAGAAACTCAGTGGATGTTCAGAACCTATGCTACTTACATCGCAAGAATTTTTTTTTTCTTGCTTCTTCAACTTTTATTTTAAGTTCCAGGGTACATGTGCAGGATGTGCAGTTTGTTACACAGGTAAACATCTGCCATGGTGGTTTGCTGCACAGATCATCCCAGCATCCATTAGCTATTCTTCCTGATGTTTTTCCTCCTCCCCCAGCACAGGTGCCCAGTGTGTGTTGTTCCCCTCCCTGTGTCCAAGTGTTCTTATTATTCAGCTCCCACTTATAAGTGGGAACATGTGGTATTTGGTTTTCTGTTCCTGCATTAGTTTGCTGAGGATAATGGCCTCCAGCTCCATCCATGTTCCTGGCAAGGACATGATCTCATTCCTTTTTATGGTTGCATAGTATTCTATGGTGTATGTGTACCACATTTTCTTTATCCAGAAAATCATTGATGCCTTTCTTCTCCTCTGCCCACTCTTTGCCTGACTCTTCTCTTGATTAAAAAAAATCACATTTGTATCAAACCTGTCCTCTGCTTGGTTTCAGGCGATTGATTCACCATCTTCTCTGAGGAAGGAGTCTACATTTTACCTCCCAAGTCTTCTCTCTCTTCCTGGACTAAGAATGTTTGATTGACTAACAGATATGTTTATATCGCTAGTATATACTCAGATCCTCTTTCTTATACTACTATCCTAGGCAACCTTGATGGGAACATCCCTTTGTGTTTCTAGAACCCACCTCCAATCTTCGCTCAAGTGTCACATCCCACATTAAAAACAAATAATCCTTACCATTGATGTCTAGGGAAATTCACTATTTTAAGATTTGCTGGATTGGAGGTGGAAGTGGAGGGACAGGACAGGGAGGAAGAATGCTATTGTCTTATTGCCCTGTTGCTCTAAGTCATTTCCAGAAACGGTGGGGCTTGGGTTGTGACATTTTAGCTGCTAGACACATGTTGCTGCAGATTTGCAGCGACAGTGGTGCCTCTAATCCTGGGAGTTGGGAGGATGGGTTGGAGGGATGGGTTTTCTTTCTCAAGAAATTGTAAACTGGGTCCACTAAAGGTAGTTCCTTATCCTCAGGGCCCTGCTCTACCTCTTGGGCAGATTGGGTTTTTTTTTTGTTTGGTTGGTTTTTGTTTTGAGACGGAGTCTCGCTCTGTTGCGGGGCTGGAGTGCAATGCAGCGATCTTGGCTCACTGCAACCTCCGCCTCCCCTGTTCAAGTGATTCTCCTGCCTCAGCCTCCTGAGTAGCGGGAACTACAGGCATGCACCACCATGCCCAACTAATTTTTTAGTATTTTCAATAGAGGCAAGGTTTCACCATGTTGGCCAGGATGGTCTCCATCTCTTGACTTTGCGATCTGCCTGCCTCAGCCTCCCAAAGTGCTGGGATTACAGGCATGAGCCACTGTGCCTGGCCCAGATTGGTATTTTAATACATAGTTGCTTGACATCAGCAGGCCATGTCTTCATTCCTAGACATTTGGTTTCAGAGCCTGATGTGAGGAAGAAGTGAGAAAGAAGAAAGGGGTTGTCAAAAACTTAATTGGTTCACCTCTTTTCGAAAGAAAGTCCCACTGAGATGACCTCATTGCTTTTCTCATTTCTAAGGCAGTCATTGCAAGTGTGGTTGAGAGTTAATCCTCTCTTGGGCTTTTGTTGCACTGGAGACCTTGGCCCCCTAAGGGGGTGAGATTAGGCCTATAATAGAGAATTCAGGTTGCAAAAGGAGAAAATTTAGGCTTCTTGAACGTTGACCTGGAGAGACCCAGGGCAGTGGAGAGACTAATCCCTTTGTGATGTTGCCTTAAACAAAACACAGGAAGTGTTTGTGTACCAGCGTCCTGTTGCCACCATTGTTTAGTTGTAGGGTATATATCCTTCAGTAAGAGTTAAAACCATTTTGCAAACTTTATTTTTTTTCTTGTAAACTTGTTTAAGTTCCTTATATATACTGGATATTAGACTTTTGTTGGATGCATAATAAAAAAGTGGGCAAACGACATGAACAGACACTTTTCAAGAGAAGGCATACATGCGGCCAACAATCATAGGAAAAAGAAGCTCAACATCACTGATCATTAGAGAAATGCAGATCAAAACTACAATGAGACACCATCTCACACCAGTCAGAATGGCTATTACTAAAAAGTCAGAAGATAACAGATGCTGGCAAGTTTGTGTAGTAAAAGGGATACTTATACTCTTGGTGGGAGTATAAATTAGTTCAATCATTGTGGGAGACAGTGTGGTGATTCCTCAAAGACCTAAAGACAGAAATATCATTTGACCCAGCAATCCCATTACTGGGTATATACCAAAGGAATATAAATCATTCTGTTATAAAGACACATGCACGAATATGTTCACTGCAGCACTATTCACAATAGCCAAGACACAGACTCAATCTAAATGTTCATCAGTGACTGGATAAAGAAAATGTGGTACATCTACACCATGGAATACTATGCAGCCATGAAAAGGATGAGATCATGTCCTTCGCAAGGACAAGGATGGAGCTGGAGGTCATTATCCTTAGCAAACTAACGCAGGAACAGAAAACCAAATACTGCATGTTCTTACTTATAAGTGGGAGGTAAATGATGAGAACACGTGGACACACAGTGGAGAACAATACACACTGGGGCCTTTTGGAGGGTGGAGGTTAAGAGGAGGGAGAGGATCAGGAAAAATAATTAATGTATACTAGGCTTAATATCTAGGTGATGAAATAATCTGTACAACAGACCCCCATGACACAAGCTTACCTATGTAACAAACCTGCACTTTTACCCCGGAATTTAAAAGTTAAAAAACAAAACCTTTGCTTTTGGAGAAATGGTGTGAAAGAATTTCAGTTCTGCTGCTTACTAGCTCATAAACTTGGACTGGCTATTTCACCTCAGTCAATCATTTCTGTCATCCATAAGCCAGGGACAATGATTCCTAACTCACTCCTTGTACAGGCTTGTGATGAAGCTCGAATGGATAATGTGTATTAAAACCTTTTGTAGCATCTGCAGATGTACCACTGTGAACATGACTGATCTTTTCTGATCTCAGAAGTTAAGCAGGGTCAGACCTGGTTAGTGCATGGATGGGAGACCACCTGTGAATACCAGGTGCTGTATCTCTTAGCTAGGTGTGATGGTGCATGCCTGTAGTCCAAGCTACTCAGGAGGCTGAGGCAGGAGGATCACTTGAGCCCAGGAGTTTGAGGCTGCAGTGAGCTAGGATTGCACCTCTGCATTCCAGCCTGGGTAACAGAGGGAGAGCCTGTCTCTAAAACATTAAGTACATTTTAAAAAACAATAAAACCTTTTGCAACTTGTATTGTACTATGGGAGTGGGAAGGCTTTTGCCACCAACATCCTTCTTTCTTATACATAGAGAGAAGCCTGGCCCTGAATTCTATAGTTAGTACCTACAATGAGCACTGTTCATCTCCTCGGCTGAAATATTATCCTCAGGGGTTGCTGCCCCTCTGATCTTTTGAAGAATTTGCCACTAAAGGAGGTTTCAGAAGCCAGCTCATAGAATCCTAACAGTGGCTATAAGGCTTTCTGTGGCAAAGTGCAGAGAACTCACCTAATGCACAGTAGAAGTGACTTACTGCTAGAATTTGGAAATTGATGAAGGCCATCTTCCATGCCCTGGCCTGGCCAGCTCCTCGTTTCTCTTTACTTTTCACTTTTCCTCTTTCTGGTGAAAGTCATCAGCTGCAACCAGATGGGACGAGGTAACCCTGAGTGGATCATGCACATCCTGGTCTTGTTCTTTTCCTATTAAAGTTGACGAAGTAGATAAACACTCGCAGCTCATCACCTGCAAGTGCTTATCCTGGATGCTCTCCTCAGCCTCCACTTGATGGGTGCTGCTTCACAATCAGCTTAGCACCCCAGGCTTCTCCTCCAAGGAATTCTGGCTCAATCACAGCCCTGGCTTAGTCCGTCAAGTCGGTAGTGGCAGAAACTGCTGAGTCTGAGAATCTCATTTATGGATTGTTTTTACAAGTGGATGCCCTGGAACTGAATACTGAAAACCAAACTCAGTACTGCCAGATCAATAGTTTAGGCCATAAGGGAATCATTGGACATGGATTCTTGGGATCTGGAGAATAATCCCAACCCCCAAACCCATGGCATCCTGAGTCAGACGTGTAGCTTCTCAGGTTGTGCAGTCATAACTTACTTCCTGCCAAATTCCTGGGTTCGCTCTCTACTGCCAAGTTCAGCGGGAACTCAGTTATATCTACTGGGTGAGTCCTACCTGAGAAAGAGCCAAAGCTGGAAGCAGTGGATTGTTTTAAAAATTCCCTACCTTGTATTAAAGACAGAAAAGTTACAAGCCACATTTCTGGTACTAAACACAAACATGCACGAATTGTGTGTGTGGCCGGTTTCTGTGTTTTTAAGTTGCTGCAAGGTATCACATTTGTAACTGTGTTCAACAGGAAAACTGCATTGGAAACACTTGAGATCCATCCTAGAGCAACTACACCTTCCAGTTGCCAGGAACTTTGGTTTGGCAGGGCACTGTCTGTTATCATCAACTGGGACCACTGAGAATTTGCTGAGGAACTGAACAAGGGCTCTGGCACAGCAGAAAGTCTCAGGTTCCATAAGACATAGCTTGTCAGGATCTTCTGAAATCACTAGGCAGCTGGACCTCCGTTCTGTTTGGCCGGCCACTTAAGCCTTTCTCTTCTCATCCCACACAGAAGACTAACGTTCACTGAGGTCCGCTTTAAAGTGCAAGTCCTACTTAGTTAGTCCTGGATTGAAGAGGTCCAGATCTTAGGATTGAGCCCGTTTCACCCAGTTAGCTTTGCAGAGAGGAAAAAATTATCCACAAGCAGAGACTGCCCCCTGACCATAGCCTATGGAATCAGTGACCCCTGAAATTCCTCTCACCGTGGTGTTCTGGGATTTGGTGAAGCCCCTTCATGTGTATGAAAGACAAGGATCACCCATGCTCCTGATGGAAACTCATCTTCGTCGTTACTTTATCGGGGCAGGATATCCTGAAAACCTCCATTTTTATCAATGTAAGAATGAGAGAGAGTTTATTGCAGCCAAAGGCAGGAAGAATAATGTGTACAGAGAGGCCCTTCTGATTTAGTGAGTCATTCATATCTTAGCACATCGCCCTTTCATTCTAGGCAGAATTTTAATCAGAGGTGAAACTTATTCACAGGGAAAGTCATCTCATTTTTCATCTGTACACCCACCTGCACAGACATACTTAGGATTTTTCTCTCTGCCCAGCTCCTGAAGTTCTAATCAGAGATGGAGAGCTGAGGTTTTATAATAATAATTTACTTTTATTGATATTAGTACATCACAATGTTCTAGAAATGTCAGGTCCTTCTGCCTCTCGAGTACTAAGCTGACGGGCAAATAAAGGACCCCAACTGGTCTCAAACAAACTAAAGGACATACTACACAGTATATAGGCATCCAATGAGTACCGAGCGTGGTTCCTTGCAGTGAATACCAGCCCTGCTGCTGAGACGAATCCCCAGGGTGATGGCATACCCTCAGATCAATGCCAAGATCTCTACACATTTGAAATGTAAAATATAAGCAATCCGTGATTTCCTAGGCTAATGTGATTCTCAGCAAATGTGGAGACTTGGCAGGTTATTTGTCAAAGTGTGGGGCCTGGTTTGGGTTTCAATCAGCTACCAAAATACAGGGTTTGTGCTTGTTTCAGCAATCCCAAAATGGCACAGTCATTGTCTGCTGGCGCCAGTAAGGACTTTGAAGATTAACTAGTCCCAGACTTTGATTTTACTGATGAATTTGGGGGTTTGTTGAAGTTCACACAGCAAGACAGGTGACAGACCTGAGACAGGAACCCAATTTTCCTACCTCCCCCTACAAGTTCATACCTGTGTGTATATCTCAGAGCACCTAGCAAATTGCTTCTGTTGGGCGTTTATTTTCTTTTTGGCTTTTGCTTTCTGTTTGGGAAACTGTTTGGCACAAATAACAGAAACTGAGTCTTAATACTAAGCACAAAAGCAATACATTGGGAGGGTATTGGTAGTGCCCAGGTTCATAGGACAGTTCGAGAAACAAGCTGAGAAAAAAACGGTGCAGGAAACAAGGGTAGCTTCAGGGGGACTGGACAAGAGGAAATTAACTGACAGGATTAGCAAGATGAGGCTGCTAGAATCTGCTAGAATGAGTAAGCCCTTTTTTTCTCTGTTCTTACATAACTCTACTCAAGAACAAAAGTCTCTAGAGAGACTTTCATCTCTAGACTCAGTGAGTTTCTTGGTATTGCAGGTAAATGAACATGGCTTCAGTGGATTTGATACCCTGGAGAGAGGGTGCAGTTGGCCCAACTTGGTTCATCTGTCTGTTAGGTGTGGATGCAGGACAGCCAGAACAAACAAACGTTTGGTGCACGGACATTACTGGTGTTCACCAATATTTCCTGATCTCCTCGCCTTCTGGCACGTAAGAGGAATGTCCTCCCCAACCCTTGGAAGTTAGATGTGGATGTATGGCTTGATTTGGCTAATGAAACTTGGGCAGAAGTGATGTGGGTTGGTTTGGGGATGGAAGCCTTTAAGAGCTGCTGTGTGGTTCTCCATATCTTTCCCCACCATGGCAAACTCTCAGGTCTGGCGTTGATATGGCAGCATCATAAGATGATAGAATCTCTGTCTTCCTGGGTGATACAGTTTGGCTGTGTCCCCATCCAAATCTCACCTTGAATTGTAGTAATTCCCATGTGTCAAGGGTGGGGCCAGCTGGAGATAACTGACTCATACTGTTATTGTGATAGTGAATAAGTCTCTTGAGATCTGATGGTTTTATAAATGGAAGTTCCCTTGCAAAGCTCTCTTGCCTGCTGCCTTGTAAGATGTGCCTTTGCTTCTCCTTTACCTTACACCATGATTGGGAGGCCTCCCCAGCCATGCTGAACTGTGAGTCCATTAAACTTCTTTTCTTTATAAATTACCCAGTCTTAGGTAGTATCTTTGCAGCAATGTGAGAACTGACTAATACACTGGGTCTCTAAGGGGTTATCATCACCTGAGACTTCAGGGTAGTTAGAACCAATGGCATAACTCAACAGTCCTGACAAATGCATCCCCTTTGGACAGTGTTCTATAGAGTATTCAGAGAATGGAAACCAAGTGATACCAAACGTCCCCTGTGTAACTTGGGGAGAAATCTGCCTTGCAACTTGAAACACCACAAATATGACAAAAAGGTATGGAAGCCTGTCATTGTACACCAGACCTGTTCAGATGAGTGTCTGCCTAATTTCATTCTCTCAATCTGAGATGCCCAGACTTAGAATATTATTATTGGATAATAACAATCTAATATTCCAAGGCTCATTGGCTTCCAATCCATTGGAATCCATGTGAAGTACAGAAAGCCTTTATTAGCAGTCTGCTTTTTTTTTTTAACCAGTAAGTGTTTGTATAAGGAGGAATAAATGGTGTGCTTGCATGAGAAACATATGTGAATCCTTGCATACCTGATTTTATCGCAAGGAAATACATTCGACAAATAAAGATGGCTTGCCGCAATGAGAAACTCAAAATTAAACATCATACAGGCTGGGCACAGTGGCTCACGCCTGTAATACCAGCACTTCCGGAGGCCAGAAGTTCAAGGCCAACCTGGGCAACACAGCAAGACCCTATCTCTAAAAAATAAAAATCAGCTGGGCGTGTTGGTGCCTGCCTATTGTCCCAGCTACTCAGGAGGCTGAGGTGGGAAGATCGCTTGAGCCTAGGAGGTTGAGGCTGCAGTCAGCTATGACTGCACCACTGCACTCCAGCCTGGGCAACAGAGCAAGACCTTGTCTGCCCGTCAGTCAATCAATCAATCAATAAAATGTCACGGAGAAGTCATTAAGGTTATATTTCCAGACATGAAACATGAACAAACATTGAAGTGCTCAATAAGACGTTGCTGGATCCCTGAAAGGACGTCCCTGGATCCCTGAAAGGACATCCCTGGATAGAAGATTAAGAACACCCTGATTTGCCCTGAATCAATGGACCAAGTTGACTCATTGGAACTGGGGGTGGACACATTGACTTGGCTTTGTCCAGCTTAAGCTGTTAGTGAGTTGACCACTGTAGGAGGCTCTACCTCAGTTCCCTTTCACAATAAGGAGGACACTTCAGTCCTTGCCTGTCCTTACTTTTTGGAGGATATGGTAGAGATACCATGTCAGGCACAGGAGAGAGGGTGTTGAATTAAAACAGCTAGTTATGCATCGTTGTGTTTATTTTTTTTGGTGCATTTCCGTGTCCTTTTAAGATATCTACTTTTCTCGTGAATCAGTGAACTTTGGAAATTAAAGAAAGGAATTTTTATCTTCTATTCCCAGCCAGACTTCCAGGGTCACCTTTAGGTTTGATCTTTCTCCAGGCTTCTCAGAAACCTTTCGACGTTAACTTTGTGATTTATGTTCTGTCTTCACTTCGCATTGAAAGTAGCTTTCCTTGACCAAACTCCAGGTTTTGCAATTGAGCCTAAATTGGAAGAAAAATAATTCCAAATTTTTTTTAAAGCCCATGATTTTAAAAAGAATTATATAGTGTAAGCATAGGGGAAAATTCAAGTTTTGCAATACCAGGAGTTCAGATTTTTGGGAGATGAGGACCAAAAATTGGTTGACTTTGGGTGGAGGCCTGCAACAAAGGGGGCCACCAAAGGGTTCAGGAGGTCAGACAGAGAAAAGAGGATTTGATCTGAGCTCACTGGAGGTGTGAAGTGAGAAGCCTAGAAGAAAATCATTTGTCTGAAGGGTAACAGAACCAAGTAAAAATGATTGGAGCAATAACCCGAAAGCTAGACCTAAAATCCACAATAATCTGGTATAGGAAACATTTCTGATTCAAAAGAGCAGTTGTTTCAACGTTGCCCCCATGTCCACGCGCACACACGCATATGCATACACATTTTTTATTAATCCTTTGTCCCTGGGGACAGGATATCATCAAATCTAACACCTTTGAATACAAAATAAGCGCATGACAAGTCATTTTGTAGACCAATGGAAGAACTAGAAGTGTGTGCTCTGCACATTACAAATACCAGCTGCGTAATGGGAATTGAATTGTTTTCATCTCCTAAGGATATCTACATCTGAGAATTCACAGATAGGGCACTATGCATTGTTCCTGGAACATAATAAGTGCTGCATACAGGTTGGCAACTATCGTTATTATAAAGTCATTTAATTCTCAGCAAGACCTAGCAAAGTAGGTATTATCGCTTTTAAACCATGAAGAGACTTCAGGGCCCAGAAGTTAAATAGTTTGCTCCAAAATCACATAGGGGAAGGACTGAAATTGGAATCCAGGTCTTTTTCTAGCTCCAAACCCGGTTCTGACTCACAGCTTTATTCTGCTGATGCTGAGGTGCTGTGTGGTGTGCTTCATAGTTGATGCATGGAGAATCACTGACCTTTGCAAACGAGAAAAATAATGCGGCTGTGCACATGGCCCCCAATTTGTCCTTCTGGTTTGCAGCCCAGGAATCTGTAATATTGACTTCACAGGGAGAGCAGTGCAGCATTCTGGAGACGCTTGCGATGGAACACATCAAGCCTTCCTTAAGTTGTGTGTGTGTGTGTGTGTGTGTGTGTGTTTAAACCTCATTTCTGTTTAAAAGTAAATTGATTTAGCAATTTGCACAGTGCCTCCCTGGACCATACTTTATGAAGTGGAACAATCACTTAAATGTTCAATTATCCAAAGCTGAAAAGGCCAGAGGAAGCACACACAAACCACATGCAGAGAATGGCTCCCCCATGTTCAGTCAGCTTTACCTGGCCCAGGGTGGATGCAAGCAAGCTGCAAAAAGGCAGGATGGCACCAGGCCCTGCCCCCTGCCTCTGTCACCTGAACCGGGTGGGGAAACCTCCTCATCTAGATGCCCAGATGCGTAAAACAGAGCTGCAGACCTGAACATTACATGCAGCCTTTTTGTTTTTGATTTTGCAAAAACAGACATCGTGAACCTATTTGCCACCTGGGCAACCCAACTGCAAAACCCTTGGCTGCTGCCAGTCTTACTCCTCGCTTTCTGTTTTGTTCTGGAAATGAGGGTCCCTGCCCTAACTCTGTCTGGATGCCAGATCTATTTCCTTCATCATTCTCATGAAAACTTGCATTATTTTGAAGTTTGCTCATTTGCTTGGTTTTTAAAATCTGGTTGTCCAATTTGCCCCGCTACAGTGTAAGCTTGTTGGTGCTTGACTACATCAAGCTTGTCACCATCAGTAACAAGTGGTACCACCATCGGTGATACCCAGTGCCTGGTCTGTCATGCCTGCTCCATTTTTGTCAATGAATGAGCCCGTCCAAGCTTTCTGCCTGGCTCCTAACCAAGGTTTCTGACCTGACTTTTACCTGTCCCTATTGCCCTGGATTTTGCAACTCTAGTGACTACTATATTTCTCCCTAAATTATGAATTCCATCTGCATCTCCCCACCCATTCGGAGTCTCTGGATCAATATCTAAGCTCCTCCTCACTGCCTGCTGGCTCATGGCCCGGGAAATACGTGGTCTACCTCTAAATTGCACTTCCCAAAGCCTGGAAAATGGAAAGTTCCGCCCGGCTGCTGCCAGATTCCACAATGTCTCACATTTATAGGAATGATCACCAGAGCGTGCCAGAAAGATGGCACCAAGCACACTGCTTCCAGCAATGATAGGGAGTGTCCATTTATTATATGGTTAGGCTTGTGTCCCTACCCAAATCTCATCTTGAATTGTAATCCCCAGATATTGAGGGAGGAACTTGGTGGGAGGTGACTCAATCATGGGGTCAGTTTCCCCCATGCTGTTCTTGTGGTAGTGAGTTCATTCTCATGAGATTGAATGGTTTTATAAGTGTTTGGCAAGTTCCTCTTTTGCTTCCTCTTCTCTCTCCTGCCACCATGTGAAGAAGGTGCTTGCTTCTTCACCTTCTTCCATAATTGTAAGTTTCCTGAGGCCTCCTCAGCCATGTGGAACTGTGAGTCAATTAAACCTCTTTCCTTTATAAATTACCCAGTCTTGGGTAGTATCTTTATGGCAGTGTGAGAACAGACTAATACAATTTCACAGTGTTAAACCCTAGATTTTTTTTATAATGATGCATTTTTCACTTTAGAGGACATATTCCAGGTACCTCTGGTGACTGGATTCCTAAACATTTTACTGACATGTCAGGCCCTAGAATCTTTATAGAGTTTATCTCCCACTCTATGGAGTGCGTATGTCTTGCCAAGGTCTCCAGAGGACTAATCCATTTCTTGCTTATCCAGCTCAGTAAGCTTAGCATGCTACTGATGTAGAGGATCAATGAGATGTTCCGTAGGATGTCCAAAAAGCCCTGATCTTTTTGGACTACATTATGACAGAAGGCAGAAAAGTTAATATAATCCTGAGTTGAGTGATATAATGGACTTTAGAGACTTTAGAGGGTAGGAGGGGGGATAGAGATAAAAAAAAAAAAAACTACACATTAGGTACAATGTACACTACTCAGGTGATGGGTACACTGAAGTCTCAGAATTCACCACTGTATAATTCATCCATATAACAAAAAGCCACTTGTACCCCAAAAGCTATTGAAATATAATTTTAAAAAATAAATAAATAGGCCAGGCACGATGGCTCACACCTGTAATCCTAGCACTTTGGGAACCTGAGGCAGGCGGATCACCCAAAGTCGGGAGTTCAAGACCAGCCCGGCCAACATGTTAAAACCCCGTCTCTACTGAAAATACAAAAATTAGTTGGGCATGGTCACAGACACCTGTAATTCCAGCTACTCAGGAGGCTGAGGCAGGAGAATTGCTTGAACCTGGGAGGCAGAGGTTGCAGTGAGCTGAGATCACGCCACTGCACTCCAGCCTGGGAGAAAAAGCAAGACCCCGTCTCAATAAATAAATCAAATAAAGAAATTAAGAACAAAAACAACAAAATATAATTCTAAGCCAAAACCATAAATGTATATTGTTACACATTCCACAGAAATATGAACTCTTCTCATTTTTACATTTAAAAAAAAGTGACAGGTAACATTGTATGTATTTACCATGTGCAACATAATGTTTTGAAGTATACGTACATTGTGGGATAAATTAAATGTAGCTAATTAGCAAATGCGTGACCTCAAATAGTTATCATTTTTGTGGAGAATGCATTTGTCCACTCAGCATTTTTTTAGAATACTATCGTCACTGACTATAGTCAGCTTGCTGTACGATAGAGCTCTTGAGTTTATTTCTCCTTTCAAACTGTAATTATGTGTTCTTTCACCAGTATCTCCCCATCTCCTTCTCCCCACTACCCACCCCAGTCTCTGATAACCACCATTCTATTCTCAACTTCTATGAGATAAACATTTTTAGATTTCACATGTAAGTGAGATTATTTGGTATTTGTCTTTCTATGCCTGGCTTATTTCCCTTAACAATGTCCTCTAGTTCCATCCATGTTGTTGCAAATAACAAGATTTTATTCTTTTTCATGGCTGAATAGTATTCCATTGGGAATATATACTACATTTTCTTTACCCATTCATCCTTTGATAGACAGATTAATTCCATATTTTGGCAATTGTGAATACTGCTGTAACAAACAAGGGAGTGCAGATTCTCTTCAGTGTACTGATTTCATTTCCTCTGGACATGTACCCAGTAGTGGGATTGCTGGGTCTTAGGGCAGATGTATTTTTAGTTTTTTGAGGAACCTCCATAATGTTTGCCATAATGGCTGCACTAATGTACATTCCCACAAACAGTTTATAAGGGTTTCCTTTTTTTCCCCATCTTCCAAACATTTGTTATCTTTTGTCCTTTTGATCATAGCCATTCTAACTGGGGTGAGATGATATCTCATTACAGTTTTGATTTGCATGTCCCTGATGATAAGGGATGTTGAGCATTTTTTCATATACCTATTGGCTATTCATATGTCTTATTTTGAAAAAATCATCTATTCAGGTCTTTTGCCTATTTTTGAATCCAGTTTTTTGTTTTCTTCCAATGGAGTTAAATTCCTTATATGTTTTGGGATATTAACCCCTTATCAGATGCATAGTTTGCAAATATTTTCCTCCATTCTGTAGGTTGTCTTGTCACTCTGTTGTTTCCTTTCCTGTATAAAACTTTTTAGTTTGATATAATCCTATTTGTCTGTTTTTGCTTTTGCTGCCTGTGCTTTTGAGGTCTTACCCAAAAGAGTCTTTGCCCAGACCAATGTCATGAAGCTTTTCATTTATGTTTTCATATAGTAAATTCATAGTTTTGGGTCTTACATTTAAGTCTCTAATCCATTTTGAGTTGATTTTTGTATAAGATGTGAGATAAAGTTCTAATTTCGGTCTTCTGCATTTAGATATCCAGTTTTCCCAACACCATTCATTGAAGAGACTATTCTTTCCCCATTGTGTGTTCTTGGCACCCTTGTCAAAAATCAGTTGGCTGTAAATATGTGGATTTATTTCTGGGCTTTTTATTCTGTTCCTTGGGTCTATGTGTCTATTTTTATGCCAATAACATACTGCTTTGTTTACTATAGCTTCATAGTATTTTTTTGAAGTTAGGTAATGTGATGCCTGCAACTTTAAACACTAGAATTTATTTTAAATCTTGCCAATTGGGTGATTTCAAAAAATGGTTTCTCATTTAAGTTAGCCCTTTTTAAATATTTTATTATAGATCTAGAGGGTAAAAGTGCAGTTTTATTGTATAGTGGTGAAGTCTGAGCTTTTTAATGTAGCAATCTGAAGAGAGTATATTGTACCCGTTAAGTAATTTTTTTACTTTTTTTAAAAAAAAGTAAAAATTTTTTTTAAATTTTTACTTAAAAAATTTTTAAGTAATTTTTCATCCCTCACCTTCCTCTCACCCTCCTACCCTTCCAAGCTTCCAATGTCTACTATTCTACTCTCTATGTCCATGTGTATACACTGTTTAGCTCTTATAAATTAGAACATGTAGTATTTGACTTTCTGAGTTATTTCACTTAGGATAATGGCCTCCAGTTCCACCCATATGGCTGTCAAAGACATTATTTCATTCTTTTATATGGCTGAGTAGTATTCCGTAATATATATACAGCACATTTTCCTTATGCAATACTTCTTTATGAATTGCACATCTTTGCTATTGTGAATAGTGCTGCAATAAACATACAAGAATATAACTTATACATATAGTTTGGTATAATGATTTATTTTCCTTCGGGTAGATACCCAGTAGTAGGATTGCTGGATTGAATGGTAGTTCTATTTTTAGTTATTTGATAAATCTCCATACTGTTTTCCATAAAAGTTGTATGAATTTAGATTCCCACCAACAGTCAAAGCTCAGTTGACTTTAGGTATGTTGCTTTATTTTTGGGTTCTCTATTCTGTTCCATTGGTCTATCCATCTATTTGCTTTTCTTCACATCCTCTCCAATACCTGTTATTTTTTACTGTTATTTATTACTAATAATAGTTACTCTGACTGGTGTAAGATAGTATCTCATTGTAGTTATAATTTGCATTTCTCTGATGATTAGTGATGTTGAACATTTTTTCCATAAGAGTTTTGGCCATTTATATGTTTTTTTTTTTTGATTGGTTGGTTGGTTGGTTGGTTGGTTGGTTGGTTGGTTGGTTTTGAGACGGAGTCTCGCATTGTCACCCAGGCTGGAGTGCAGTGGCTCCATCTCAGCTCACTGCAAGCTCCGCCTCCCAGGTTCACACCATTCTCCAGCCTCAGCCTGTTCATGTCCTTTGCTCACTTTTTAATGGGGTTACTTGTTATCTTCTTGTTGAATTGTTTGAGTTCCCTGTAGATTCTGGATATCAGGCCTTTGTTGGATGCAGAGTTTGTAGATATTTTCTCCCATTCTTCAGGCTGCCTGTTCACTCTGTTAATTATTTCTTTTGCTGTGTAAAAGCTCTTTAGTAATAATTAAGTCCCATTGTCCCGTTTGTTGGTTTTTGTTTTTGTTGCATTTGAGGTCTTAGTCATGAATTCTTTGCCAAAGTCAACATCCAGATGAGGTTTTTGAAGGTTTTCTTCTAGTATTTAAATAGTTTTGGGTCTTATATTTAAGTCTTTAATCGATCTTGAGTTAACTTTTGTATATGGTGAGAGAGAGGGTCATTTCATTTTTCTGCATATGGCTCTCCAGTTTTTCCAGAACCATTTATTGAATAGGGTGTCCCTTCCCCAGTATATGTTTTTGTTGACTTTGTCAAAAATCAGTTGGCTTTAGGTATGTTACTTTATTTCCAGGTTCTCTATTCTGTTCCATTGGTCTGTGTATCTATTTTTATACTAGTACCATTCTGTTTTGGTTACTGCAGCCTTGTAGTATAATTTGAAGTTAGGTAATGTTGATGCCTCCAGCTTTGTTCCTTTTACTTAGAATTGCTTTGGCTATTCTGGCTCTATTTTTTTTTTTTTTTTGGTTCCATATGAATTATAGGATTGTTTTTTATTAATTCTGTGAAAAATGATATTAGTACTTTGATAGGGATTGTATTGAATCTGTGGATTGCTTTGGGCAGCATTCCAATGATACAGATTCTTTTGATCCATGAGCATGGAATATTTTTCTATTTGTTCATGTTATCTAAAATTTCTTTTATTAGTGTTTTTCTTGTAAGGATCTTCCATGTCCTTTGTTAAATGCATTTCTAGGTATTTTATTGTTATTATTTTGGTAATTATAGTGTTTTCAGAGGACTGGTTCAGGGTCTTGACTTCACCACCCAAAATAATTTGAGAGCAAGTCCAAAGTAAGAGTAGGCAAAGAAGTTTATCGCAAAGCAAAAGTACACTCGGATAGCTGGGTCCGGTGGGCTGCTCAAGAATGAGACAGTGCTGACTGGCATTGGGGAAACTCCTTTTATGTGAGTCTTACATGATTATTCATGAAAGGGCTGGAATGGGCATTGTTGCTCAGCATGTTGTGGATGGTCTCTTGGGCCCACGTGCACAGTTACTGTACATGCTACTACATATGTCGGATGTCTCATTAGCATTTTAAATCTCCACCCAGTGGTGTGTTTTTTACTATTAAAATGAGCAAAGTTCAGCATAACGACACAGTCCTTTGCCAGTATGCCTGCTCAGCCTTTGGGACTTTCCCTCCAACAGTCATTCCTCCTTCAG